>NC_000007.14:155579193-155892258 GCF_000001405.40 Homo sapiens
AACCTGGGATTGCAGTGAGCTGAGATCATGCCACTGTACTCCTGGGTGATACAGCGAGACTCTTTCTCAAAAAAAAAAAAAATAGGCTCTGTCTTCCGGGGCTGCTGTAGGGGTTCTCACGTGTTGCAGGTAGTAGCATCCTTGGTACCGTCCTTGGCCCAGCATAAGTGTTCTGTGAATCTCATTGCAGGTAGTAGCATCCTTGGTACCGTCCTTGGCCCAGCATAAGTGTTCTGTGAATCTCATTGCAGGTAGTAGCATCCTTGGTACCGTCCTTGGCCCAGCATAAGTGTTCTGTGAATCTCATTGCAGGTAGTAGCATCCTTGGTACCGTCCTTGGCCCAGCATAAGTGTTCTGTGAATCTCATTGCAGGTAGTAGCATCCTTGGTACCGTCCTTGGCCCAGCATAAGTGTTCTGTGAATCTCATGATGCTTACAGCGATGGTGCGATGCACGCTGTGGTGACTGTTCATGCAGCAGACCACATGGAAACCCGAGCTTGCCTGGGAATGGCGGGGCCTCTGCTGAATGGCAAAAGTGGGCGGAGGAAAGATCGGTAGCCTCTGAAAGGCGGTTTGAAGAGGAGAGAGACCGAGGAGGCCAGGGCAGAACAGGGCCAGGAAGTAAGGTGGCAGCCAAGAGGTGCCCATCAGTCCCATGACAAGGCCTGGTGTAGGGGGCTCCATGGAGAGCCCCCAGCCACTGCCATTCTCGACTATGTTTGTGGAGCTGGGTGGCACGTGATGACTTTGCCAAGCTCCGTGACATGGAGCTTCAGCCTCTGCAGCAGAGCAGGTGGCAGAGTGCGAAGGCACTCTGTGCTCTCTGCATTTTCCCATTCCCAAGTTCCAAGTAGAGCCAGATCCAGTGCACCTTCCTCCCAGGGATGCTTGGGATGTAGCCCAAGGGGACACCTGTGTCCCGGGCATGTTTAGGAACAGCCTGGGAAAACAGAATCAGGTTATGTGGCGGGCTGGGGACTCTGGGGAAGTCCTAAGCCTCTGCAGCACAGAGAGGAAGAGACTGGAAGGCTGATTCCCAGGATGGTGAGGGGTCTGCAGTCTGCGCTCCCATCCCAGCAAAGCCTCAGACACCCAAACTCCCATGGAGATGACTCCTCCAGGCAGACCTGGGGCTCCTGCACCTGCTTGGTAAGAGTCACTGGGACCAGCTGCCTTCCAGGGTCGAGAACAGGAATTCATGCATGGGGAAAGTTTAATAAACGTGTCAAACAAGTGCATTGCTCATGTACTCAAGTTTCTGAATATAAAGCCAGTCTCTACCCCTTCCAAAGAGGCCCAGGCACATGGTGATGACATTTTCAGTCATCATCATGGTTATTCTGTGCATGTGGTTTCATGGGGGAGGCATATCTGGCATTAGAAGACCAAGATTCAAGACTCATTTTCACCCACGTGGAGGCTGTGTGGCCAAGGATGAGTCACCAAGTCTCTACTGTCCTCCATTTGCTCACCTGTAAGTGGATTAACAATGCTTTCCATCTGCAGGGTGGTGCAAGGGGTACTTAGGATTCTGTACCAAAACCACTGTGTAACACAGAGATCAACACACAGACACAAGCCAGGGTCCTCTCTCCATCAGAGGAGAGCCCAGGACCACACCTGCCCTCTGCGGTCACTTTCCTGGGGTAGTATCTGCTCACATTCTGCTGTGTATGTAGTCACAGGGAACAGGCTAAATGAAAGCCTCTTTCATTCAACCTGAGTTGTCCACCCAAGGAAAGACTCCAGCAAGCTTGTCTGGAGGCATATTAGAGCCCATGACCCCAAACAGTTGGCCTGAATACTGGGCAAAATGAAAATTCCTGGGTGTCATTCTGGCCAGATGTCCAGGAGCTGGTGAGGATAAAAATGCTAAGTTGGGGAGAGAGATGGGTCCCTCCTGGGGAACCGCAGAGCTGCCTTCTGCTAACTGCACCACCGGGCACCTGCCTATTGTTCTGGGAGGAGACTCAGGAAGGAAAGTCTGCTTTTCTGCACTGGGTAAGTAACTTTCAAGGTCAGGATAACCTGACTGCACTCACCGAGCCTTTAGAACAATGACCACTGTCTGGCACATCCCAGGATGAGGCTGTTTATCCCGAGGCTTGTTCCATTTCCGACAGATATTGATCACACCCCTTCTCCATGCTAGGTGCTGGGGATGCGGGGATGAAAAAGCACAGCCCACACTCCTCCAACCACCCGCCAACCCGAGCATGAGTTCCAGCGTGCTGGCACCTGCAGAGCCCTACATCCTGATACAACCTGTGGGTGGGAAGAGGCCACACAGAGGGAGGGTCAGAAATTCCAAAGCAAAGAATCTGATGCCTCAGCTTCCCAGGGCAGGAGTCACAGCTTCCCGGCAGCAACGGGGAGCAAGAGCAGTGGTGGGTGCTGGACACGCCAGTGGCACCTGGCCAGAGTCCACAACCACCTGCAGCCTCAGAGCTGGCCCCTGAAAGCCATCAAGACAGGGTGGCCAGAGCCTCAGATTCTCAGGCCAAACCAGTCTCAATGCTGGGCAGCCTTTTCCATGTGAAATTGCTAGATCCCATCTTATAATGGATACCATAAA
The DNA here is from genome assembly GCF_000001405.40 of Homo sapiens. Taxonomy (NCBI): domain Eukaryota; kingdom Metazoa; phylum Chordata; class Mammalia; order Primates; family Hominidae; genus Homo; species Homo sapiens. Next base: position 155,581,772 of record NC_000007.14, read on the forward strand.
TTTGTATTAACATGGCATCTCACATTTAAGGAGTTTTTGAGGCAAGGTAGTGTTGAAAGTTTCCCCTCCAGGCAAAAAAGAATGAATAAGAAGAGAAAAAGCCAATAACCTCACCCCTCTGAGGTTTAAAGCACCGGCTCGTTTACTGGGATATATATTTTTCTTTCATTGAATTGTTTTGTCTCTTTTACTTAGATTGAAAACCTCGTGGGCAGGGATCACGTGGCCCTTTTACCCCCGAGCGTAACCAACAATAATCACTCGCTTTAGATAAATGCGTGTAAGAGTGAAGGCCTGTATGTCTAGTAGCTACGCCAACACCTGTGCAAGTGCAGAGAAAGGCTGCGGCCTCCCCTCTGTTACATGTTGCTTTCCCTGTGCAGACAAGAAGTGAGCCCCTTTTCCTGAGGGGGTCCTTGGGTGCCAGGGCCGGCCAAGAAGAGTGTGGGGAGGTCTCACCACCCCCTATTTGCACAGGTGACTGCCAGGCTTGGAGGGAGCCCATGGAATAGCAAAGCCCTGGAGAATGAATTCAACTGAGAAGGTGAAGGAGTGATCTTCCCCTTTTGGCATAAGGAGGGACAGGGCAGGAAAGGGGCACCTGCAGAGGACAGGTGTAGAAAAGGCTACACTACAGGGAAGGTTTCTATGAGGGTCTGAATGTCTGTATCCCCCCAAAATCCACATGGTGAAACTTAAGCCCAAATGTTATGGTATTACGAAGTAGGGCCTTTGGGAGGTGATTACTCATGAGGTCAAAGCACTAATGGAATCAGTGCCCTTTATAAGGAGGCACTTTATAAGGAGTGCCTCTTTTATAAAGAGGCCCAAGAGAACATATTCACCCCTTCCACCATGTGAGAGCACATCGAAGGTGCTCTTTATGAGAAACAGACCCTCACCAGATGCTGAAGCTTTGTGGCTCTTGATCTTGGACTTCCCAGTCTCTAGAATGGTTAGCATTACATATCTATTTTTTTTAAGTTACCCAATCTAAGGTATGTTGTTATAGCAGCCTGAAGAGACTAAGAAAGAAATTGGTACCAGTAGTGGGGATGTTGCTATAACAAATACCTAAAAATGTGAAAGCTTCTTTGGAGCTAGGTAATGGGTAGAGGCTGGAAGAGTTTGGAGGTGCATGCTAGAAAAAGCCTACATTGCTGTGAACAGAACAGCAAGGATGATTCAGGTATAGGCACAGAAGAAGAAGAGAGCCTCTGAGAAAACCTCAATCTTCCTCAAGATTGATAAGAGGTCAGAATGAGAATGTTGGTAGAAATATGGGCAGTAAAGGCCATTTTGATGCAGTTTCAGAAGGAGGAGAGGAACATGTTATTGGAAACTGGAGGAAAGGCCATCTTTGCTATGAAGTGGCAAAGAACTTGGCTGAATTGTGTTCATTCCTAGTGCTTTGTGGAAGGATGAATTTGTGAACAATGAAATAAGGTATTCAGCAGAAGAAATAACTAAGCAAAGTGTTGAGGGTGCAGCCTGGCTTCTCTTGACTGCTTATAGTAAAATGAAAGAAGAGAGAAATGAATTAAAGATGAAATTTATAATCAAAAGGGAAGAGAACCTAAAGATTTGGAAAATTTTCAGCCTGGCCACATACAGAGCAAAAAAGCATGTTTAGGAGAAAAATCAAGGGTGTAGCCAAGCGACCGCTGATAAGGAGATTGGTATGGAGAAAAGGAAGCTGGATGCTGCTCATCAAGACAGTGGAAGAGTGACCCCAGGAACTTCTGAGCTTCTCAGGGCTGCTCTGCCTGTCACAGGTCCAGAGCGCTAGGGCCTTGGGGATAGAATGATTTCAAGGCTCTGCTGCCCATGTTCCAATGCAGTGCTCCTTGGCCACCCCACCTGGGCTCAAGCCCACCTAGGCTCAAGCAGGCCCAGGTGCAGCTCAGCCCACCCCTCTGGAACTCACAAGCAGTAAACTCTGACAGTATCTATGCAGTGCCCTCTCTATAGGAGCTGTGGTGACATGGTTCCCTCCATCCAGATTTCACAGGATGGCCTGGAGAGCCCCAGCTCCCACGGAGAGAACTGACACAGAGGTGGGGCCACCTCAGAGAGTTCCCACTAGGGCAATGTCCAGTGGAGTTCTGAGGGCAGGAGTGCCCACAAGACTCCGGTACTGTAGATCCAGCAGCAGTGTGCAGCCCCAGCCTGGGAGGGCATGGACCTCCAACCAGGGAGAGCTTCAGGAGTTACCATAGACCACCACCCTCCCCGACCCCTCCATTCAACCACTGAATCTCTCAATAGCTTCCAACTCACCTCCTCTTCACCCCCATCCTCCTCCCTCTTCTGGATGACTGCAGGCCTCTTTTCCAGGCTTCTCTCCCCACTCCAGGCTCTCCACAACATTCTCCACAGTCATGCTGCTGAAAACCAACCCAACTGTGACCCAAAGACCCGAATGCCCAAGTTCTACCAAGTTCCACCAAGGGTTCCCACATTACCTTAAGGATAAGGGAGATTCGTATGGAGAGAAGGAAGCCGGATGCTACCCATGAGGACAGTGGAAGAGTGACCCCAAGGGTTATCCTCTGCATTGGCATAAAAGCCCTGCACGAGGGGCCCCTGGCTGCGACACGGCAGCACCATCCTCTGGGCACCTTGCTGAGAGCTCTGTACATGCACTGCACCTCTGCGCACAGGCTGCCCCTCGGTCTGAAAGGCTGAGCCACCCTTCCCAGTGGTTCCTAGTCCTTCAAGACTTAGTCAAGATCAGCTCCTCCAGGAAGACTTCCCAGAGCACCATCCTGCCCCTCCTTGTGAGTCTGAGCCTGGTTCCAGCACCTCCAGCCTCCATCGGAACCCCCAACCCACCAATCCTCCAGAGAGGGGCTCCCTGGGCTGGGCTGGGCACCACTCTCCCTGGACCTTGGCACTGGACATAACTTCCAGTCTGGGACACAATGGACACCCAGTAGAAAGTGTTTCTGAAACATCAATAATGGACTGACGTGGAGCAAGTCACAACGACCCCAGGACTCCACGTTTCCACCAAGTGAGGGGATATTACTCAGTGAGCTACAAGACCACTTCCAGCCCTGCTATTGCACCAACTGTCCTTGAACTAAAGCCACTGAAAACAAAGCTTGGCATAAGACGGTCTTTCTCAGATGGAACATAGCTGCTCTCATGATCTGTCATGCCACGTGACACGCCATATTCTGCAGGCTGCAATGCTGCAGCATTCGTGACCTTGGGAACCACAATTCTGACAAAACAAATTAGACACTAAGCATCTCTAGCTATCATTAAACTTCCCCAGCAGCAGGGCGATGATCGGATCAGACCTCAATTCTGCTCTCAGTTGTAATAGGAGTTTACAGCCATATGTGCCTCGTTGCCTGAGGCACAGTAAGGCTGTGTTTAACAGGGCTCACGCTAGGGAAATAATGTTCCAACGGATCATAAATAATATTGCATTTGCATCGTGCATGTTTTTCCCTGTTTCCTCTCATCATAAGAAAAGCTGTATGCATTTGGTTCATCCTTCCCCAGAACACATCCAGCCTGTGTTATCAGAAGCACACAGGGAGGAAAATCTACTTCCATCTGATGGACGCTGTTAATCTGAGCACAGCTGAGCTGTACCTGGGGCTCCAGCCAAAAGCACATGCCTCAGAAATGACGGCAAGCACACCCAGACCAGGGCGGGAATGAGGAACTTCAGATCAGCCAGGCTCCTCCTGCAACATGGCCCGTCAATTCTCCACTCTAGGGGGCTCACCTTTTCTCTCGGCCGATTCTTTGACGTTTCAGGCTACACACAGGGGAGACAGAGTGTGTGTGTGTTCATGTGTATATGTATGTGTTTATGTGTGTATACGTATGTGTTTATGTGTATATGTGTGTTTGTGTGTTTATGTGTTTGTATGGGTGTATGTGTGTATGTGTGTTTATGTGCTTATGTGTGTATGTGTTTATGCGTATGTTTATGGGTTTGTGTGTGTGCGTGTGTTTACGTATGTGTGTTTACGTGTATTTATGTGTGTGTTTATGCATGTATGTTTATGCGTGTGTTTATGTGTGTGTTTGTGTGTGTGTGTTCATACTGCGGTGCTTTTTGGGGGATATCAGTTATCCTTTTAATGTTTCTCAAAGCAGCACATGTAAAACCTGGCCCCCACTGCACCTGCAGTGCTCACTCCCCAGAAGCAACACTTCCAGCTTTGCAGATTGTTTCCTACTGAGCTCCACATTTCTAAATAAACAGCCATGTACTGCCATCTCTTAGCATTTCAATGTTGCACTCACTGAACTTCCTATCTAGGATGAGGAATTACCTCAGTAACCGCCCCCGACACACACACAGAGCTGCACGCACACATACACACACACAGCTGCACACACACACACACAGTTGCACACACACACAGAGCTGCACACACACGAAGCTGCACACACATGCGCTGTGGCAGACACATATTCACATGCCCCCCTGTTCGTTCCCCCAGCCTGGGCATGTGCTTGTTTTTGTTAAATCCATGCCCAGCATTGACATTATGATTGTGGAGCTACCTCTTACCACTGAGTCCCTGCACTTGATTACATTTCCTTTCTTGTACAAATTTTGTATATCCTGGAGTTAACTGACTTTTTTCCTCATTCGCTTAATTTTCTATACCCACCTTAAATTCATATCCAGCTTTTCCGGCAGAGCTCAACCTCCCTCTCAGGGTAGTAAAGCACCCCTTGATTAGCTGAACCAGGCACTTCCCCATCAGCTCCCCCATGTCCTGGATTCCATGCCTCCCTTCTTGTTTACTCCCCTCTTTAAATGGAACAAAATCTCCAGGAGCTTCAAAAAAAGGGTGAAGATTTTTTTTTTGAGGCAGGTTTCACTATGTTGCCCAGGCTGGACTCCAATTCCTGGGCTCAAGCGATCCTCCTGCCCCAGCCTCCCAAGTAGCTGGGACTAAAGGCACGCACCACCACACCACAGTGAAGATACTTTTTGAGACCTTATAAAATTATAAATATTCCACTCTCATACCTGATTGAGGATTTACTGGGTAGGGGATTCCTGGTGGGAAGTCACGTTCCTTCTGAATTCCAAAGGCTTATCATGGAATGTGACCTTCTAGCTTGTGCTTGAAAAGGTGTGGAGCCATGAGAATGCCCCCCAATGCCTCCACCCCCACACCTGCTCCTCCACCCACCACCTGCGCCTTCATCCTCCCACACATGCCTCCTTCTGCCCCCACACTTCCATCTGCACCTCGCATTTCCAGCTACCAGGAGCATGGTTGGCTCAGAGTCCCAGCTGCACTGCTCTGAAATCTGTGGCCACATCTGTGCAGCCAGGGTGGCACATGATGGGGTTCCAAGGCAGCGCTGTTCTTGGAGGTCCCTCGTCTCCTCTGATGGCCGTGATGGCATGAGGACCCCCATGACCTTGGGCTGCCACAGGCCACGGCTCTCCCCCGTCCTTCCTCCCATCTCCATCACTGGGGTGTCCTCCTTTGAGGCCCAAGAACCTTTCCCGCCCCATCTAATTCTTGTCCCGCAGCCGCGTCGCCCTGCGGGGTCCCTGCACACACAATTATGTCTTCTCATCCGCTTCTCACAGCAACCAGGTGGACCCAAAAGTCATATGTCATTTTCCTTTGAGTATTTGTTGGACCTGCTTTTTCTCTGGAAGCTTTTAGAAGCTTCTGTTCATCACTGGTGTCCTGAGACGTTGTGACAATATGCTTTTGTGTGAGTTTTTCCTCCCTTACGGGTCTGGGCGTTCAAGGGGCCTGTGTTTATTTCCCATGGCTGCTGAAATGAAGCACCGCGGGCTGGGGCTCATCCACACCTGAAATGCATTGCCTCCCAGCTCTGGGGCTGGGAGTCCCATTTCAAGGTGCCAGCAGGGTTGGCTCCTCTTGGAGGTCCCTGGGGAGGATCTGTCCAGGCCTCCTCCTGCCCCTGGGGTGGCTGTCCAGCCGTGGCGCTCCCTGGCTTGTGGCTGCTTCACTCCTATCTTCACACGGCGCTATCCCTCTGCAACCGTCTCTGTCCACATGTCCCCTTACAAGGATACCAGTCATATTAGACTGGGGGCCCGCCCTACTCCAGCAAGGCTTCATCTAAACCTGACTAATCACATCTGCAAAACCCGGTTTCCAAATAAGGTCACCCTGGGGTTAGGATTTCAGCATCTGAATGTGGAGCAGGGCACACAGTTCAACACAAACCAGGGGCCTTTCGATTTGGAAACTCAGGTCCTTCCACTGGCCTTGTGCTCCAGCCTCACTTTTGGGAGTTCCCACTTGTTGGATGTTGGGCTGCCACAGTGAGCGTCTGATTTTCTCGTCTTTTTCATGTATTTTTAAATGTTTTGTCCTTTTTTTCCTGGGAAATATCTTTTTGTTGTTGTTTTTAGAGGTGAGGGTCTCAAACTCCTAGACTCAAGCGATCCTCCAGCCTTGGCCTCCCGAGTAGCTGGGATTACAGGGCACTCACCATCGTGCTAGCTGGGAAATGTCTTCAGCATGTTTGGAGCTATTGAAATGTTAACACTCTGCCGTCCTGTGCTGTCACTGACAGGGCATCATCCCAAGCTTGTTTCGGGCCTGGCCCCACTCTCACCTCCGCTGGGTGCGGGTTTCAGCCACCCCTACTCCTTGTCGGTTTCCTTTTTATGGCCCCTGCTGGGGTTGTTTGCTTTATCTGTTTATGTTTTATACGTTCCTGTCTATAAGTGTTCACTTTTCTGTATGTTCATATCTGTTCCTGTCTGCATGTGTTCATATCCGTTCCTCTGTGTGTTCACATCTGTTTCTGTGTGTTCATATCCATTCCTGCCTATATGCGTTCCCATTTCCGTGTGTGCTCATATCCATTCCTGTGCTTTATGTGTTCCTGTCTGTGTTATATGTTCCTGTGTTTTATGTGTTCACGTGTGTTTTGTGTTCCTGTGTTTTGTGTGTTCCCGTGTTTTGTGTTCACACGTCTGTGTTTTGTTTTGTGTTCACATGTGTCTGTTTTGTGTTCACGTGTTTTATGTGTTCACACGTGTGTCTGTTTTGTGTTCACGTGTCTGTTTTATGTGTTCCTGTTTTGTGTGTTCCTGTATGTTTTGTGTTCATGTGTTTTATGTGTTCACACATGTGTCTGTGTGTGCTTTAGGTGTTCCTGTCTGCATGTTTTTATACGTGTTCCCTCACTTAGGAGGGCAGCTCTTTTGGGTCCACATGCTGAGCAGATGGGGCAGAGCCCAGGGGCTGTGGCATCCAACTGGCCACCAGTGCTGCAGGGGCCGTGCTGGACCTCAGAATGGAAGCAGAGCCAAGCTGCAGCGTGCCTCAGCTCACCACAGGACATCAACCTCATCGGCCCCTCAGGATCCAGTGGCCAGCCACTGGGTCAGAAGGCCCCAAAGTAAGGGGGATTGTGGCGGAAGCAGTTTAGGGGGCTGGGGATAAGCAGAGGGCTGAAAAGCCTCAGTGTCAGTGCCACAGAGAGGCAGGCAGGTGTGGCTCACTCCCAGTGCCTGAGGATGGGGACAGGGATGCAGAGGGCGTGGGAGCGGGAGGGCTATGGGAAAGTAGCCACTCCACCTGGAGCCGGCCCTCGTGATGCAGAGACACAGTGTGTGCTGTGAGCACAGGCGTGGGGCATGTCACTCGTATTTCTTTCTGAGAGGTCATAGTGACTGTGATGAAGTCAGGTGTCCAGAGGCACAAGCACAGCCAGGCAGTGCTTCCCATGGGACAATGAGCTCACAGATCGCGTCCTTCCAACTCCCACTGCGCTTATAATCTTCACACAGGCACTTAATTAGTCCCCAGTGGTTTCAAGTTCGGTAGCTGGGTCTGTTTACTGACAGTGTCTACCTCCATGCAGACGGGTCTGCTCCCGTCGGCTGCAGAGCCCCGTGCTGCCTGGCACCAGCCTCCATGGGGGCACAGCGTGAGGACCTGCCAGAGCGTCCAGTCTCTGGCTCCTCAAAGCCTGGTGGGACACCAGCAGCACCAGCATCGACTGGGCACCGAGAAATGCAGCTTCACAGGCCCCGCTATAGGCGGTTCTACACAGACAGGAGCCTGGCCGGGACTTCGCATACAGCTTCCAGTCTGGGAAGTGCTGGCCCCGCTCGTCCTGGGCTGGGAGTCGTATGGTACAGGGTGGACCTGCAACTCCCCTCCCTCCTCTGGACCTCAGCATCCTTCTGTGGGAGGTGAGTCTGTCCAAGCTGTCTTCCCAGGACCCTAACGGTCTGCGATAAACTGAAGGAGCCTCCGAACAGAGCAAGGAGAGCCTGCAAACATTTGCTTCTGTGCAGGGGCCCACCCGGGACCTAAGTGGACATAAAGTTGTAATTTCTTGCAACTTAATTATTTTATAGAATTTTAGAACTGGCAGATATCTCAGAGATCATGTACATTGCACCCTTGACTTTTTACACATGAAAGAACAGAGGGCTACATCGGTTATGTGGCTCATAAGAGGCCAGAGAAGCCATCGGCAGTGGTGAGAGCCTGGATATGCAAATGGACAACAGCCAGACCAGTTGTGGACACAGAGCCTGGAGATACAAGCTGTAGCCACCAGCCCAGACCAGTTGTGGACACAGAGCCTGGAGATACAAGCTGTAGCCACCAGCCCAGGAGCTGGCCCACTGTCTATAAGCCAGGAGCACAGGAAGTGAGGCCACTGTCTCCACAGCAACCAGCCCAGGAGCCAGCCTGCTATCTACAAGCCAGGCTTGTGAGAAGTGAGGCCACTGTCTCCACAGCAACCAGCCCCGCTATTTACAGGCCGGCTCCTGGGCTCATTGGAGAGGTACGGGAAGTGAGGCCGCTGTCTCAAGCAGCCACTCAGGAAGCCAGACCATAACCCCTGCAACTATTGGCCCCAAATGGCCCGGGCTTGCTTCATAACTGCCGCTTCCCTAATTGTTGTCCCCACTTGCAACTCAGGACCAACCAGAGAAAGCCAAATGTGGCCCCAGCCAATCTCCTGGTGAGACAGGACACGATCCCTTGACCCCTTTGAGGACAGCAACTGGAGTGGCTGGAAGCTGCCCGTGGCTCGCCTCTGGCGGGAGCGGGCTCCGTGAGGGCCCCGCAGAAGCGTCCAAGCATGTTACAACCAATGCTCTTTCAGCTCTGCTGTCCAGGAACAGCCAAGTACCAACCAGCTCAGTGGAGGGTCAGGGTGGCAGCCCCTGCCCTCTCGGCACCCGGGTTCTTGTCCAGTGCCCAGGAAGAATCAGGTCACGCGAGCTGTTCGAAAGGTGATGAATGCGGAAGACTTTACTAAGTGATGTGTGGCTCTCAGCAGAAAGGGAGGCTGGAAAGGGGATGGGAAGGTGATCTCTCCCAGAAGCCCGGCCCTCTCTGAAGCCACACCATCTGAAGTTAGCCACGTCTAGCCACAGCTCTGATGCTCAACTGCTTGTATCCTCAATGCTCAGCTGCTTGTGTTGCTCTGCCAGCTGAAGTCTTTTATGGGCAGAGGATGGGGCGGGGCAGGCCAAAAAGGCAACGTTCAGGTGGAAAAATGAGTCAGCTGTTTTCACTTAGGGCTGCGCTTCCAGGCTTAAGGGTGGGGGTTAGCCAGGAGCCCAGCCCTTCTGTATCACTGGGACATGCTGCTTCTGAGCCACCTCCAGGTTCCCACGACGGCAGCCTCCAGCCAGGGAACTGGCCTGGTGCTCAGGTGGGAGCCTTCTTTTCTCACGGTGAGGCCCACCCATCCCCTGCCCACATTGGGGTCTCTGCCAAACATAGGTGAGGGAGCGGCCCCCTTGCTGGAGAAGCTCCTGAGTTGTAAGCGGGGGCAACAATTAGGGAAGTGGCAGTTATGAACCAAGCCCGGGCCATTTGGGGCCGATGGTTAGAGGGGTTATGGTCTGGCTTCCTGAGTGGCTGCTAGAGACAGTGGTCTCACTTCCCGTACCTCTCCAATGAGCCCAGTGCTCACTGTCCCTAGCCTGGTCTTGAGTTGTTCCCACAGCAGTGAAGCCGGGATTAGATGTCAGGCCTCTGGGTCCTTCCCCAAGCTCTCTCCATAGCCACACTGCCCAGAAGGAAAATATGGGTAGTTCCGACAAGTAAGTCGTGGCTGCTGTTTGCTAGCGACTGGGCCTCTGAGGGCCGCTGGGAGGCCCCCAGCAGTTCTCGCGACGTTCCTTTGGAGACATGCATTCTAAGGCCCAGACAATCCGTTGACCACTAGACTTTGAGAATTGTTTTCCCTAACGTGGCACTAGCCGGCTGCATGAACCCATAGTCACCTGCCTCTATGTTGGAGTCACATCTCTTACTTGCTGTCACACAGATTTTACTTTACAATTCTTCTCTAAAATGGGCCCCACTCCCCCCACCTCTGCACAGTCTGGGTTTGGCCTCCCAGTTCTCTCATGGAGGCTGAGACGTCTCAAGAGCGTTTCTGTACTCCAGCTGCGCGTCCCCAGGCACGAGCGCTCGTTAATTTCCCTGAGATGCCGTGCCTAGTTTGAATATTTTTTCAGTCACTGTGCAGCGTGACAGTCAAAAACACAACTGACTCAACTAAGTCAGATGGGTACAGAAACCCTTCGCATCATTTTAATATTAAAATTCCCCCAGGTTTACAATGTGGTCCATTGAAAAAAGGGTTTAAAGACATAATGCAGTTTACAATCCTAAACCCAAACTCCTCCTAAAAACAAATATTTCAGGGAACGAACCTCAGAGGAAAAAAAAAAAAAGTACAAAACCCCAGCATCTAACGAGGTGAAGGACACAAATGATTGTGATTTGTGACAGAAGGTTCCCACGATCCGAGGGATTTGGGGGTTCTCTGCTGCCGCCCCGCAAAGCCGAAGCACGGGAAGGAGGGCACAGGATTATTGACTTTGATCCTGACCAATCACCTGCCCCCGTGAATGACCTTTTCTAGCTCAGTTGCCCGGCTGGGCTCAGTTGCACTCCAGGGAATGTGGAGTGCTTTTCTCCCGCTCAATTGGAATTCCATCCCACCCATGACACTGGCCTCCCTCTCTGCGGGCCCTGGTTTTCCAAACTGATAGCTCCCTTCCTGCCACCCCTACAACCCACACTACAAGAGAAGCTACCAGGAACACGCTTGCGCTCAGGTTTGTTAAGAACGACTTCACTGGTTCTCCAGTGAGGCCCGGGGGATGGGGTATTGGATTCAATATTGGAGGCTTTGCAAAGCCCAGAAGCTTGGGTCTCTGGTCCCTCTCCAAGGGAGGGCAGACCAGGCAATCTCAAGTCAAGAACTCTTCAAAAATACCCAGGAACCGTGGACAGACACACTGGCTGTTTCTCTACTGTCAAAGCATGGGAACAAATCACGTGGGTGCCCTGGATAAAACATGTCCTTGGCCGGGCACAGTGGCTCATGCCTGTAATCCCAGCACTTTGGGAGTCCGAGGCAGGTGGATCACTGGAGGTCAGGAGTTCAAGACCAGCCTGGCCAACATGGTGAAACCCCATCTCTACTAAAAATACAAAAAAAAAAAAAAAAAATAGCTGGGTGTGGTGGCGAGTGCCTGTAATCCCAGCTACTCAGGAGGCTGAGGCAGGAGAATCACTTGAACCTGGGAGGCGGGGAGGTTGCAGTGAGCTGAGATCATGCCATTTGACTCCAGCCTGGGCAACAAGTGCGAAACTCTGTCTCAAAAAAAAAAAAAAAAAAAGTCTCCTTAAGACACACCAAATCCATGACATCAGGTTAAAATTCACATCTGAGACTGCTGAATAGGAAAGCAAGTGAGGCAGCACTGGAGAAGAGGGAACAGGGCCCGGGGGCCGGCGGACTTGCCCGCGGGAGGGCGTCACTGTTTGCATCAGCTCCTAGCACCGTTCACCACAGCCAAGCCCCACCCAAAACCTTGGAAGCCTCCCTGCCCCTGTAAGCCCCGGGAGCTTGCCCCCAGGAGAACTGATGAGGCAGGAAAGTGCAGAGGTGTTTCTAATACCTCTGTCCTGTGTCCCCACAAAAAGCATCAAATCACAGGATATTTCATAATCTAACTTGGTGTTACACCATTCAGCCACTTCTTCCTATGCCCTGCCCTTAAAGGAAAATGTCCCCACAAAGCTGAGCTCCTCGGCCCTCTGGCTGGTGCTGCCACTGCTCTGCCAGCTCTGGGGTGCACCCAGCTCCCCGACTTGTGTGGCCACTCCTGTACCAACCAGTGGCCAGGAGAGCCAGAGCTCCCGCCAAGGCCAAGGGCAGCTGGTCAGCTTAACGCATCCTTCTGCAGGGCACTCGGGCCTGCATCTCACTGACTGCTGTGTTCTCACACCTCACCCAGTACCTAGCACAGGGTGGGGATCACATGGCTCCCCAGACAGTGCAGCTCCTCGAGGCTCTCTGGTGGTACTGTGTCTACCTGCTGCCTCCACCTCCCAAGACCCCGGCTCTCCATGGGACTCATGGGAGCCCACCCAAGGCAGAGCCAAGAGCCAGTCCCAAGGACAGACGCTGTGGTGGTCCCAGGATCACCCCTGCCCTTCCCACGCCGAGGCCAGGCTCTCAGACTCGCTGTACATGAGAACCACCGGCAAAGCTTAAACATTCCAGCTGCACCCAGACCAGCGCCACCCAGACCAACAGTGCCCAGACCAGCTGCTGCACCTAGATCAGCTGCTGTATCCATACCAGCTGCTATACCCAGACCAGAACCACCCAGACCAGCAGTGCCCAGACCAGCTGCTGCACCTAGATCAGCTGCTGTATCCATACCAGCTGCTATACCCAGACCAGCAGTGCCCAGGCCAGCAGCACCCAGACCAGCTGCTGTACCCAGACCAACTGTGCCCAGATCAGCTGCTGCACCCAGACCAGCTACACCCAGACCAGCTGCACCCAGGTCAGCTGCACCCAGACCAACTGCAGGAGCACCCCAGGGCTGGGCCCCTGCACAAGCATTTTCAAAGCTCCCAGGAGACTCTGCTGTGAGCCAGGTTGAGACCCTCAACCCAAGACATCCTTATTGTGCCAGGCTTAGGATGTCCACTCCTTCTTCAGCTAGTGCCCTCACCTTTGTTGTTCCACAGTCAGGCCACAGTGCCCACAACTGTTTAGATTAAAATGGAGACCACTTCCCTTTACGTTTCACCATGAATCCCTCTCCCCCACAAAAGCTGTAATCCAGCAAACAGGTGGAGAATAGCGTGCTCAAAGACTAAACTAAATGGGAGAGATCAGGTTTAAATTAACATCTGGGATGGCTGAAAGGGAAGGGAAATCACACAGAGGCAGGAGGGGAAGGAGGAAGGCATGGAGAACAGTGGATACGCCCCCACCGGAGGGAGAGGGTGTTGTTTCCATCCACTCCCAGTTCCCTTTACCTGACTGAATGTTGTAACTACAGATTTCCTATGTTGAAACCCTAACCCCCAAGATGAAAGTATTTGGAGGTGGGGCCTTTGGGAGGTGATGAGATCATGAGGGTGGAACCCTCGGAGCCTTTCCACCACTGAGGTCAGAGCAGAAAGATGACCCTCTGCAACTTGGAATAGGGCCCTCCCCAGAACCTGGCCACACTGTGCTGGCACCCTGGCCTCAGACTTGCAGCCTCAATAAATGCCTGTTGTTTATCAGCCACCCAGCCTGATACATTCTTCCAGCAACTCAAACAAACTGAGACATGAAAGCAGTGTTGTCCGTCTGGGGTAGTATCTGAGGTTCATTGCCTCATGCCAAGGAAATCAAGGACATGCACACACAAGGAGTGAGGTTAAGAGCGAAAGTTTAAGAGGCGAAAGAAAGAGAAAAGCACTCTCCTGAAGAGACAGAGGGTCCCAAGTGGGCCTTCTGGTCTGAGGTGAAGTGCACGAGGTTTTATAAATGAGCTCGAGGCAGCACTGTCTGATGTACATAAAGCACAAAAGCTTGGTCGCATCAGGTGTGCCATGTGCATAGCACGCAAAGAACTGGTTAGGACTAGGTGTGCCATTTGCATAGTTCATGAAGAAGCTGGCCACCCCAGTCTTATTTTTTATTTTATTTTATTTTTTTGAGACAATCTCACTCTGTCACCCAGGCTGGAGTACAGTGGGTGCCATCTCAGCTCACTGCAGCCTCCGCCTCCCAGGGTCAAGCGATTCTCCTTCCTCAGCCTCCCAAGTAGCTGGGATTACAGGTGCCACCACCACGCCTGACTAATTTTTGCACTTTTAGTAGAGATGGGTTTTCACCATGTTGGCCAGGCTGGTCTCGAACTCCCTGACCTCATGAACCAACTTCCTCGGTCTCCCAAAGTGCTGGGATTACAGGCATGAGCCACTGCACCTGGTCTGCCACCCTAATCTTTTATTATGCAGGTGGGTTCTCTACCTGGCTGGCGCCATGTTGCCGGCCTCGTTACTGTACAAGTGATGACAAAGGAAAGGGAAGATGGCGCCTCCATGCTGAACATGCCCAGCCCTCAGGTAGCCCTTTTCTGTTGGCCCAGCTGCCGGCATTCACCCATGCAAACTTCCAGCTTGCTTATCTGTGTTTGCAGCTCGATTTTTCAGGCTTCTCTTTGTTAGAAAAGCAATGATTTGGGGACTGCTTCTTTTTAAAAGGGAAACCTTGCCGAGGACTCCTTTACCCTCACTATCTACCTAAATTAATTTCTTTCTAGCTCCTGTATCAGCATCCCCAGGCCTCCCTCCCTTTCACCTGGTCCCTGTCCCGCTCCACCCGGACACTCACAATTGGCACCAATTTCCTTGATTGCAGAGATGCCTGGGAGCCCCAGAGCAACCTGTACCTGGACCCCAAAAACCACAGAACCTAGGAGGGGGAGCAAAGAAACGATTAATTATCAAAAATAAATTGCACACATTAAAATGATGGTCACAGGAGGGCAGAGAAGTCAAGAATTTAGGCTTTACATTTTAAAACCACAGTTTTCTGACTCCAAAACATCTGGTTTTGCAACTGAGGAACATGGGAAAATGCCTAGTCTCTCTCCAGGGAATCCCACATCCAGCTATTTTATTTGTTTCAAAGCATTTTCATCAGATTTTAAAGATGGTTTACTGCCTGAAGATGAAAGGAATGCTTGTCGGAGTAATTTTTCATAGTTCTGCTCTTTCATCTAACTAGATCAAGAAACTAAGCAGGTGTTTAGGAAAACGGCTGCATTTTGTACCTGTGGGAGCTTCAAAAAGCAATGGAGATGCAAAACGGTTCTAAAATTATCCAGACACATTTTGCATCTAGAAATATGTGCATATTCATTTACCTTCAAATTCCTAAAATGATGCCTTCTGAAGTTGCCACAGTTTTCCCTTCTGTTTGCAGTGTTGATGCCTCATCTCCAGAAGGTGGGGAACGTTTTGTTTTGGTTTGGTTTTGGTTTTTTTAGACGGAGTCTCGCTCTGTCACCCAGGCTGGAGTGCAGTGGCGCGATCTCGGCTCACTGCAACCTCTGCCTCCCAGGTTCAAGTGATTCTCCCACCTCAGCCTCCCAAGTAGCTGGGACTACAGGCACATGTCACCACGCCCAGCTAATATGTTGTATTTTTAGTAGAGACGGGGTTTCACCGTTTTAGCCAGGATGGTCTCCATCTCCTGACCTCATGATTGGCCTCCCGCCTTGGCCTCCCAAAGTGCTGGGATTACAGGCATGAGCCATCTGCCTGACCTGGAAGGTGAGGAATGTTCTTTTTGCTGCCCAAAGCAGGCAGGATTCCTGAGACTTACTCATCGGCCAAAAATATTCCTCAACTGCAAATCTCTTAAAGGCCACCTGGATCACCTTAGTCCCAAGCCTCACCCAACTGGACACATCACACAAGCATCTACCAACAGGGTGTCTAGCTTTGGAGTTCTTCCGAACCACAGCAGCAAGCTCATGAATGCCTCCTCAGCACTGAGCAGCTGGGGGGTGTCTGTGCTGAACATCCTGTGTCTCCGTGTCCCATCCAAGCTGTCTGGGGTTGGCCCCTATGAGAAGGGCTCCTCACTCATTAAAAACACGTAAACATGGCAATGTGGGGTGGAGAGTGACAGCCCAGGCCTACGTTGAGGTTTGGTTCCCAAAGCTCATTTTGATTTTGTTTTCTTTCCTAATAGCCATTTGATGGACTGAGAGCTCCTAATGAGAACACAAACTTAGACTAAATAAACTACTAAGTTGAGAACTTGGATCTACAAGCAGGCATATCTTTCTAAACTGTGAATCATTAACTGGGTCTCAGACTGGCCTTGCCAAGTGTACTGCATTTTTGAAGTGGCCTAAATGGGCTTGTTCTGCTCCCATAGATCAGTCCTCATGCTTTCCCAGCAGGAAATTGATTGTGAAAGAAAATCTTCTGACTAGAAAGGAAAAGAAAAATGTGCATCTTTCATCAAATACTAAAAGGTATTTGATGATTCATATTTCAGTTTGAAACTGACTTGCAGATGCGTCTCCTTTTACTTTCACCATTTAACCCATGCAAAATTTGCATCTAAGAATAATAAAGATTGATAAGATCTTGCATTTCAAAGTAGGTTTAAGATACTGGTGTTTCTGCACCCCCCAAAATGAATGATGTTATGAACAATGTGTTAACCCAATTATTTTAAGTGAATAAAAGATATTTGAAAGAAATAGGAAGCATATTTTCCCAAACAGAAGAATTCCTTTGTAATGCAATTAATCAAGTGCTACTTTTAAGTTATTCACCTTATGAATTCGAGTTTTGAAAATCTGATTTTTCTAAAGCAGAATATACCTACCCAGCCTGGTTTGAATTTCCTATCCCCTGCCCCTGATTTCCCTTTGAACAGACGAAACAAAGAAAGTCTGCAACCTTCAATGCGATGGCTTCCCGAAGGAGTTCCAGTTACTCAAGCATTCTCTAAAATCCTATACCAACTCTGCTGTTCAAGGACCTTTTATATAACGTCAACAAGATCTCTAGCTTTTCCTTATCATCATCACCACCATCACCATCACCAGCTCCACCACCATCAAAGTTGTTGCAGAGCCAATATGGGAGCATCAAACTGCAAATCTGGATTGTTCCGGAGCATTTGTTCAATTTTGAGTGAATTAACAGGCCATATTTAACAACATATGCTCATATTACATATTCTCCAGAAATATAAAACAGGCTTAAACCCTCAGTCATCATTTCAGCCCCATATTCTAAAACTGGTCCTTTCTCAGGAGCCGTTCACACGCAGTGCCGAGGACGGCCAGCAGATGGCAGCACCAAGGCTCAGAAAGAGCAGAAACCAAGCGGGAGCTCAAGGAGCGTTCAATGCCCACCGTGATATCGTCAGGACACCTAAGAAAGGCAAATGATGTTCTCTCTTCGTTATTTTCTTTCTAAACACATTTGACAACCCACCTTTTATTAACACGTCTGCATCCTCTGAGACAATGCTTTTGCACCACCACGCTCCTGCAGCGCAAGGTCTCAATCAGGGATTAAGAAAGCTAAGATCCTATATAAAGAATATTTATGGCTTAATTGTCTTGAAAGCTTGGCATGGTAATTGAAGAATTCAAAGGTCAAAAAATCTACTTTGTCTTTCTTATTTTTCAGAAAATCAAGAAGCCAACAACGCCAAGATTGATGGAAATACATTTTCCTTGTCTCTTCCGCACGTTATACTAAGTGGTAATGTCAAACTGCCAGGACTTTCTGATGTTTTCTCTCTAAAGGTGAATATGCCTGAGTGTGCCCCGATAGAGATGCTCACTTATAAGTAAAAGGAAAAGCAGAGAAATCGCAAAATAGGTCATCACAAAGGATAGTAAACATTGGAAAAAATGTTTAACCTCAATAGCAATCAAATCCAAAAAAAAAAAAAACCCACCGAGATGTCATGATTCACTATCAAATTATTGCACATCAAAATGTATTAATAATGAGTCCTACATGAGAGAAAATAAATTGATCCAAACTTTCTGGAGGGAATTGGAGCCAGAGACTCAGGAGCTTTAAAAATATTCATAGTCTTTGACTTATTAGCAACCGTCTTGGGACTCTAACCCAAGAAAAAAATCTAAAATCCAAAATATGGAGTCAAGATTTTTCACTCCAACAGTACGTGTAACAGTAAAACACAGGACACATTCTAAATATTGCAACAGAATAGTAACTCAATTATAAAGTATTTATATGACTGCTTATGTTTAGTCAATAAAATAATGCCCATACATACTTTCAGAGCTAAGCATCTGAAAGGATATAGGCAAGCTGTCTCTACATAGTAGGATTAATGATATTTCATGCTATTCTTTTGCTCATCTATGTTTTTAAGTTTTATGCAACAAACTTGTTTTAGGAGGAAGAAAACCATTAAAAGAGACTTCATTTAAAAAACCAATTTACTGACAGTGTATGAGCAAGTATTTCTAATAAAGTATTAAGTGGATAAAAGGGAGATACAAATTCTATGTACAGTGTGGTCTGAACTATGTGAAACATACACTGTACATAAAAGAGGGAGATAAACTGAAAGAGGTTCTCACTTATGGCTGGGCTCTGGGTAATTTTATTACTTTCTCCATTTTATGTTTTCTACAATGAGCCTACATTACATTTTATATCAGAAAATAATAATTTTAATCAAAATTTGAACTGTGATCCATAATAAAAATTAACTCAAAATAGATCATTCATACTTAAATGTAAAACGTAAAATCATAAAACTTCTTGAAGGAAACATAGAAGAAAGTCTTGGCAACCTTGGGTTAGACAAAGATTACTCAGGACACTAAAAATACAACCCACACAAGAAATTGAAAAACTGGACTTCATCGGAATTTAAAACTTCTGCTTTTTTGAAAGACACTTAGGAATATGAACAGACAAGCCAGGGACTGGAAGGAAATAATTTGCAAAGCACAGAACTGATAAGGACTTGTATTCACTTTATAAAAAGAATCGTCAAAACTTGATCATAAGAAAAACCAATTTAAAAAATGGGCAGAAGGTTCAAACAGACATGTCACCAAAGAGGGTATATTATATGGAGGGCAATGGCGCTCCTGGAAGAGCTCAATACCCCAGTCACCATTTGGGAAAAGCAAATTGAGCCATAATGAAATACTACAACCCATCTCTTAAAATGGCTTTTTTTTTTTTTTTTGGAGTCTCACTCTGTTGCCCAGGCTGGAATGCAGTGGCACGATCTCGGCTCACGGCAATCTCCGCCTCCTGTGTTCAAGCAGTTCTTCTGCCTCAGCCTCCCGAGTAGCTGGGACTACAGGCACATGTCGCCATGCCAGGGTTTTTTTTGGATTTTAGTAGAGACAGGGTTTCACCTTGTTGCCCAGGCTGGTCTCGAACTCCTGAGATCACGCAATCCGCCCGCCTTGGCCTCCCAAAGTGCTGGGATTACAGATGTGAGCCACCGCGCCCGGGCTAAATTATTTTTTAAACCTGGCAATACCAAGTACTGACAGGGATTTAGAGCAGCTTCTGCCACGTTCTGCTGGTGCAAGTGCAAAACGGCACAGGCACCTTGGAAACCGACTGGCGTCTTTTTATAGGTAAACATAAGCTTCCTTACTACCCACAAATTTCACTGCTCCTATTCACCCAAGAAAAATGAAAACTTAGGTCCACACGAAAGCCATATGCAAAGGTTTCTTTCTTATTTCTTATTTCTTTCTTTCTTTTGAGACCGAGTCTCCCTCTGTCACCCAGGCTGGAGTGAAGTGGCACGATCTCGGCTCACTGCAAAATTTGCCTCTCAGGTTCAAGTGATTCTCGTGCTTCAGCAACGCAGGGCTGTTGTCTGAATCTAGGTGTGGATTTTTGGAAACAAGGCCAATTAGGTCACTAATTAATTTCATTCAGTAGCCCAAGCAGAGGTTCCAGTCAATCAGATTTAAAACTTACTTTTAACACATACCTCTGTTCCATTAATTTTCATTTCAGGTCTCCCACATGGAGAAGAAAAGCATGCCTTTAACTTGTTATTTGAGGATCTTTTTAAGGCTTTGTTGCTGCCCTAAGGAAGAAAAGGAATTCTCCTTCTCCTTTATCCCCAGCGTCCCAGGAAGGAGCCGGGGAGTAGAATGACAGCAATATTGGAAATTACTTTCCATCTGAAGTGATTCGGTACAAGCAATGGCCCTTTCTGTGTACAGACAACAGAATATACAGAGCTCTGTGAAAAGATTGAAAGGAATTGCATTTTTTAAAAAATGCTGCTCAATTTTGCATTCTCAGAAAGCCTCTGCTTCCCTAAACTCTGGGTTTCCCTTTTTACTATGCCATTAATGATGAGCTGAAGTACCAATCGCTCTCCCAACAAACTTCCAAGCAACTCTAGCACAGTCGCCTTCTTTTTCTTCAAACTGTGACTTCCAAGGACTTTCACACTTCGCCTGGTGACATGGAACACGCATGCTATACACATAGGGAACAAAGTTTCATGAGAAAACACTTGAGCTGGGCGCAGTGTTTTCCGCTAGTTTTCATGCTGTTCTATACAGCACGTTTCATTTATCAATTTGCTGGTCGAGACCCTCTAAAAATTCGATCCCTCACAAAGAAGTAGAGTGACCGATGATGTGAAAAACACAACCCGGTGAGCCCGGCCGCACGACGCTTCACAGGAAAACACAACCCGGTGAGCCCGGCCGCACAACGCTTCAGAGCCTCATTACCGGCTGTGGCTCGCTGAGGCCACGGGCTTCCGGCAGCCAGTGGTAGCCGGCGGCTCTCCTGACCGCACTGCTACTTCGCATTATTCTGTTCATGGCCTTCAGTGTGATTCAAACCGCTGTTTCTTTAAAATAAAAAATAATCTGGCTGGGCGCGGTGGCTCATGCCTATAATTCCAGCACTTTGGGAGTCTGAGGCAGGTGGATCACCTGAGGTCAGGAGTTCGAGACTAGCCTGGCCAACATGTTGAAACCCCATCTCTACTAAAAATACAAAACATTAGCTGAGGAGGCTACTTGGGAGGCTGAGGCAGGAGAATCGCTTGCACCCGGGAGGAGGAGGTTGCAGTGAGCCGAGATCACACCATTGCACTCCAGCCTGAGCAACAAGAGTGAAACTCCGTCTCAAAAAAAAAATCTTATTTTTCTCATCATTAGACCAAAAAAAAAAAAAAAACCTGCAACTAGGTCAAATCAAATCAAGTAGGAATTCATCAAGGGGATGGGTTTTGTAAGTTTCCACTGACTGCACAGAGCAGGTCTGGGCTCCCCTGCACTTCCTCCCTTCTGTCTGGGAAGCCCCAGGTGAGGCTGCGCTCGGGTGGCTTGAGTCTCCCGGCCCCTGGGAGAGTTGCCCCCAAGGCTCAAGTCTGGAAGCAGCCCTCCAGGATGCCCACGCTGGTGCTCCACACTCGGGAACCCCCAGGAGCTCCACGGACTCAATTCTCAGGCAATGGTGATTTCAAAATTCCCCAAGTTGAGGCTTTCCTTGACTGACAGAGGCACGTTCTTGCTGCCTCCTGGCACTTCCTGCTTCCTGGGGGAGGGAAATACATGTCCTCCTGCCCTCCACTCTCCAGAGACCACCCCTGGTGATTTGGATGTTTTCTGAGGGACACCTTTAAAGTGTGGGTTAAAATTCCAGTAGCTGTCTCTCTTCTACCTTCTTTTGAAGACGTTATCTCCCAGCTTGTTTCTTCGCATTCAAGCAGGGCACGTGGCCTGCAGCCTCGGCCTGTTAACAGCATGGAATTGTGACGACGGTGTCCAGGGCAGACTGAGAGGGAGGGCGTGCCTGACACTGCCCAGGGACCGTCTGCTTCTCTCGTTCTGTGGCAGAGCTTCCCAGATCATGGGAGACATTCACGCCACTGTTGGGGCACCCCTAGATAAACAGGAACCCCAGCCAGGAAATTGCTCACTATGGCTTGTGAGTTCCCGGGAGCTCTGTGCTCCAAACGTCAGCTGAGCTGACAGCAGGAAAGGAAGGAGCTGGAGAAGCATCAGCCACCCAGGCCATCGTGCGCCCAGGAGGGAAAATGTGGAAAGGTCCTGGGTGTGCAGTAACACAGGACACCAGCGAAACATAAGGGGCATCCAACGGGAATCCACCCCAGTCTTGTCACTGCAGCGGTGGGAAACTCATACGCATGCACTAGATTCATCTCCTGGTGATAGCTCCGCAGGTAAGGAAAAGAAAATACCACCACAGTTTTTCAAAATGCAGAACAATGTCATCAAATAAACGAACTGGATGGAATTCCTACTTTGCTCGTGGGAGCCAGAATCTTCCTCTGTGTATACTTGATCTTAACTCAGAAACATTAGCCAAAGGCAGCTGTCCCCTTGGGGGCACCCTGGCTTCTCAGCCCGCCCACTCAAGGTCACCCTGACTCCTCTAGGAACCCCTCCACCCACCCCAGAATCATGCTGCCGTCCAAATACTGCAAGGGAGGAGGGAGAGGGTTGACATCTTGGTGTTCCGACGGAGGGCCAGGGTGTGAGTGTCAGTGTCGGGCTGAGCTGTATCTGGCCTCTTTGGACCTACAAAAAGGAAAAATTAATTTCTCATGTTTTGAGGTAGCCTGAATAGCGGGCCCTGGCCCCTGCCCAAGATGTTCGCCTCCTAATCCCCAGAACCTGTGAATATGTCACCTTACATGGCAGAAGGGACGTGGCAACGTGACTGAATGAAGCATCTGGGTATGGGCAGATCATCCCGGGTGGTCTCGGAGGACCTTTTAGGAGAGGGGCAGGCGTCAGTGCTGGGAGCTCTGAGGATGGAGGTGAGAGGGTGGAGTGATGCGAGGAGGGGTTCGGGGCCTCAGGAGCGCAGGCAGCCTCCAGGAAGGCCTGCCAACACCTTCACCGTAGACTTCTGGCCTCCAGAGCTGTAAGGGAATGAGCCTGTGTTGTTTAAGCCAGTGCACTGTGGTGACTTGTTACTGCAGGGGAGGGAAACTCATATGAGTGCGCCAGATTCATCGCCAAAAGGAGGCTCAATTTTCCACCCTTCTCTCGGATCCATGCCCCTGCTCCCCATCCCTTAAATGTGGCTGGTTTCTGTGACTGGTGGTCAGGACAGCAAGCTAGTTCTGAGCCGAGGCCTCTGGAGACCTGGGAGCCTCGAATTACCCCTTGGCACCAGCCTCTGCCCCTGGAATCACCCCATGGCACCCGCCTCTGCTACTGGAGAAAGAGAGCCTGGCATTGCAGCTCAGGCCACATGGGCCGGCCAGCTGTCTAAGCTTTTTCCTTTCCCCCATATCAGACTTTGGAAGTTAAACCCAATATTTATACTTACTTACCAATGGCTCTCCGGTAAATATTCCTGGAAGTCAGGGTGCAATCAAAATAAGTAGTCAGGTTCAATAAGGGAAGGGAAATTGTTATTTTCTAAAAGCTTTCAAAAGGCCAAGTGCTTTCACTTAAGATCCCACTTAATTCACAAGAGAATTTTGATGTCCATTTCAGAGGTTAGAATAAAAACTTGTGACAATGAATGGAAACAATACTATAAAGCTTCTTTAAAGAAAACAGTGCAGTGTTGATACGTGAATAGACAAACTGAAGAGAGGAATTGACTAGAGGGTCCTGAAATGACCAAAACACGTGGAAAATCAGTGTCCGGCAGAAGCGGCATCTCACACCACTGGGGTAGGGACAAGTGTTTTAATCAATTGACTGAACAGTTGGTGGCCTTTGAGAAAAAGATAAAATTAAATCCATATGTCACACCAAACATAAAGATAAACTCCCAGTGGATCAGGGATCTAAATATTTAAAAATAAAATAATAAAAGTACTAGAAGAAAATATGGTTAAATTCCTATTCAACCTCCACATTGAGTCTTTCTAACTATAACCCCAAATCCAGAGGCAATTAAAAGAGAATAATAAATTTGACTACATAAAAATAAAATAAAGCTGTGTGGCAAAATATCATAAATGAAACAAAAAAGCCTGATAAATTGGGAGAAAATATTTGTAACGTATATCACGGATGAAGGACTCATGTCTCCAATCTATAAAGACGTCTTTAAAATTGAAAGAAAAGAACCAAAAAAAAAGAGAAAAATTGGCCAGGTGCGGTGGCTCACGCCTTTAATCCCAGTACTTTGGAAGGCTGAGGCAGGCAGATCACGAGGTCAAGAGATGGAGACCATCCTGGCCAACACGGTGAAATCCTGTCTCTACTAAAAATACAAAATTTAGCCAGGCGTGGTGGTAGGTGCCTGTAATCCCAGCTACTTGGGAGGCTGAGGCAGGAGAATCACTTCAACCCAGGAGGTGGAGGTTGCAGTGAGCTGAGATCATGCCATTGCACTCCGGCCTGGGCAAAAAGAGTGAAACTGTCTCAAGAAAAAAAAAGAAAGAAACATTTAGAAAATATATGAACAGATAATTCACAAAAGAGATGTCAAAATGATCCTCGCCATACAAAAAATGTTCTACCTCACTCACGACTAGAAATATGTAAATTGAAACCACACGGAGATAGCATTTCTTGCCTATCAGATTAGCAAAAATCAGTATGAAAATCCCTTCTTCCTCTTCTTCTTCTTCTTCTTCTTTTTTTTTGTCACCCAGGCTGGAGTGCAGTGGCACAATCTCGGTTCACTGAAACCTCTGCCTCCTGGGTTCAAGCAATTTTCCTGCCTCAACCTCCCAAGTAGTGGGGATTACAGGTGCACACCACCACGCCTGGCTAATTTTTGTATTTTTAGTAGAGACAGGGTTTCTCCATGTTGGCCAGGCTGGTCTCAAACTCCTGACCTCAAGTGATCCGCCCGCCTTGGCCTCCCAAAGTGCTGGGATTACAGATGTGAGCCACTGCGCCTGGCTGGCAACGCCTTCTTCTGATGAGGCCATGGGGAATCAGCACCCTCCCACACTGCTGGTGGGAGTGAAAGCTGGCACAGCTCTGGGAGGCAATTCGCAACACCTAACAAAATGAGATCTGCACTTATTTAGAGTCACCTACTCCTAGGATCCCACTCTAAAAACATACCTCCGACAGCATGAAACTACATACACGTGAGATTACTCACTGCGGCACTGATCGTCATCAGAATATTGTGGGAATAATCGAAACGGCCATATGTAGGACAGGAGTTGAGTAAACTGTGGTGTCTCTACAGGATGAGGTCGCTTTCACGTAAGAAGGAGAAGAAAACATACCGTGCTCTCTGTTCATCTGCTGTTTAGTTCCGACTTTTAGAACCAAGCTAACCATTCCAGGTAAATGAAATAAATAAATAAGCCGGAAGGACCCACGTGGAATACAAACAGAAACTAACCGACCCAACTGTATTAGAAAGAGATGCCAGAGGCTGGGCACGGTGGCTCATGCCTGTGATTCCAGCACTTTGAGAGGCCGAGGCAGGTGGATCACAAGGTCAGGAGATCGAGACCATCCTGGCTAACACAGTGAAACCCCGTCTCTACTAAAAATACAAAAAATTAGCCGGGCGTGGTGGCGGGCACCTGTAGTCCCAGCTACTCGGGAGGCTGAGGCAGAAGAATGGTGTGAACCCGGGAGGCGGAGCTTGCACTGAGCTGAGATCGCGCCACTGCACTCCAGCCTGGGTGACAGACAGAGGGAGACTCCGTCTCAAAAAAAAAAAAAAGAAAAAAGAAATAGATGCCAGAGGCCAGGTGCAGTGGCTCACGCCTGTGATCCCAGCACTTTGGGAGGCCGAGGCAGGCAGGTCATGAGGTCAAGAGATCAAGACCATCCTGGCCAACATGGTGAAACCCCTTTTTTACTAAAAATACAAAAATTAGCCAGATATGGTGGCATGCACCTGTAGTCCCAGCTACTCGGGAGGCTGAGGCAGGAGAGTCACTTGAACCCAGGAGGCGGAGGTTGCAATGAGCCGAGATCACGCCACTGTACTCCAGCTGGGCAACAGAGCAAGACTCCGTCTCAAAAAAAAAAAAAAAAAAGAAATGACATAGCCACACTGAAGGGGAGTGAGCAAGAGAAGAACCAGCCTAGGTACGTTTGGGAAATAGCATTTTTACCAGATTCTCTAAAACTCGAAGGGTTTTCCAATGGCCAAATCTGTGACATTTTGAACATCATAAGTAATGATTATAATGAATTATAATTCATAGAATAAAATGGAAAATCAGGATTCCATCTGGCATAAAGAAAGAATTGAATGCTTAAATAAATGGGAAATAGCGAAAGCTCTTCCTTGCAGTAGCATCACAAGTAATACATGCAGAATTATGAAGTTGTACAGTCATCATTTGGCACCCATCATCATAATAATTCAGCAAGAACCATCAATGGATGCTAAGCTTGTGGGGGAAGTTTGATTAGGAACAGCATATTCACACAGCCTCGAAGTATCTCTCCATACGTAGATACATATTACACAGGGAAAAGGGAATTCCCAGTGGAAAGACCTGGCAGACACCCTATTGACCGAGTGAGAAGAGTTACCATCAGCAGGAACAGGACAAACCGACTGAGGCACAGAGAAGCATCCCTCCTGGGGTTTCCTGCCCAAAATGCATAGCGAAGCCCTCAGACAAACTGAGCAACACTCTGCAAAATAACTGGCTAGCGCTCTTCGAAAGTGACAAGGTCGTCACGAAGTGACAAGGTCATAATAAAATGAAGACTGAGGATCTGTTCCAGATTAAGTAAAAATTAAGAAACATGACAACTGGCCAGGCGTGGGGACTCACGCCTGTAATCCCAGCACTTTGGGAGGCCAAGGCGGGCGGATCATGAGGTCAGGAGATTGAGACTATCCTGGCTAACACAGTGAAACCCTGTCTCTACTGAAAATACAAAAAAATTAGTTGGGCGTGTTGGCAGGCACCACCAGTCCCAGCTACTTGGGAGGCTGAGGCAGCAGAATGGCATGAACCTGGGAGAGCTTGCAGTGAGCTGAGATTGCGCCACTGCACTCCAGCCTGGGCCTCCGTCTCAAAAAAAAAAAAAAAAAAAAAAAAAAAAAAAGGAGAAAGAAAAAGAAAGAAACATGACAACTAAATGCAACATGTGATCCTGAATTCGATCCTGGACCAGAAAAATGCAGATTCGTGGCCCTGACCCAAGACCTCCTGAATCAGAACATCTCATGTTAAGGCCCAGGAATCTGAATTCTAATTGGCACCATGTGACTCTTCAGTGCACTAAAGTTGAGAACGATATGGCTGTGATCTTATCACATGACAGGCATGACTCAAACGATCCAGCAAACATATCCAGGACATTTACAAATGGCGAAAGGTGTTGTGAGGGAAAGGTGGAGGGAATGATGACCTCAGACCACACAAAACACAGATGGGATCAGATGGGAACAGGGGAAGGCTTGGGGAAAGTCTCCCTGAGGAAGTGGCCTTTGAAATGAGACCTGGGAAACAGATGGGTCGAGGAGACACAGAGATGGGGAAGAGCGGCCAAGACGGAGAGAATCGCTGATGGAGAAATCCTAAAAAGGAAGGGGACGTGGAGATTTGGAGGAATTGATGTTAACCGAGGATACCAAAATTGCAACCCAGCCTTACTCAGCTCATGAAGGTGACAAGTGTGGCTCTCGAGGAGTTTCACAAGCACCTGGTGGGCTTCCCGGCCCTTGAACTCAAGGCCTTGTCTTCACACTGAGAAACTGCAGAAAATTCCACGATGAGATTCAAACACGATTAGTTTAGCGTTTTCTCTTCCTGCCTGGCATAGCCTCAACATTCAGCATATGTCTTCAGCGGGGAGCAGGCCGAGTGTTTGAGACCCATCAAGTCGCCCTAATCCCATGTGGCTGCTGACACCATGCTGTCCCCCATCCCCAGCAGCAGCCCTGTCCAGCCTGAACTCACATTTGCTCCCCAGAGCCCTGCCCTGCACCCTCGGCCCCTTGGGTTCACATCACTCCCGTGGCCCTCGGAAGCTTTGAGAGAGATTACAGTGGAATCGTATGCACTCACTCAAGCTATGTTATAAGGAGTGGTTTATAAAGTCATATAAAAGATATTATCACGTTAAATGAAAAAATATACAAACTTACTTATAAAATATTATTATAGTTTATTTTTAAATTAATAGCACTATAAATTCTCCCGTAAGGACACCCTCCCTTAACCAGTCAAACATCAAAAGAGACTAGCCAGGGCTTGCTACTCCATCCACTCCGCAATGCTCTGCAACCTGGCCAGCTCTGCTTCAGCCCCTGTAGGTCATGAGTGGAGGATGTAGAAGTCTTTGGGGACTGGATCCAGAGTCCCGAGAAGTCTGGAGACCAGCCCCAACAATGGACTAAAGACCTTCAGGGGGTCAAATCTGGCGGCCAAATGCAGAGCGTCCAGTCCACACCCGTGTGGCCCACCCAGGAGCTCGGCCTAAATGAGGCATCTCTGTCTGTTCAGGCTGTGATAGCCCAACACCAAAGACTGATGGCTCAGACAACAGACATTTCCCTCTCACAGTTCTGGAGGCTGGAGGCTGCGATCAGGTGCTGCCATGGCCGGGTTCTGGGGAGGGTTCACTTCCTGGTTTACAGAAGGCTGGCTTTTCTTTGTATCCTCACATAGCAGAGAGAGGTCATCTTTCTGGGGTCTCTTTTAGAAAGGCACCAGTCCCATTCACGATGGCTCCACCCTCATGACCTAATCACCTGCCACCGACCTTGCTTCCAAATACCGTGCCATCGGGGGTTGTGGTTTCCGGGTATGAATTTGGGAGGAGGATGCAAACACGCAGTCCATAACAGGAGGCATCCAGATATGGTGCAGGGTTGGTCTTCCACCAAGGCAAAGCAGCATGCATGGGCACCCATGCTGGGAGCCACCCAGGCTATTTTCGTTTGGCTGCTGAGGGCGTGGGTAATGACACGCCTCAAACTCATCTGCAGCACTTCATGAGAACGATTTGTGTAGAAGTTGCCAATCACCCCCTAGTTGCCAAGTCTGGTCACCTTTTCAGTCTGTACCTCACTTCTCTATGGCCTTCCACACTGCAGACCACTTTCCCCTGGAAACCCACGCTGACTTGGCTTCTGTGACCCCCCTCCTGCCTGTTTCCTGCTGCTCTGCTCTCCTCCTGTCCACTTCCCCTAGACTTTCGCATTCCCTGGGTCTCCACGTGCAGCCTCTGCTCTTCTCACACTTGCTCCCCCGAGGCTATCACCTTCAAAGCCATAGCGTCCCGCAACACTCACACCTGATGCGGGAAAATCTACGTCTCCCACTCAGATGTTTTGCTAAACGCCACACTGGCCATGGACACCTGCGGACCAGAATGTGACACAGCATTTGGCAGTTCACAGGGTCGGGATGTTCCTCTCCTGCTCACTCCCTGCTGCTTCCCCTTTTGTGTTCCCTCCCTGGGTCCTGGAAGCCATCCCAGCCTCTTTCCTCCCACTCTCCTGCTACATCCTACCCAGTTGGTTCCTAAGTGGTGTGGATTCTGCCTCTCAGATCTTCCTCCCCCGTTACCACTGCCAAGTGTCTTTGTTTACTTTGCTCCTAAATAACCACATAGCTTTAGTATCACTTAGGGGTTTTTGTTGGTTTTTGTAGCAGACAAGGTGTTGAAGGGAAGGCACACAGGTGAGGAGCTCACAGAAGGACAGGGACGCCAGGTAGGATGGAGAACCACACTTGGGAAGCACAGGGCGGGGCAGCTCCAGGTGGGAGAAGCACAGGACCCCAATTGTTCTTCATCCTTGAGCCAGTCTGCTCAAGATTCCAAGCCCTGGCACGAGAGGAGGTGTCACATGCTCACCTCTCAGCTGCAGGAGGCAGCCGATGGGAGACCCCTGATGGGAAGCCTCCGACCTGGGGGAGAAGGGATTGTCCAAAAAGGAAACTGAAGCACTGTTACCAAAGAAGAGGCGCCCCACATCAACCACCACTCACTACAGCCTCTTCTTGGCTTCCCCAGCCCTAGTCTTCCCCTTGCTCCACCCACCTGCTTGCCCCATGGACTTCCTTGATCTTTCATAAAAGTCGATTTTGTTGTTTCTTTGCTTAGAATCCTTTCGCAGCTCCCCACGGCTTCCCATGTAGCCAAGAATATGCACGATGTTACTTGTCCATCCTTCCCATCCACACTTTTTTTTTTTTGCCACAGAGTCTCTGTTGCCCAGGCTGGAGTGCAATGGCTCCATCTCAGCTCACTACTACCTCCGCCTCCCGGGTTCAGGCAATTCTCCTGCCTCAACCTCCCGAGTAGCTGGGATTACAGGCGCCCACCACCACACTCGGCTAATTTTTTGTATTTTTAGTAAAGGTGGAGTTTCACCATGTTGGCCAGGCTGGTCTTGAACTCCTGACCTCAGGTGATCCACCCACCTCAGCCTCCCAATATGTGCTGGGTTTACAGGCTTGAGTCACTGCGCCCAGCCCCCATCCACACCTTTGTTCCACTTCCCAAGCTCCTTGCCATTTATTTTGAGTTCCTTCCTGCCTCGATGACCAACCTGGCAGCCTTTAGGGGTGAAGCAGTCAATTGGTTTCCTGAGGCTCAATTTCCGCAGGGCACTTTTTAAAAAACCCTCTGGAAATGTAAAGTGATGGCCAAAATTCTATTACTAGAATTCCACTCAAGAGGAGTACTACTTTTGAAAAGTACTTTATGCCACTCCCTCCCCACCTAAAGGACAAACAGGAAGGCCTTGAGACTGCCTTCTGAAGATGGTGGGCTTGGCTCCTGCAAGCTCCCGAGGTCCTGCCATGAGGCCTGAGCATTTGAGGGCACTTGACATAGTGAAGGGGAGCTGAGGGTCTCCTTCTTCACATCTCTATCACGCATAACTTGGTTTCTTCTTTAGATAAATTATTTTTAGCCTGGGCAACATAGCGAGATCTCATCTCTCATGAAAATAAAAATAAAAAATTAGCCAGGTGTAGTGATACGTGCCTATAGTCCCAGCTCCTCTGGAGGCTGGGGCAGGAGGATCACTTGAGCCCAGGAGTTAAGGCTGCAGTGAGCTATGATCACACCACTGCACTCCAACCTGGGTCAGAGATAAGAATAAAGTCACAGCACTTGTAGCACTGTGGCAAATGCCTTCTCTCCACCCATTTTCCTTACTAGTTTCTTCCCAAACTCAGCTGTCCCCTTTGGGCAGCTCCCGACAGCCACTGTGCAGCCCCTCACACCTCTGACCCACTTCTTCAGTTGTCTCCTGTTCGTCTACTTCCCCTGGGATCCTGAAGATTCTGGATGGCAGGAACGAGCTCTTATTTGACTATTTTCACCCCTGGCCATGTGCTCAGCACATCAGCACGTGCTCGATGGATGTGCAGGTGCACATTTGCTTTCTGTTGTTGGAAAATCTCGAACCTCATTTCTAAAATATCAGTTTTCCCGAGAAAAACCTTAATGACTTGTTTTGGGTTACTTTTTTTTTTTTTTTTTTTGAGACAGCGTCTCGCTCTGTCACCCAGGTTGGATTGCAGTGTTGCCATCTCGGCTCACTGCAAGCTCTGCCTCCCGGGTTCACGCCGTTCTCCTAACTCAGCCTCCCGAGTAGCTGGGACTACAGGCGCCCACCACCACACCCGGCTAATTTTTTGTATTTTTAGTAGAGACGGGGTTTCACCGTGTTAGCCAGGATGGTCTCGATCTCTGACCTCGTGATCTGCCCACCTCGGCCTCTCAAAGTGCTAGGATTACAGGTGTGAGCCACTGCGCCTGGTAGTTTTGGGTTACTTTTGATTCCAAAGGAGATTTCAGAGAACTTTGTGTAAAAAATAAGGTAGGATGGATCTTCCTACAAAGCTCAACTCAACCTAAAAAAAAAGTTCTTGGGTAGTTTTAATTCATTGAAACATCTCAAATTAGCTCTAAAAATCAATGTCCAGCTGATAAATGAAAAGTGTGATGGGTGGCCTCCATCCCATCTCCATATTTAACTCAAAAACAACTTTGAATAAAACATTGCTCTTGGCAGGGTGTGGTGGCTCACACTTGTAATCCCAGCACTTTGGGAGGCCAAGGTGGACAGATTGCTTGAGACCAGGAATCCAAGGCCAGCCCAGGCTAGATGGTGAAAATCTGTCTCTACAAAAAATTAGTTGGGTGTGGCGATGTGCGCCTGTAATCCCAGCTACGTGGGAGGCTGAGATGGGAGGATCGCTTAAGCCAGGAGGAGGAGGTTGCAGTGAGCTGAGATCACACCACTTCACTCCAGCCTGGGCGATGGAGCAAGAGCTTGTCTCAAAAAATAAAAAAAAATAAAAAAAAAAAGACAGAAAAGAAAAAAAATGCTTTTTGATTTTTCAAATGTTAAAGATTCCAGACTAATAGAGCTGATGTTTTCTAATATTTATAGTGATAAATGTTTACAAATAAAACTAATCCATGGAAAACAAGGTACTGTGACAGAAAGGAATTCACAGACTCCAGAGATGCTACCATCACAGGGATAGAGAAGGAAAGCCTGCTTTCTTTTATGATGATGCAGTCCTACAGACATCCAACAAGTCTTAGAGGTTAATATAACAAACCTAGTCTAAAACACGTTGAATTCACTATGAACCACCATCCAGCGCCTCCCCATGATGTCACCACTGTGCAGAATGTCTGTCATGCTTGTACACACCTTTATACTTTGGCTTTATGTGAAAGGTTACTTTATATATTTCTAACCTGTTGTTTGATACTTTGTTTCTGAGCTCTTTCCATGTTGGTGTGCAAAGCTCTCGCTCATTATTTTGTGATTTTATCACAATCTGTTTAACCAGGCTTTTAAAAAAATCAGGATTTAGATATTGTCTTTTATGTTTTTATTTGTTTGGGTTCTTTGCTTGTATTTTCTCCTATCAACAACACCGCAAGGGCCTCTGTTTCACATCTTCTCCTGTGTATGCAAGAAAGTCTTTAGGGGCTGTAACTCGTAGTGAAATTGCTGGGTAGAAGAGAATGTTCCAGTTCAACTGCATTAGGTATTGCCAAGTTACTCTTCAAAATGATTGCTCTAGTGCAGCAGTCCCCAAACTTTTTAGCACCAGGGATCAGTTTTGTGGAAGACAATTCTTCCATGTATGGGGCATTGGAGGGATGGTTTTGAGATGAAACTGTTCCACCTCA
The DNA here is from genome assembly GCF_000001405.40 of Homo sapiens. NCBI lineage: Eukaryota > Metazoa > Chordata > Mammalia > Primates > Hominidae > Homo > Homo sapiens. The sequence continues at coordinate 155,614,677 of NC_000007.14, forward strand.
GATCACGAGGCATTAGATTATCATAAGGAGCACACAACCTAGATCCCTTGCATGTACAGTTTGCAATAGGGTTCTCACTCCTATGACAATCTAATGCTGCCGCGATCTGACAGGAGGCGGAGCTCGGGTGGTTATGCTGCCTTGCCCGCCGCTCACCTCCTGCTGTGTGGACTGGTTCCTCACCAGAGGTTGGGAGCCTGTGGTCTAGGGTATGCTTCTACCAGCATACATGCTCTCACTGGCACTCATTATTGTCCAGCTTTTACGTTTCTACCAACCTGATGGGTGTGAAGTGGTATTTCTGTGTTTTAATGTGTGTACTCTGATGGATGTGAAGTGGTATTTCTGTGTTTTAATTTGTGTTCCCTGATGGGTGTGAAGTGGTATTTCTGTGTTTTAACGTGTGTACCCTGATGGGTGTGAAGTGGTATTTCTGTGTTTTAATTTGTGTACCCTGATGGGTGTGAAGTGGTATTTCTGTGTTTTAATTTGTGTACCCTGATGGGTGTGAAGTGGTATTTCTGTGTTTTAAGGTGTGTACCCTGATGGGTGTGAGGTGGTATTTCTGCCTTTTAACGTGTGTACCCTGATGGGTGTGAGGTGGTATTTCTGTGTTTTAAGGCGTGTACCCTCATGGGTGTGAGGTGGTATTTCTGTGTTTTAATGTGTGTACCCTGATGGGTGTGAGGTGGTATTTCTGCATTTTAACGTGTGTACCCTGATGGGTGTCAGGTGGTATTTCTGTGTTTTAAGGCGTGTGCCCCGATGGGTGTGAAGTGGTATTTCTGTGTTTTAAGGCGTGTACCCTGATGGGTGTGAAGTGGTATTTCTGCATTTTAACGTGTGTACCCTGATGGGTGTGAGGTGGTATTTCTGCATTTTAACGTGTGTACCCTGATGGGTGTGAAGTGGTATTTCTGTGTTTTAAGGTGTGTACCCTGATGGGTGTGAGGTGGTATTTCTGTGTTTTAAGGCATGTACCCTGATGGGTGTGAAGTGGTATTTCTGTGTTTTAAGGCGTGTACCCTGATGGGTGTGAGGTGGTATTTCTGCATTTTAACGTGTGTACCCTGATGGGTGTGAAGTGGTATTTCTGTGTTTTAAGGTGTGTACCCTGATGGGTGTGAGGTGGTATTTCTGTGTTTTAAGGTGTGTACCCTGATGGGTGTGAAGTGGTATTTCTGTGTTTTAAGGCGTGTACCCTGATGGGTGTGAGGTGGTATTTCTGTGTTTTAATTTGTGTACCCTGATGGGTGTGAAGTGGTATTTCTGTGTTTTAAGGCATGTACCCTGATGGGTGTGAAGTGGTATTTCTGTGTTTTAAGGCGTGTACCCTGATGGGTGTGAGGTGGTATTTCTGTGTTGTAATGTGTGTACCCTGATGGGTGTGAGGTGGTATTTCTGTGTTTTAATTTGTGTACCCTGATGGGTGTGAAGTGGTATTTCTGTGTTTTAAGGCGTGTACCCTGATGGGTGTGAAGTGGTATTTCTGTGTTTTAAGGCGTGTACCCTGATGGGTGTGAGGTGGTATTTCTGTGTTGTAACATGTGTACCCTGATGGGTGTGAGGTGGTATTTCTGTGTTTTAACGTGTGTACCCTGATGGGTGTGAGGTGGTATTTCTGCATTTTAACGTGTGTACCCTGATGGGTGTGAAGTGGTATTTCTGTGTTTTAAGGCGTGTACCCTGATGGGTGTGAAGTGGTATTTCTGTGTTTTAAGGCGTGTACCCTGATGGGTGTGAGGCGGTATTTCTGTGTTGTAATGTGTGTACCCTGATGGGTGTGAGGTGGTATTTCTGTGTTGTGACATGTGTACCCTGATGGGTGTGAGGTGGTATTTCTGTGTTTTAACGTGTGTACCCTGATGGGTGTGAGGTGGTATTTCTGCATTTTAACGTGTGTACCCTGATGGGTGTCAGGTGGTATTTCTGCATTTTAACATGTGTACCCTGATGGGTGTGAGGTGGTATTTCTGTGTTTTAAGGCGTGTACCCTGATGGGTGTGAAGTGGTATTTCTGTGTTTTAAGGCGTGTACCCTGATGGGTGTGAAGTGGTATTTCTGTGTTTTAAGGCATGTACCCTGATGGGTGTGAGGTGGTATTTCTGTGTTGTAACGTGTGTACCCTGATGGGTGTGAGGTGGTATTTCTGTGTTGTAACATGTGTACCCTGATGGGTGTGAAGTGGTATTTCTGTGTTTTAATGTGTGTACCCCGATGGGTGTGAAGTGGTATTTCTGTGTTTTAAGGCGTGTACCCTGATGGGTGTGAGGTGGTATTTCTGCATTTTAACGTGTGTACCCTGATGGGTGTGAGGTGGTATTTCTGCATTTTAACGTGTGTACCCTGATGGGTGTGAGGTGGTATTTCTGTGTTTTAAGGCGTGTACCCCGATGGGTGTGAAGTGGTATTTCTGTGTTTTAAGGTGTGTACCCTGATGGGTGTGAGGTGGTATTTCTGTGTTTTAAGGTGTGTACCCTGATGGGTGTGAAGTGGTATTTCTGTGTTTTAATTTGTGTACCCTGATGGGTGTGAAGTGGTATTTCTGTGTTTTAATTTGTGTACCCTGATGGGTGTGAAGTGGTATTTCTGTGTTGTAACATGTGTACCCTGATGGGTGTGAGGTGGTATTTCTGTGTTTTAATGTGTGTAACCTGATGGGTGTGAGGTGGTATTTCTGTGTTGTAATGTGTGTACCCTGATGGGTGTGAGGTGGTATTTCTGTGTTGTAATATGTGTACCCTGATGGGTGTGAGGTGGTATTTCTGTGTTGTAATGTGTGTACCCTGATGGGTGTGAGGTGGTATTTCTGTGTTGTAATGTGTGTACCCTGATGGGTGTGAGGTGGTATTTCTGTGTTGTAATGTGTGTACCCTGATGGGTGTGAGGTGGTATTTCTGTGTTTTGTGTACCCTGATGGGTGTGAGGTGGTATTTCTGTGTTTTAATGTGTGTACCACTTATACCAAGTGAGGTTTAGCAGCTTCCCATGTAGTTTCCCATGTTGCCATTAAGCATTTGAGTTTTCTCATCTGTAATTTGTATATTCATATTCTTTGCCAATTTTTCTATTGCACTATTTGGGGTTTTAAAAATTCATTAGTGGCTGGGCGTGGTGGCTCACGCCTGTAATCCCAGCACTTTGGGAGGCCAAGGCAGGTGGATCACAAGGCCAGGAGTTCGAGACCAGTCTGGCCAACATAGTGAAACCCCATCTCTGTTAAAAATATGAAAAATTAGCCCGGTGTGGTGGCAGTCACCTGTAATCCCAGCTACTCAGGAGGCTGAGGCAGGAGAATCGCGTGAACCCAGGAGGTGGAGTTCGCAGTGAGCCGAGATCGCGCCATTGCACTCCAGCCTGGGTAACAATAGTGAAACTCCATCTCAAAAAAAAAAAAAGATTCATTAGTAATAGATATCTGATTTGAACATTACGTATTGTACACATGTATCAAAGTATCACATAGACCCCAAGAACATATATAATTATGACATATCAATTAAAAAATATGTATATACATTTTCTGGGTACTAATTATTTGTTAGTCATATGTGTTGCAAATATCTTTTCCCAGTTTACAACTTGCTTTTTTGTATTTAGGTGATATCTTTAGATACAGAGCGGTTTCAGATTTTACTGAGTTCAAATTTATCTATCTCTGCCTTTATGTTGTTTTATGTTATCTTTTTAAAAAAATCCTTCCTTATCTACCAAATTAATGTGACTATACTACTAGGCAGATGTTCATCAGAACATTGATATGTTCTCAGTACCAGTGTAGGTCAAGGTGAGATTTACTCCTGGCTTTCCCAACATACTAGCATTGATTATCTGTCTCATCACTTTGTCTAAAATGTTAACACACTTTTTCTAGCAGCAAAACATTTTTGTAAGTGGATTTAAGTTCAAACAAGATATCTGATATAGAAATGATTTCTTTTTACAGAAGATGATGCTGATGGCCAGATCTTGGAACTGCTCTGGCAAAGAGCTCAATACTGAGGGCTTGGAAATTAGCAACGGCTTTGCTGTGTGCATTTTGATATGGATCACGCTATGGTCCTTGGCCGTCTACGCTGCCCTTGGCCGTCTACGCGGCTATCTTCAGAGTGCTTCCCTCTCTTCTGCCACTCCTGTCGCTGGCTGTTTTTATGTTCACTGCCCCATCATCTCTTTAGCCAATTAAAATCTCCGTCTGGGCAAAGGTAGCTTACACTGCTCTCTCCACTCCCTGTGCTCTGCGGGGAGTGCTACGTGGTAGCTGGGAAGTGAGAAACAAACACTAGGCAAATGCCTTTTGGACGGGACTGTTCAGACTTTGTACTGCTGGCTAATATTTATCTACTGCTCGGAAGCCAGCAGTCCACCTTCCTTTCATTTCCTGCTGGTGAAAATTCCATCTTCTGGGTTGCACAATAAGTTAACCTGATTTTGAAGTCGCAAGGAGTTTTTTGGACCCTAGTCTCTCCTTTCTTGCTCTTCCTTCCCTTCTTCTGAGCCTGGGATCCCCTGGGGAAAGGACATGTGTGGCCGCTGGCTCCTCTCAGGCCACATTCTCCCCCGATCTCACTGCTTAAAAGGCTGGGGACACCCCCCAGCTGCAGCAGACAGTGTCTTGAGCAGGGCCTCCAGCTTGGGCTAAATGCCCGCCCCATGGCCAGTCTCTGAAGACAAGGCAGGGAGAGCAGGCAGGTGATGAGATTCCATCATGTGCTCAGTTGCTTGAGTCATGCCATGCCTGGCCAGCCACAGGGGGCAGGGGTCAGCAGCCCAGCAGTTCCCACTGGCTACATGTGGGGCTGTGAGGGCAGGGGAGGGAGCAGCTCCCCCAAAGAAGGAGAGTGGTTTTCCTCTACTAGATGGACAGAACAATAAATGTTCACCACCCAGGAAATCAGTCCTGGCTCAGACCCTTCTAGGTGGTGTGACCCCAGCCAAGTCCTTTATTCTCAAATGACCCCCAGTTGCCTTACACTTTATAAGGTGGCCTTCCAATTTTGTTTTGTGTTTTAAGAAACAGTATCTTGCTCTGTTGCCCAGCCTAGAGTGCAGTCGTGTGATCATGGCTCAGTATAGCCTCAAACTTCTGGGCTCAAGGAATCCTCCTGCCTCAGCATCTGGATTACCTGGGCTACAGGCCAGCCTAATTCTGAAATCCTGTCATTCTGGCCAGGCACAGTGGTGCATGCTTATGATCTCAGCACTTTGGGAGGCTGAGGTGGAAGGATTGCTTGATCCCAGGAGTTGGAGACCAGCCTGGGTAACACAGTGCAACCTTGTCTGTACAAAAAATTTAAAAATCAGCTGAGTATGGTGGCACATGCCTGTAGTCCCAGCTACTCAGGAGGCTGAGGTGGGAGTATTGCTTGAGCCCAGGAGTTCAAGGCTGCGACGAGCTATGATTGTGTCACTGCACTCCAGCCTGGGCAACAAAGCGAGATCTTGTCTCAACAGAAACAACTGTATAGTACGCTAATTGTGGAGTGGGGATGTCGCTGTGTGCCTTAGGAAGTGTTAATCTCTCCACTTTAAGCTCCAGGCATGTTAGGTGACCACCATGAGGTCGCTTCACATCATAAAAAGCACCCAGGAAATGCTGAGGACACTCATGGAGGCATGGCTTCATGAGGTTTGTCATTAGCCAAAATGAAAAATTAGTTTACTTTTTAAATTATAATAAAAATGGCCAGATTTATTTATTCAACCGTTAATATTTGAGGAATTAAACTCATGGTTATTAGAATGGCAGCACCAGCTTTTGTACATGTCCCTCGCTGGGAGGGGAATTTAACTTCTTTCAATAAGAACAGGTTTTAATAACTCGATCCTGCAGATTCGCTCCATGACTGGGCTGCTCTAACATCAGCTGCCGAGGGCTGTTGGTTGATGCTCAACTGAGACTCCCTGTAGTGGGGAACACTCTTGTATTCACTTTTGTGCCCCGACTGCCCAGCCCCAGGCCTGGAATATCTCAACGTGTGTTTGCTAGGTGAACATCCAATGTTAACGAGAAGCAAATACACTCACCCCCTGGAAGGCAGCCCAAAGGCAGAAGGGACACAGGCTAGTAACTGGTGGTGAGTTGGCATAGGGGGAGCATGGATGTAAGAATAATGAATGTTCAGGCAGTACACACAATTTGGACTCAGAAAAATAAAACAATGTTAGAAAGAAAAAGATGGAAGTTTGAATGTTAGAAGCAAAGGTGTAATATGGACAAATGGTAAAAGATGAGTTATATTCAAAAGCAGATAGATTTAACTTAGAAAGACATTTAACATTCCCATGTTCAGAAGCAATATTTTATTTGCTTTTACACAATCTCAATGCTATTATTAACATTGTGCAGTAATTTTATACAGCTCTCTGCAGCACGCAAAACACTTCTACTGAAGTTATCTCATGTGTGGGCGGCATGAGGCATGAAGAAGGTGTCTGAGATGGGTTTCCTCCACCATCCTCAGTACCACCCTAGGATGTTTTATCTCCCTGCTTTCCATTTGTAAAACAACAAAGGAAGAATGTGAGACACTTGCGGGAGCAGGTAGCTCCCCAAGAGTAAGCCCTGTCTCTAGAGTAAGACTTTAAATATGCTTCTGGAGCATGACCGAAAACAGTATCTCACCAGAATAACACAAATAATGTGTGTGTCACATGACAAGTCATCATTAGCAAAGGGAAAACATTCTTGTTTCATAAGCCAGCATGGTGCATATTTGTACTTAAATGGGACCCTCTTTGAGGAGCAGCTCAGATCCTAAAAGTGAGAATCCGCATGACCATTTCTCTATGGTTTCCATTACTAAACGCATTATTTAATCGACATCTTTAGATCGAAAATCACTCAATTTGTATGATGTATTTTACTCTTACTATGCATTAGGATGGCATCCTCTTAATGACTTTATAAAGTGTTGTTAATAATGAAAAAAGATAGGCTAAGGAAAAAGCACCATAAAAAGAGAATTCGTTATGACTGAAATTAATAACAGAGAAGTAAAAATTGGGACAAAGGATGACTCTGACATTTCTTTCTTGGTAAGTGATAGTAACAGATCCCTCAAAAGGGTTGCACTGCAGACGCCTACGTGTGCAGAGGAATGTGACTGTGAAAACGGCTTGTGAGGCTTCAGGCCAAAGTAGAGAGAGATGCACAGGTGCACTCTGAGAAAAGAAAGGTTTGTCTTCTTGTTTTGAGGTCCTAGGAGAGGCACAGGGCCTGTGGCCCAGATACAGTGCCACACGCAGGTCTCGGGACTGGGTCAGAACAAATGGCTCAGGACCATTCACTCTTTTGTGACTCAGACTAGCAATTAGCCTCTCTGCATCCTCCTGGCCTTCTCACTTGTGAGGTGAGGCCAATTGCCCCCTATCCTATAGATGTTGTGTGTGAATAAATGAGGATTTGTCAACAAAATAAGATGAATGAGCTCCTTGGGAACGGGTGCCATTTAAATGCAAGCCACAGCTTCTTCAGCCTTTCTGCCTTGGCCAGGCGAGGTCTGTGCACCAGCACCCTCTTCCAGGACTCTGATCTGTGCTGTCTGTCCTTTGCTCGCCCCAGGAGTTCACCTGCATGACCTGAACTCACTTCACACAGACCCAAAGTCTCAGAGCTGCAGTTGAATGTTTCTTTCTGCTTTTAAGACATTTGAAGCTGGGCAGGGGGCTCATACCAGTCATCCCAGCGCTTTGGGAGGCTGAGGTGGGAGGATCACTTGAGGCCAGGAGTTTGAAATCAGTGTGGGCAACATAGTGAGATTCCATCTCTATCAAAAATAATTTTAAAAATTAGCTGGGTATGGGCTGGGTGCAGTGGCTCATACCCGTAATCCCAGCACTTTGGGAGGCCGAGGCGGGCAGATCACCTGAGGTCAGGAGTTCAAGACCAGCCTGGCCAACATGGCAAAAACCTAAATACTAAAAATATAAAAAATTAGCCGGGTGTGGTGGCAGGCGCCTGTAATCCTAGCTACTCGGGAGGCTGAGGCATGAGAATTGCTTGAACCTGGGAGGTAGAGATAGTGTCACTGCACTCCAGCCTGGGTTACAAGAGCAACTCGGTCTCCAAAAAAAAATTATCTGGGCATGATGGAGTGTGCCTGTAGTCCCAGCTACTTGGGAGACTGAGGCAGGAGGATCATTTGAGTGGTGCAATCTCGGGTCACTGCAGCCTTGACCTCCCTGGGCTCAAGTGATCCTCTTGCCTCAGCGTCCTGAGTAGCTGGGACCACAGGTGCACACCGCCACACCTGGCTAATTTTTGTATTTTTGTATAGATGGGGCTGGCTATGTTGCCCCCTCCTTTCCTCACTTTCTTCCTCAAATGCACTTTGCCATTAACATGAATGTCCATCCTGAGGTTTCAGCAGATCAGAAAAGTTTCCTCAATACCTCGTCCAGCTAGACTCCGGAAATGTGAAATGATAAAATTAGGGAAATAGATAGCTTTGGAAATGTGAAATAAAATTAGGGAAATAGCTCCTAAACAGCAATATTTGAGTCCATAATAGAGGTGCACAGTGTGAACAGTGAGAGGAAGCAGATCAAACAGCCCTGTTTCCCAACCTAAAACACCCAGGGAAGTGGTTTTCACATGTTAAACAACATACAAAGCACCTGGGAAGTGATTTCCTGAGCCAATCTCTGGAAATTAAGATTTAGTAAACTAGCATGGAACCCAGGAATCTGCATTCTGACAAGATCTCAAAAGTAATTTTGATGGAAATTTCTAAAATGGACCACATTTTGGCAAATGCTGATGTATGAAATAACTGCCATAGAGCCATAATATCCAAAGTGGAGTACAGATATAAAATATATAATACATAATATAATATTTCAACATATTATATGAACATGCAGGTAAATTAAGAAGCATGACAGGCAAGGCGCGGCTCTCGCCTATAATTCTAGCCTGAGTGACAGAGCAAGATCCTGTCTCTCTAAAACAAAACAAAACAAAACACCAACGTGATAGGATGAACACTGCGAATGCTGCATCCTATCTGAAAACTAGAACATGACCCAATGTGTGGCGTCTCCCGTGGGGCTCTTTTCTCTATCCCCTTCCCCAGACTCCTTTGCAGACACTTTCCTTAATTTGTGTTTACTATGCTCTTGCTTTTAGAAATATTAGTTTTGGCCAGGCACAGCGGCTCATGCCTATAACCCAACACTTTGAGGGGGCTGAGGCAGGAGGATCACTTGAGCTCCACAGTTCAAGACCCGGCTGGGTAACACAGGGAGACCCCGTCTCTACAAAACAAAAACAAAAAATTAGCCAAGCATGGCGGTACACACCTGTGGTCCCAGCTATTCAGGAGGCTGAGGTGGGAGGGTTGCTTGAATTCTGGAGGTCAAGGACACTGCATTCTAGCCTGGGCAACAGAGTGAACCCTGTCTGAGAATAAAATTACTTAAAAAAAATAACATATAATACTTACCCAGCAGAGGAGATGCCATGATCAGGAAAAAATAGCATGGACTGCATACCTAAACAATATGTTGCTTAGTTTTACTTGGTTTTGAGCACAAAAATGAAATACAATACACTTCTGAGACTTTTGAAAAAAAAGAAAAACCTTAGTATTGTTAGAGCAGTTTTAGGCTCACAGAAAAATTCAGAGAAAGGTGTGGAGATCGCCCATATCCCCACCTTTCCCAACACTGGCAAAGTCTCCCCATTATCAGCGTCCCCCACCAGGGCAGCTCATTTGTTCCAACTGCTGAGCCCTTGACACATCATTATAGCCAGAAGTCCATGTTCAGATTAGGGTTCACTCCTGGTCTTCTGGGACTTTCTCACTTAATAAAGAACTATGTTTCTGGCACTCATCCAGTTTGTTGGGAGTATCTCTGGTTCACCCGTTTTCACTGCTGTGTGCTAGTCTATTGTATGAATATGCCAGAATTTACATATTCAATTGTATACAATCTCCTGTGAATGGACGTTTAGGTTATTTACAATTTCTTGTTCTTACAGTTGCTATGAATATAATTATAAATATCCCCTGGAGCTTAAGTTCTAGAGTTTCTCTAGGTTATGCACTTACGACTAGACTCTGGGTCATGAATCCGCAGTAGAAGGTGGCGTCAGACTGTTTTCTACAGTGGCTGTATCCATACACGTTCTCAACCACAGTGTATTAGTGTTCTCATTGGTCCATGTCGCAATTAACTGTTACTATTAGATTTTGTCAATTTAGTGGGTTAATTTGCATTTCTCTAGTTACTAATGAGGTTGAAAATCTTTCAAAATATGTTGGAGTCCTTTTGTTTCCTTTTCTGTGAAATGTCTATCTGTATTTTGTACTATTTTTCTATTTTTTTGTTTGCTGTTTATTATTGATGTGTTGGACTTCCTTGTATTCTGTAAACTAATCCTTCATTGGAAATATGTTGTAAATATCTTCTTTGAATTTGTTCCTTGTCTTTTAATTTTTTTCTTATGTCTTTTGATAAATGCAAGATCTCTTATTTTTAATATAATGGATTTTTAAAATGTTTTATTACTACCATTTTTATATCTTTTTAAAACAAGTTCTTCAATAAACATAAAAATATTTCCTTCTGATTTAATCTGTGTATGCAAAAATGCTGTAAACATTTCCAAATATCTGTGATGTAACCTTAAAAAGGTTTATTTTTTACACATGTTAAGAGTCCAGTGCAGACTGGGGGGAAGGGAAAGGACACACAGGGATTTCTGCTCCACACAGTCATTCAGGTACCCAGTCTCCTTCCATCCCAAAGCTCTGCCATCCCCAGGACTTTGGAGCCCTTCTCCAGAATTTTGCATCTAATGAAGCCAAGGAAATACAAAAAGTGTGAAGGCAACACAGGAGGTCAGGCCTGAAAGTAGCACATATTCTTGCTATTAACAGGATATGACAATCACCTTGGAGGTTGTTTGAAAGGCAGAATCCTAGGCCCTACCCCACACCTTCTAAATCTGTATTTGCATTTACTACAGAATCTTCTGGTGAATAGCTGCAACGACTTATGCCACGAGCTACCCAGAGCAGGTGCAGACTTCACAGGTTAAGGCCCAGTCCTCCACAAGCCTGTCCTTGCTCAGACACCAGCCGCAAGCTCAGGGCGTCTCAGGCCACTCCCACTCTATTGTTTGTTCATCTGAACATGTCCTTAGTTTGTCTCACTATTGAAAGGTAGTGCTTGGGGATGCCTAATATTTGGTGGGCAATTTCTTTCTCTCAGTACTTTGAAGATATTATTCCTCTATCTCTAGCTTCTGTTTTTGCTACTAAAAAGTATTTTATGAGTCTAATTGTCGTCGTGTGGTAGGTGATCAGATAGTTCTCCCTATTAAAAATGTAAAAATACAGTACTTAAATTCACTGAGGAATAATTCATATGCAATGAATAGCTCACATTTTAATTATACGATTTAATAAGCCTTGGCAACTTTATATATGCTTGTGAGGCTACAACAAGCAAGGTACAGAACATTTGCATCGCAACAAAAACTGCGCCTTTTCCCAGGCAACCAGTAATCTGCTGTCTGTCAGCAGAAATTAATTTTGCCTTTTTAGAATTACTTGTTAGTTGCTCTATGCACTTTCTCGAGTCTGGCTGCTTCTTTGCCTAATCCTGATATTTCTGAGATTCATCTATGTTGTGTGTATATTAGCATGTTCTATATTACTAAATAATATTCCATTGTATAAATACATTACAGTTTATTGATTCACATATTGGCAAATATTTAGGCTGTTTCTACTCTGAGGCCATTATAAATGAAGGTGTTATGAACATTTGGTTTTAAAGAGTCTTTGCTGTGGCCATATGTTTTCACTTCTCTTGGATAAATGCACAGAAGTGAAATTGCTGGGTCACATGTAAGTATATCTTAACTTTATTAAAAATCAAACTGTTTTCCAAAGTGGCCGTATGATTGTAAATTTCCACTAAAAAGGTATGTGAGTTACAGTTGCTCTACACCCTTGGAAAAAGTTGGTATTTTAAGACTTTAATTTTAGTCACTCTCGTAGATGTATATTGGAATTTAAACGTGATTTTAATTTGCATTACCCTAATGATTAATGATGTTGAACATCTTTCATGTGCTTATCGGCCACAGATGTATCTTCTTTTGTAAGGTGTCTGTTCCAATCTTTTGCCCACTTAAAAAAGTAGATTGTCCTATAATGTGAGTTCTTATCAATGTGTTCTGGATACAAGCCATTAATCAGGTATATGTGTTACAAATATATTCTCCATTGTGTGACTTGCTTCCTCCTTTTCTTAATGGCAGCTAAGAGCAGAAGTTTTTAATTTTTAGAAAGCCCAACTTTTCCATTTTTCTTTTATAGTTTGTATATTTTATATCCTGTTTTAAAAAATCTTTGCCAACCCAAATGTTATAAATAATTTTTCCCCGGGGATTTCTTCTAGAATTTTATAGTATTCGTTTTTAAACATAGGTCTACAGTACATCTCATATTGATTTTTGTGCGTGTGGGGTGCAGTAATGGTTAAGGTTTGTTGTTTCAGGCCATTTACAGAAAAGACTTTCCTTTCACCATTGAATTACATGTATAACTTTGATGAAAACCGATTGGCCATCCATGTGTCTGTCTACTCCTGGAATGTATACTATTTTTTTTACACTGATTGAAGTGTTTGCTCTTATCAATACCACACTGTCTGGAATACTGTACCTTTATAATAATTATTGGAAAAACATACTATATGTGCCTCAACATTGACCTTAGTTTTAAAAATTGTTTTGGTTGGGACTTCATGATTAAAACACCAAAAGCAATGGCAACAGAAGCCAAAATAGACAAATGGGATCTAATTAAACTAAAGAGCTTCTGCACGGCAAAGGAAACTACCATCAGAGTGAACAGGCAATCTACAGAATGGGAGAAAATTTTTGCAATCTACCCATCTGACAAAGGGCGAATATCCAGAATCTACAAAGAACTCAAACAAATTTACAAGAAAAAAACAAACAACCCCATCAAAAAGCAGACAAAAAATATGAACAGACACTTCTCAAAAGAAGACATCTATGCAGCCAACAGACACATGAAAAAATGCTCATCATCACTGGCCATCAGAGAAATGCAAATCAAAACCACAATGAGATACTATCTCATGCCAGTTAGAATGGCAATCATTAAAAAGTCAGGAAACAACAGATGCTGGAGAGGATATGGAGAAATAGAAACGCTTTTACACTGTTGGTGGGAGTGTAAATTAGTTCAACCATTGTGGAAGACAGTGTGGCGATCCCTCAAGGATCTAGAACCAGAAATACCATTTGACCCAGCAATTCCATTACTGGGCATATACCCAAAGGATTAAAAATCATGCTACTATAAAGACACATGCACACGTATGTTTATTGCGGCACTATTCACAATAGCAAAGACTTGGAACCAACCCAAATGTCCATCAATGATAGACTGGATTAAGAAAATGTGGCACATATACACTATGAAATACTATGCAGCCATAAAAAAGGATGAGTTCATGTCCTTTGCAGGGACATGGATGACACTGAAAACCATCATTCTCAGCAAACTACCACAAGGACAGAAAACCAAACACTGCATGTTCTCACTCATAGGTGGGAATTGAACAATGAGATCACTTGGACACAGGAAGGGGAACATCACACACTGGGGCCTGTCAGTGGGTGGGGGGCTGGGGGAGGGATAGCATTAGGTGAAATACCTAATGTAAATGACGAGTTGATGGGTGCAGCAAACCAATATGGCACATCTATACCTATGTATCAAACCTGCACGTTGTGCACATGTACCCTAGAACTTAAAGTATAAGTAAAAAAAAAAAAAAAAAAAGAAAGAAAGAAAAAGAAAAATGCAACTGACACACAGAAAAGAAATGTTTTGGTTATTTTAGGTCTTTGCATTTCCATACATTTCAGAATCAGCTTCTAATTTCTTCATAAAAGCTTGCAGAGAGTTTGACTGGACTGCACTGTTGATTAATTGATTAGTTAATTGGAGGAAATTGACACCTAAACATCATTGAGTCTTCCAAACAACACAGACTCTCCATCTCTTTAGGTCTCCTTTAGTTTTTGTCAGCAATTCTTTGAAGTTTATAGTATATAGGCCTTGCATACATTTTATTACATTTCCTAAATATTATTTATTAAATTATCCTAAATATTTCATGTTTTAGATGCTATTCTAAATTACATTTTTAAATTGTTTCTATGTTTGTTGCTAGTACATAGTAATACAGCTAACTTTTGAAAATAACCTCGTATCCTTCAACTTTGCTAAATTCACTTATTCGTTCTCATAGATCTCCCTTTTGAGGATTCCTTGGGATTTCCTATATACACAATCATGTCACATGTGAATATCAACAGCTTTCCTTTCCTTTCCAATGATATGTTTTTTTTTCTTGCATCATACAATGGTAAACAGAAGTGGTGAGAGCAGATATCCTTGCGTTGTTTGCTTTCTTAGATGGAAAGCATTGCTTCCACCCTTGTGTGGCCTTTACTGTATGTTTGAATTAGGTTGAGGAAGTATCCTTTCATTCTTGGCTTTCTAAGAGTTTCTTTTATCATGAATATACTTTGAATTTTTCTTAGTAATTTTTCTGCATCCACTGAGATGTTCATATGGTTTTTCTCTTTTTTCTGTTATTACGATGAATTGATAGTGAATATTAAACCAACCTTGCATTCCTGGGATAAACTCACTTAGTCACAATGTATTATTGTTTTTATATGTTGCAGTATTTAATTTACTAGCACTTTATTAAAAATATTTGCATCAGCCAGGCAAGGTGGCTCAGGCCTGTAATCACAGCACTTTGGGAGGCTGTGGTGGGAGGATTTCTAGAGCCCAGGAGTTCAAAATCAGCTTGGGCAATATAGGGAGATTCCATCTCTACAAAAAATTTAAATATTAGCCAGGAATGGTGGCATGTGCCTCTAGTCCCAGCTAATCTGGAGGCTGAGGTGGGAGGATCACTTGAGCCTGGCTGGTCGAGGCTGCAGTAAGCTAATGATAGCACTACTGCACTCCAGCCTGGGCAACAGAGCAAGACCCTATCTCAAAAAAAAAAAAAAGATATTTGCATCTATGTTAATGAGGGATATTGGTCTATTGTTTTCTTTTATGTGACGTCTTTTTCTGGGTTTGATATTAAGGTAATTCTGATATTATTAAATGATTTAGGAAGTATTTTCTTCTCCTCTGCATTTCTGGAAGAGTTTGTATATTCCTACTTCCTTGAATGTTTGATAGAATTAACCAATAAAGACATTTGGCATGAAATTTGCACTCTTTCTGACAGTTTGCAGTCATCCTTATGTTTATTCTTCTGTATATAATGTCTTCTTTCTCACTTTTTAAAAGATTTTTGCTTTACCCCTGATTTTTAGCAATTTGATTATGATGTACTCTGTGGCTTCCTGTGTGGTTATTCTATTTGGAGTTTGTTGAGTTTCTTCAACTACAGTTTTATGATTTTTATCACATTTGGAAAAGCTTTGGCCATGATCTGTGTTGGGATTTGTCTCTGTTTCCTATGCTTCCCTACGGCTCCAGTTATGCACATGTGAGACTGCTTGACATTGTCCTACATGTCATTCATGCTCTGTTCATTTTTTAAGTCTTTTCTTTCTGTGTTTTTCTTGAGAAGTTTCTATTGTGCCCACGTTTTCTTCTGCATTGTCTAATGTGCTTTTAACTGTTTATTTCAAGATAATTTAAGACTTACCAAAGAGTTTCAAAGATAGTTGGTTTCCAGTATGCCCTCTGACCTGTCTCTCAGAGGTGAACGAACGTCTTACATAATTGTGGTATAATTGTAAAAACTAGGAAACCATCATAAATTGATGTAATACTATTAGTTATATTACAGACTTGATTGGGAATTACTGTTTTTCCACTAATGTCTGTTTTCCATTCCAAGACCCAATTCAGGATATTTTATCTGTTATGTCTCTTCCAATCTGTGACAGTTCCTTCATGTTTTTGTTTTTGGTTTCTCATAACCTTGACAATTTTGAAGAGTATAGGTCAGGGATTTTGTACACTGTTCCTTAATTTGGGTTTGTTTCGTGTTTTCTTGTGATTTAACTAAGATTACAGGTTTGGGAGAGAGGATATGGGAAGGGCAAGTAAGTGCCTGTATCACGAGTTGGGGGGCATATATGATATCAACATGTCTTCACATTGAAGTAGAGTTTTCTAAGTTTTTCTAGTCTACAGTAATTTCCCCTTTATATACTCTACTAAAGTGAATTATTAAGTGTAGCCCATATTTAAGGGGAGGGGAATTAAGCTCTTCTGGAGGGAGAGATATCAGAAATTTTTGGACATAAGTTAAAACCTCCACAGTCAAGTATTTTTTGGAGAGCTACTTAGGCTATGAAAACATTCGTCTCTTTAAAATTTCCTGCACTAATCTCCGTGCATATCTGCAGATCTTATAGCATCTATTCCTGTGGTATGTTGTGATTCTCTATTTCCCTCATTCATTTCACATTCATTAATTGGAATCCTTTTCTAAGGAAGAGCTGTCCTTCTCCATTTATGATTTATTCAATCGTTTTACAAATCAATTCACAAATATTTATCTTAGTCTTTGTGTAACATTCCAATACTACTGTGATTTATTTTCTTGCTCAAATTATTCTAGCTTTGGCCACCAGGAGAGCAGTGGTTTGGTTTCTGTGTCTTTTTGACATGCTCCTACTATTTTTTTTTTTAACACTTTACCTGATGGCACCACAAAATGTTGCAGGCTCATTTTGCATTTCTTCTGCCCCAGTCCTAGAACCAGAATCAGCCATTTTTCCAAAGAGCCTTCATTCTGTTTACTTAGAAACCCCGATCTAGGTATGGTCGCTGCTCCTGGGCCCTGTCATAACCAGAGCTATGAAATGTATGCATGTATACTAACCCATGTATAATATATGAATACACATCCAAATGTATTTCTGTATGTGTGTATCTGTATACATATTTGTGTAATCCTGAGCCCCATACTCCTATCTCCAACTCAAACCCAGCACTGCAAGGCTCATTCCAGCATTCTCCCTTTGGTTATTTGTAATCATTTTCTCCCACAGTGTGAAATCTTCTTCCCATTACTTAAACTATAATTACTTATTTGTTCAAGTGCAGTATATGTGTAAAGTGCTTTCAGGATTGCTAATCCATACCCCTGTGAGGAAAGACATTACCAACTAGAGTACACTGTTCATGCACAGTTCCTTCCGTCTTCAGACTTGCCATGTCGATTCAACACGCTGTTTCCAAAGGTGTGTGGCTCAGCTCCCTTCTTCTCCACTGCGTTCCGTGTGGTTACGGCACACGAGGAACACAGTCCGTCCATGACTCAGAGTCTGTGCTCCATCTTGAACTCCCCCAACATCCTGGTGGATGTTTTTAAGCTTTGCATACAGCAAAATTCATTCTTGGTGGTGCACAGTTCTTTGAGCTTTGAAAAATGCATATAGTCATGTATCTGCTGCCACAGTACCACATAGGATATTTTCATCAGCCCCCAAATTCTCTGAGCTGATGCTCTGTAGTCAGTTTCTCTCCACTCTCAGTACCTAGCAACCACTGATCTGTTTTCTATCCCCACAGTTTTGCCTTTTTCAGAACACAAATAAAATCATGTAATACGTAGCCTTCTGGATCTGCAGCAAAATGCATTCAAGATTCATTCACGTTGTGTGAATCAGCAGATCACGCATTGTTATTCCTGAGTTACATTCCATGTATGGATATCCTGTGCATTTTGCTTTATTTTTTTGTAGAGATGACATCTCACTATATTGCCCAGGCTGGTTTTGAACTCCTGGCCTCAAGCCATCCTCCTCCCTTGGCCTCCCAAAGTGCTGGAATTACAGGTGTGAGCTACCACGTCTGGCTGGTAAATGTGCTTTTTTAATTTTTATTTTTTTGAGACAGGGTCACCCCGGCTGGTGTAAATACACCTAGACTGGTGTAAATTCTGTCACCCAGGCTGGGGTAAATACACTTAACTTTATAAGAACCTGCCACTCTTTTCCAAAGTGACGTACAAATGCTGCACTCTCAGTAGCAATGTTTAAGAGTTCTAGTTACTCTGTGTCCTTCCTGAAACTTTGATAGTGTCAGTTTTTAAAACTTTAGCCCTTCTAACAGGTGTGTAGTATCACAATATGGTTTTATTTTGCATTTCCACAATGACTAATGATGTTCAAGTCTTTCATATGCTTATTTGCTATCTGTACATTGTCTTTGGTGAAGTTTCTGTTTAGACGTTTTACTCCTTTTAAAAGATTGTTTTCTTATTTTATTAGTTGTAAGGGTTCTTTATACATTCTAAATGTAAGTCCTTTATCAGATTCATTTGCAAACATTTTCTCCAAATCGGTGGTTTGCCTTTTCCTTGTCTGAGCAGTGTCTTTCACAGAGCAAAAGGTTTGAATTTTGTTCTGTCAATTACTGAGAGAGTAGTGTTAAAGTTCTAAATATAATTATGGATTTTTCTATTTCTTCTTTTAGTTCTATCAGTTTGTCTCATGTATTTCAAATCTCTGTTAGGTGCATACATATTTACGGATTTTATGTCTTCTTGGATAATCAGCCCCTTTATCTTGTCTCTGTTTATTCCTGATAATATTACTTGTTTTGAAGTCTACTTTGTCCCATATTGTAGACACTCTAGTTTGTTTTCTTTCTTTCTTTTCCTTTCTTCTTTCTTTCTCTTTCTTTTTTGCATTAAGAGTATTGAGGCTTTGGAACACCTGAAGTGAGAAGCACACTAGGAAATCAACACAAAATGAATCAATGAATCACAGGAATGTAAAACTGCAATATGATCTGGTTGAAGTTAGTGTCACTTTAACATGATTCTTTTTTTATTCCCCCTGGAGGCAGGACATCTCTCTATTGCCCACGCTGGAGTGCAGTGGCATAATCACGGCTCACTGCAGCCTTGACCTCCTGGGCTCAAGTGATCCTCTCACCTCAGCCTCCTGAGTAGCTGGAACTACAGGTGCACACCACCATGCCTGGCTATTTAAATTTTTTTTTTTTTTGGTAGAGATGAGATCTCACTATTTTACCCAGGTTGGTCTCGAACTCCTGGGCTCAAGTGATCCTGCCTTGGCCTCTCAAAGTGCTGGGATTACAGGCATGAGCCACTGCAACCAGCCAATTCTTTTACTGGAAGATTAAAAAGAAATTAACTTATTTTTAATTGACAAAAATTGTGTATCTTTCTCATGTACAACGTGGTTTTGAAATATGTATAATACATTATGAAATGTCTAAATTAAGCTAATTAACACATGCATTACCTCACATACTTATGTTTTGTGGTGAGAACACTTAAAATCTACTCTCTCAGCATTTTTCAAGAACACAATACATTGTTATCAACTATAGCCACCACGTTGTACAATAGATCTCTTGAACTTATTCATCCTGTATAACTGAAACTTTGTATCCTTTGACCAACATTTCTCCAACCTCCTGCCCTCACTCCCCAGCCTCTGGTAATCACCATTCTACTCTCTGCTTCTGTAAATTCCACCTTTTTAGATTCCACACACGTATAAGTAAGATCATATGGTAGTTGTCTTTTTGTGCCTGGCTTATTTCACCTTAGCCTAATCTCCTCCAGATTTATTTATGTTGTTACAAATGATAGGAGTTCCTTTTCTTTTAATGGCTACATAGTTTTCCTTTGTGTATATGTACCACTTTTTTTTCTTTGAGACGGAGTCTCGATCTGTTGCCAGGCTAGAGTGCAGTGATGCGATCTCAGCTCACTGCAACCTCTGCCTCCTGGGTTCGAGCGATCCTCCTGCCTCAGCCTCCCGAGTAGCTGGGACTACAGGCATGCATCACCATGCCCAGCTAAGTTTTGTATTTTTAGTAGAGATAGGGTTTCACCATGTTGGCCAGGATGGTCTCAATCTATTGACTTCATGATCCACCTGCGCCTGGCCATGTACCACATTTTCAAAAATCCATTCATCCATTGATGGATGCTTAGGTTACTTTCATATCTTGGCTACAGTATATACAGCCGTATAATGTTGCGATGGACATGGGAGTGCAGACACTTCTTTGGCTAGTGATTTCATTTCCTTTGGCATATACCCAGTAGGGGGATTGCTGGATCATCATGGCTGTACTAATTCACATACCCACCAAGTGTAAAAAGGTTCCCTTTTCTCCATGTCCTCTCCAACACTTGTTATCTTTCATCTGTTTGATAACAGCTATTCTAATGGGTTACATGGAAGACAATGTTTCTTTTGATTAGTGTTTGCATGGCATATCTTTCCTTGCACTTAGCCTATCTACATCTTTAAAGTGTGTTTCTAGAGATGGAGTCTCACTCTGTCGCCCAGGATGGAGTGCAGTGGCACCATCTCAGCTCACTGAAACTTCCACCTCCCGGGTTCAAGAGATTCTCTGGCCTCAGCCTCCCGAGTAGCTGGGATTACAGGTGCCTGCCACCACGCCCGGCTAATTTTTTTTTTTCATATTTTTAGTAGAGATGGGGTTTCACCATGTTGGATAAGCTGGCCTTGAACTCCTGACCTCCAGTGATCCGCCTGCTTCAGCCTCCCACAGTAATAGAGAACCTATATTTCATTCTTACATCTTAATGCAATCTGACACTTTTTTGGTGTTAGGACTGTTGTGTGTGTATGGATCATTCACATTCAATAGAAATTGAGTTGATATGGTTGGATTCCAACCTACCATCTTGTTAGCTGTTTTTTATTTAATTTGTTATTTCTTTTTTTCTTGGATTAAGTTAGTTTTTAAAAATGATTTCCTTTTATCTTTCCTAAACATATATATATAAACACACATATATATATAAAAGTGTGTGTGTGTGTATATATATATATATATATATATATACACACACACTTTTCTTTAAAAAATTTTTTGGTGGTCACCTTAGGGTTTACAATTTATATTTTTAATTACTATGCATCTATTTTCAAATATTATACTGTACTTCTTCACGTGTAGTATAAGAACCTTATAGCAACATATGACCACTTCCTCCCTTTCATCCTTTGTATTATTGTCATGCATTTCACTTGTTCATATGCTCTAAGCACACAATACATTTTCCCTATTTTTACTCCAATCAATCTTTCAGAGCATTAAAAACAGGGAGAAAAATGTTACCGTCATATATGCAATTTCAACCACACTCATCATCAACCGTGTTCATCATTTCTTTGTGTTGAACCAGATTTCTGATTGTTATCATAGTCCTTGTGCCTAAAAAACTTCTTTTAACATTTCCTGTAGAGCTTGTCTGCTCGCAATGAATTCCCTCCATTTTTGCTCCTTAGGTATTTCTGCTGGGTAACTGTTTCTGACAACAGGTTTTTCCATCAGTACATAAAAGATTGGTCATGCCACTGTCTTCTGGCTTGTATGCTTTTTGATGAGATAGCTGCTATAATTCTTATTGTTCTTTTCCTCTCTAGGAAAAGAGAAAATGTTTCTTTTTCAGCAATTAGAACATGATATATTTGGATATGGGGGCTTTTGCTTGTTTGCTTGTGTCTTGGTATTTATCTCGCTTGGTGTTATCTGAGCTTCTTGGGTCTATGTTTTGGTGCCTGTCATAAATCTTGAAAAAATTAGTTCTTCAGACATTTGTTCCACTCCTTTCTCTCTTCTTCTTCCAACTATACATATGTTAGACCATTCAATGTTGTTGAACAGTTCATAGATACTCTGCTCTGTTTCTTGCACTCCTTCTTCTCTTTGCTTCAGTTTGGATAATTTTTATTTATATTTCTTCAAGGTAACTTATTCTTTCCATGTCAAGTGTATCAATGAACCCATTGAAGGCATTCTTCACCTCTATCATTGTGCTTTTGATTTCTATCATTTCCATTTCTAGCATTTCCTTTTGGTACACTGAATTTTTGTTTGAAACCTCGTTTTTTTTTTAGTGATAGTGTATACTATGGTAAATATTTTCTATGATTGGAGATGAGCACATCTTGCTGTCTAGTAGGTTGTTAGTATGAGTTTGCTATCTTATTCAGGAGTTGGGCTTAGTGAGATATTTGTTGTTGCCACAGCTATCCTCTGTGCACAAAAGGCTCCAAATTCCTCCGGCAACACCTTGTACTTAGAACATGGGCTCATTTGTGAGATTGTTTTCTCAGTGTCTGCGCTTCCTCTGGGCTTTGGGTCTTCTCTTTGCGCTGTAGTCCTGAAAGAAGCAGTCTCTTGTGGGCCTCCCAACTGTATTTTGTCGTTTTTACTTGACATCTATTATTCTGGTGACAGGAGATAGGAGAGGATCAGAATCCTCTGATGTTCTGTTTAAGCATCCTCTTACACAGGGAGTGTCTGGGTCTCAGGGATGTGGACTTCAAAATACTTCTCCCACCAGCTGCAGTGTTGGGCTCGGCAGGTATCCCTGATCCTCTCCTAGGGTAGAGCTTTTTATTTTTCTGTCCCCTTTGCACAATGGAAATGGGCTTCCCCATTGCCCTAAGGCCACGGTTTTTGTGGCCTTTCTCCCTGAAGGCCTTTTTCCATAAGTGAGATAAGAGAGGTGTGTACCAATGGAGTTTCTCGAGTGGACACTGTTCCCTCCCTCAAACAACATAATGAGGAACTTTCTCAGGATTCTCCCACCTTTCCTGTGAGAACCTGGTGGAGTTCATGAACAAGAAGCCTGCAAGAGGAGGCAAACCTCTCTACTCTGCAGCACCAAGGGACTTCATACTCTCACACATGGTATTTAGAAATTCATTCTAAACGTTTTAGCTGACTCTTATTTCCCACACATATGGCATCATTTGTTTCTCTCCCAGGTAAGCAAATGCTCAGGTCCTGTTTTTCTTCCGAGGTGTCTCTCCCTAGATTTCCAGTTATTTGGTCGTTCTGCAATGTTGATTTTCTGATGGGCTCAAGAAAGCTACAGTTCTTTTTGCTGTAATCTTGGCAGTGATACTTTATCCAGTGTTCTACGTCTATGAGATAAAACTGGAAATTTCTAACTACTTTTATTTCTACCCATTGAACATTTTATTTTGAATACTGTATTTTTCAGCTCTAAAATATTCACTTCCTATCTATGTCTTTCTTCATTATGGCCTTGTTTTTCCTTAAATTCTTGAGCATATGTATAGTAACTGTTTGAAATTCTTTGCCTGGTAATTCCATCATTTCTGTCATATTATTTCTATTGATCAATTTTTTTCCTGGTATTGGTCATATATTCCTGCTCCTTCACTTCAGTAGCGATTTTTGATTGGATGCTGGACTTTTATGAATTTTACTTTATTGAGTGCCGAATGTGGTTGTCTTAAAAAATATTGGACTTTGTTCTGGCAGGCCATTAAATTACCTGCTGATCAGCATACTCCCTTCCAGGATTGTTCTAAAACTCTGTTAGGAGATTCTGGAGTAACCTTTACTCTAGCTTTCTGGTTGTTCCCGATGTACTTTGTCTGTCCTCGTGGAGTTTCACCCTACAGCAACATATTCAAGGTGACTCCATGCAGATTTCCAGAACTCTTTCTCTGCCTAGCTCCCTCATCTCCAGTACTGCAACCCACAAATGTCCCACACCTGCACTACAAATTGTCATCCCTGTGGCCCCAAATCATTAAGACCACTGTGTTCTGCCTGAGTTTCCCCTTCCTGCCTCACAATCCAGAAAGCTGGGTTATCATAAGGCCCACCTCGTTTGCTGCCATTCTCTCAGGGATCATGGTCCTCGACTGCCTGTCTTCCAATGTCTGAAAAGAGTGTTTCCAAATCTGTCCAGTTTTCAAGTTGTTTGTGATGTGAGAAGCCTGTCTCAGTCCTCCATGATGGCCAGAGGTGGAAGTTTCTCTTTCGCTGCTTTTTATATCTTCTCTTTTTTGGTTATTCAAATTTTTAGTTTCACCACGTCTAGATGTGGATTTTTTTATTTTTTTTTTTACCCCATGCTTGTTATGCTTCCTGTATCTTTGGATTTACGTCTTTCACTAATTCTTAAAAATCATGTGAAATCATCTTTTCGAATATTGCCTCTCCTCTATACTTTTTATTCTCTCCTTCTGGAACCTCACTTTTACAGTGTTTTAGTCCTTCAGGCTGCTGTAATGAAATAACACAGTCTGTGTGGCTTATAAACAGAATTTCTTTCTCACAGTTCTGGAGGTGGGGAAGTCCAAGATCAAGGTGCCAGCAGATTCAGTGTCTGGTGAAGGCCCATTCCTCATAGGTGGCCATCTTTTCACTCTAACCTCACACAGCGGGAGGGGCAAGGCAGCTCTTGGGGGTTTCTTTATGAGGACACTCATCTCATTCATCTATTCACCTCCAAAGGCCTCACCTCCAAATACTGTCACATTTGGGGATTAGGTTTCAACATATGAATTTGGGGTGGAGGAATACAAACATTCAAGCTATATCACGTGTTTGGCATCCTCATTCCAGTCTCTCAATTGCTAAACCTCTCATTCACATCCTTCATCTCCTTTCCTCTTTGTGTTATATTCTGCGCAATTTTTTTGTCTACCCTTAATTCCCAAATTCTCTCAATTCTGTCTCATCTGTGTAATTTTGCCTTTGGGTTTTTTAACAACTGTATTTTGAACAGTGTTTGATTTTTTTTCCTCTTTAATTTGTTTGAAGCATTACAAACCCGTAGAAAGTTTAAGAGTAAAATTAAACTTTTTTTGTGAATCATGTGTGACCAAGTTGCTGAGCAGATGCCCCATCAGCCACAAGCACTGTATGTAGTATGTATTTACCACAAAGGCTTTCTTCCTACATGCAGCGTATTAATCACTGAAATCGGGAAATTAACTTGGTGTGTTACTGCCATCTAACCTTCAGACCCTATCAATTTTTGCAAATTGTCCCAATAAGAGTGAAAAGATCATTTATTGCATTTAGTTGTGATGTCTTTTTCTTCTTCAGTCTGAAATGTTTTCTTAGTGTTTCCTTGACTTTCGTAATTAGATCTTTGAAGATTACATGCCAATTATTTTCTGGAATGTCTCTCAATTTGAGTTTGTCCTTTTTTCTTCAGAATTAGATTTGGTTAGGTATCTTTGACAGGATGATCACAGAAGTGATGCTGTACTCTTCTTATTGTATTATATCAGGTGGCAACTTTTATTTATCCCATTATTGAAAATGTTTACTTTGATCAGTTAGGGTGGTTTTAGAGGCTTTTCCACTGAAAATTATTCTTTTCTACTATGTAATTAATATATATTTTCTAGGAAGGAACACCTTAACTATTTTGATATACTGTTTCCATATAAAGTTCAATTTATTATTTATCAATATTTGTATAGACACAAGCTTTCCTGTTTTTAGTCTATTGCTCTCATTATTTAATTTGATGCTCATCTCATCTCTGCTTTGGCCCATTAAATCTCACTTCTGTGTCATTTTGACATATCTTTATCACTATTCAAGCACTTCCTTGATTTTTGGAGGGAACAAGATGTTCCAGGCTGATCTTGCGAATTCCATGCCCCAGTTCTGAAATCAGTTGTTTTTCCAAGTAATACTGGTTCCTTTTGAAAAGTGGTATTTAGAAACCAAGGTCTAGGTGCTGGGTGTGCTCAAGATGGGCTGCTGTCTCCAGGGCACTCTTGGTGGACAGTTAGGAAACACACACACATACACACACACACAGTTATACAAAAACAGGCATACACATATTTGCATATACATTTATTCCTACAATGAAATACAATTATCAAAAACCATTAGTGCAATCACTCTGATTCTTTATTCTAGTGACACACCATAGGGTTAATTTTAGCTTTTTCTTCATATAAGTAACTCCCTATTTGCACAGTGTGAAACTTAGCTCCATCACCCTTCATATATTTATATATCTGATCAATTTCCCTGTTCATAACCAACATGCCATCTCTGTTGTCACCTTCTTCTGTGTAGGTCCCCTTATAACTGGAGTTCTGATTCCCTGTGCTCTGCCTCCCACCTGTGTGAAAACTCTCACGATGCTTGTGTTCTGCCGTTCTAGTCTACTTATCTTTGGCAACTCCCACCTCATCCCAGTAGGGCCCTGAATTCCACCTTGGGCCCATCCCTCAGGATCATGTCCTAGTAACCCGGTCATGTGTGACTCCCCATGTTGAACTGCCCCCATGGGTGGATGCCCTCCTCACTTTGCCAATCCACAGGACATACTTTGAAACCTGTGGTGCTCTCACATGCCTTGCTGGGCAGCCCTCTCACAGGGTATGAGCTGGAACACATGCTTGGGCTCCGATCCTCTAGCCTGGCCAGCACATCCCTCCCCACCTCTCCCAGCCCTGCTATACCACTAGTGCTGCCTAATGGCTTTAGGACATTGTTCAGATACAACAAAAAGGAAGCACTCTCTGGCTACTCTAGACAGTCTCTTCTTGATTTTTTTCATCCTTTATTTCCTTAAACCTTTCAAATATTGTCCTTTATGGTAATTTTAATAACTAAAGTCCCTAGGAGGTCAATCTAGTTTGTATTTTTCACTTACAGTGGTTTCTTCCCTCGTGCATTTTGTGATCTTTGATTTTAAGTCCATAGTTGGTTGACCTTAAACTGTGAAGAATATAAGGGGATAATTTGAGAAAGCCCTTCCAGGATCTCTGGCCTAATTTGGGAGCCTGGGGTTTAGATTCCCTCCTCAAAAGCTGTCCAAGAATTTGCTTCCTATTAGCAGTGCAAATGGGGATGACTTCCCCAGTGAAACCCTGAACTTCCTGTACACTACTAACTGCTCAGGCTTTGGATCTGTTTTTTTTTTGTTTGTTTGTTTTGCTTAAGAGATGGGGTTCTGTTTGGTCACCCAGACTGGAGTGCAGTGGTGCTATTACAGCTCATTATAACCTCGAACTCCTGGACTCAGATGATCCTTCCGCCTCAGCCTCCAGAGTAGTTATGCAAAGCAGTTAAAGGTATGCACCACCATGCTTGGCTATTTTTATTTTTATTTTTTGTAGAAATGGGGTTTTGCCATGTTGCCCATGCTGCTCTTGAAATCCTTGGCTCAAGTGATAACCACCTGCTTAGCCTCCCAATGCATTGGGATTACAGGTGTGAGCCACTGTGCCCAGCGTTTTGCTTCCTTCTTGATCCTTTGGAAACATTATTCCTAAAACCTAGCAATACAACAAAAAATGTTTTCCACAGAATCTGTTTTGTTGGAGGAGGGGAACAGAATTTCCAGTTCATCATTACTGAGACGAGAAAGACTTCTATATTCGCTTTATTTACAAAAAAGCAAAGCTTGCTTTTAAGATTTTCAGTAGGATATGTATGAAACTGCAGCGCTCACTAGGTAGTCTTCTTAGGTTTAACCCCTGACACTCATATAATGCCACGCCTGGCAGCAGCTCCACTTTGGAGGACTGAGGAGAAGAAACACACTTCACTGCGGTACAGGCATGGAAGAGCTCTACTCTTTGGCCCAAATGCAATTCAGGAGCAAACCATTATGGGTGGGGGCTTGGCTTGGAAGTCCTTGACCGGCGGGAAACCAGTTCCCTGAGTTTGTCTTTTAGATTCCCACATTCAGTTAAGACAGTAACAGAGGCTAAAGGTATGGCTTCCCACTAGGTGTTTTAAGATTATTCAGTACTTTCAAGCCAGAGGCAGTCTACATGTCAGAGGTCATTTTTACCATGAGCAATGTTTTATTTATTTATTTGGAGATGGAGTTTCACTCTTGTCACCTAGGCTGGAGTGTAGTGGTGTGATCTCGGCTCACTGCAACCTCCACCTCCTGAGTTCAAGTGATTCTTGTGCCTCAGCCTCCCAGGTAGCTGGGATTACATGCATGTGCCACCACACCCAGCTAATTTTTGTATTTTTAGTAGGGATGGGGTTTTGCCATGTGGGCCAGGCTGGTCTTGAACTCCTGACCTCAGGTGATCCACCTGTCTTGGCCTCCCAAAGTGTTGGGATTACAGGCGTGAGCCACCGCGCCTGGCCTACAACCAATGTTGTTTTATACCACAATGAACACTCTGCCTTCATAAGGTTTCTATGACAAGTTAAAGTTAACACAAAGTGAAGTTTGTTCATAGATAAGGACAAGGGGTTGGTTAAATCTTTACTCACAGTAATTTACCAAGAACTTCAAATACTGGGTGTCCACGCTAAAAAATTTTTCCAGTGGGTGTTTGATCAAAAAATTTTATAGACTCTTGTTCTAGAGAAATTCAGTTTCAAGTGGCTTATGAGATTGTTTCATCTGTTAATTTGGTTTTTTGTGGAATTCTTCTGAAGATCACCACTGAATTATCCTGAAAAATATTTTCTGAGTTAGGCATGCCATCCTCCACAGTTCAAAAAATAATGAAAGGTGATAAAGAGTTCAAGCCATTTAAATATGGATGTATTAACGTGCTTTTTAATAGAGACCATTTTTCAATGAGTTGCTTGCAAAACATTTTTTTTGGGGAGTGAGTTCTCACAGTTGAATAATTTTTTTGTTTTTTTTTGAGACAGAATCTCGCTCTGTCACCCAGGCTGGATTGCCGTGGCGCAATCTCGGCTCACTGCAACCTCCGCCTCCTCGATTCAAGCAATTCTCCTGCCTCAGCCTCCTGAGTAGCTGGGATTACAGGCGCGTGCCACCACGCCCAACTAATTTTTGTATTTTTAGTAGAGACGGGGTTTCACCATGTTGGTCAGGCTGGTCTCAAACTCCTGACCTCGTGATCCACCCACCTCAGCCTCCCAAAGTGGTGGGATTACAGGCGTGAGCCACCGCGCCCGGCCAGCATTTTATTATACGTACCGTTTTATCATCTCTTCACCCATCCACCAATGCATCTCCTGTATGGACGTCTTGATTGTTAACTCACGGCACTGGACCTCCAGTTTCATGCCTCTCCACATTGCAGGGTCCTCTACGTTGTTGTATCAGTCACCTTTCTAAAATACAAATCTTACCATGTAAATTGTTTCTAAAATCTTTCAATAGACCCCATAGACTCAGAAAAACGTCCCAAAGTCCGGAATCCTGGCCCCTGCCTACCTTTCCAGTTTCATTGCTGGGTCAGAACGCCTCACCTAAGCCCCACATTGACCGATATGGAATCAATGTTTACAGCCGGTGTGTACTTAATCAACCCCCTTCCCCGACTGCGACCACTCAGATGCGCCTTCCCGGGCCCCACACCCCAAAACCCCTGAGCCCTTTCGTCCACAGCTGTCTGACCACCCAGCACCCTTTCCTTTATGTCAAGTATGAGGATTTCGTTTCTTAACCTTTCTCACTGCTCAAAATGCAAACTCAGACATGAGTGCCGGGCGCTATCCGTCCTGCTCACGTCTTGTTCTCAGGGCCGCAAGGCGCAGGGGCAGTAAGGGCCGAGAGCCCATCAGGGTCCGGCGCTGCCCGCTGCCCAGCCGGGCGCGGAGAAGGGGACGGGGGTCCGGGGTCGCGGGTCCGGAGGGTCTCGGGTTGTAGGAAGTGAGGGCTCGCGGGCGCCGCACGAGTGCGCGTGCACGTTAGCCCGGCGCGCGCGGCACTCATCTCACCTCGCGGAAGCACCTGCCGGAGCTGTGTGCACCCTTTCCTGCCCTCAACACAAGCCGTCGGCGTTCACTACTGTAGCTCATTCAGACCCCACTCTCCAACCTACTGTCCAGGCACAGAAACGACAGTTAAGGTTCCCCCGGACCGTACGCTGGACCTTGCCTCCCCGGCTCCTAACGGGAGACGGGCTGCCGTAAAGCTTCGCTTTGCCGACTGCTGCAAAGCGCCTTACGACTGAACCCGGAATCGACCTATGGCCAGCAGTCGTCCCCGCCCTGCTTCAAACATTTGGGTTTCAGGAGCCGGGCGGAGGTGACTGCCGCGTGTTTGCGTTGCACGCCCACCGCCCGAAACACGGCGGCGGCCTCAGGGCTGCTGCGGCCTCGGCGGGGGCAGGCCCCGGCGCCCGCCCGCCTCCCGGCCTCCATCATCCCAGGGTGCACCGCGGCGGGCGCGGGCGCGCGGCCATGTTGCGGTAGTTTGTTGTTTTCTTCCTGCGGAGGCGAAGGGCCAGCTGTGGACCGCGAAGCGCCCGGCTTCGCCTCTGCCTCCTGCAGCCCCCTCCCTTCTCTGTCCTCCGTCACCCGTACCCGGGCCCGGACCAGGCACGTCGGCCCACCAGCTGGCTTGGTGGGGGAGGCTGAAGGCCGGGCCCCGCGAGTGCCATGGCGGCCGCCCTGGGAGCGAGCGGAGGAGCAGGCGCCGGAGGTACGTGAGGCAGCCGGACTCTGGGGGCCAGGACCGCGCCGCGGTGGGCGGGGGTGTAGGCCGGGGGGCCTCCCCGCTTAGGAGAGGACGAGGCTCTCCCCGGCTCCGACTCTCTTTGTGTTCGGCCTATTCCGTTTTCTCCCTCGCCTTCCCTCGCTATTGTCATTCTCCCTTTCTCGCTCCTCCTCTCCGCTGTGCAGATCGTACTTACCTGTGAACTTCTGTGTGTCCTCTACTTTGCAAGGCTGCCTAAGTGTCAGGCCCATCTCTGGCGTTGGCGGGCATTAAGTGCCGAAGCCGGCCTGGTGTCCTATGGGTAGGAGAGCGCCCCCCCCACCCCCCGAGACAGTGTCACTTAGGGAGAGCGGGGCAGGTCGCTGTAGGGTGGGTGTTTAAGATTGTGGGGCCATCCTGACAGATTTAGATTGATTTGAAGCCCATTACAAAAACATAACGAAAAGATTCACCTGTGTGAAGGAATGTGCGACAGTAGGCCAGTTTGGAAAGTGAGATTTCTTGAGAAAGTCTCAATAAATCCCTGTTTTAAATTAACTTATTTGTTGTCTAATAACCTGTTAGTGTTTTATGTGCGTCTTCCAAAAGTGAAAACGTGACACAAAAGGTTTAGATACTGAGTCAGTTCCTTTGGATAGTTTTTCTTGTTTGCAAGCATAAACAGTATTGATGAAACACCTATCTCTAAAAAATTGTAGGTAAATTACTTTCAGGTAAAATTACATATCACTGGGGGTTTTAAAAACGTGGAGAGATACTTGAAAGTGACTTTTTAAGTGATTATTTTGAAAACTTTGAAAAGATGGTAAAATATGGATAACAAAAGCATTTGGGATTAGTTCTTACCATTGAAACGTTGAAAAGCCAGTCTAGTGTATACTCGAGAAGTATTTTTTAGTAAATGCTAGCAGATGGTTACGTTGTTATCATCCTGTTTAGGAATTTTGGCCCAACTGTCAAAACGTTTGCCTGACAAAATGGAAAAACAAAAAAGACTAAGTGTAGGAATGTCGCTTCTGGCAATTTGGTTTGCTATATGCCACTTTTCTTTCAGTTTAAATACATGATGTTTGCGTGTTACATCTGAGACTAATTAAAATTTTAAAATGTATAGTTCACCTATCTTTCTGGGGGTCAGAATTACTTGTTTTATAGCATTCCCAGTGTAACCTGGGAACTCTTGGGTGAACACTCTTTTCATTAGAAAGACTAAGGTGTTATTTGTATTTTTTCTCTTTTCTTTCAGTAGTGTACAGTGGAGTTTTCTAGAGGCTGAATAACATGTGAAGACGTTATGCTGATGGCTAATGGAATATATGCTTGTGTATTCTTTTACGTTTCTCATTTTAAATTTCTAAAATAGTAATATCACTGAATGTAATCCAGATAAACAGGCATTTTTGGGTCTTCAATAATTTTGAGGTCAGAAGTTTTGAGAATTGCTATTTTAGAAGAATAAGTAGGCTTTATTCATGATGCTTTGGAGTTTTTCCTTCCATTTTGTCACAAGTGCCAAAGTTTCCTTTGCTCTTCATACCAAACTCCTTGCCAAGATTTGTGAGTTCTGTATGACTTGGTCCCTGCCTACCCCACCAGCATGTTGTGTGATTGCTTCCTTTATCCTGGAAGTTCATCGCATGGACTGCTCCTGTACCCGCTCTTGCCAGGGCTGACTCCTGATCCAGTGGATCTCACGCTTTTAAGGGAGGCTTTCCTTGAGAATTCATTGTATCTGAGGAATGTATGTCCGTTGCTCTTGTGCCTCTCTTGTCTTCATTCTCTAGCACCTTTGTTTGTTTTCTTCAGAACGTTTATCTTAATTTGTAATTTTCTTCAGTTTTTACTTGTTTTTTAAATCTGCCTCCCACAGTAGCCTGTAAACCTCATGAGGACAAAAATGCTACCTGTTTTACCATGCGTTCCACGTGTTCCTGGCACATAGCATGTGTTCAACAAACATTTGGTGAATGAATTAAAGGATGAAATGTTTTCTTTACGAATAGGAAATAATATAATTGTATGCTAAGTTATGTTAGTCATTTCCACGTGATTTACCTGTGTAACTGATTAAATCATGTTAGCTTGGAGAAATATTTACATTGGTAATACCTTATTGAGCTATCGATAGCTTATTTGGCAGCTCAGTTTAGCATATTGTCTAGCACAGTGACTTTCAAACTTCTTAAAATGGCAGCCACAGAAATGTGATTGACATTGTGATTTAGTACATACATAAAAGTTAAAAAAAATTTCATGAACAATACTGGTCCATACTATGCCATGCACTCTAATGTTTTCTATTTCATTACAGTAAAATGCTGGTTGTGACCTGGATTAATTTCACAACCTACAAAATGTTCG
Organism: Homo sapiens; assembly: GCF_000001405.40. Classification (NCBI taxonomy): domain Eukaryota; kingdom Metazoa; phylum Chordata; class Mammalia; order Primates; family Hominidae; genus Homo; species Homo sapiens. Next base: position 155,647,296 of record NC_000007.14, read on the forward strand.
AGATTGTCAGTTTGAAAATCACTGGTCTCTTGTATAGTAAGTGGTTAGTATTTATTGAATAAAATAGGTCTTGGCTATCCACAATCTGGATAGCCAAAATGGGTACCACAAAGTGTCTATAGGAGTGTTTGCTTATTTTTTACTTTTTTTTTTGAGACAGGGTCTTGCTGTGTTGCCCAGACTGGAGTGCAGTCGTATAATCATGGCTAATTGCAGCCTTGGACTCCTGGGCTCAGTTGATTCTCCCACTTCAGCCTCCTGAGTATCTGGGACTGCAGGTGTGCACCAGCACGCCTGGCTAATTTTTGTATTTTTTGTGGAGACAGGGTTTTGCCAAGGTGCCCAGGCAGGAACTCGGGCTCAAGTGATCTGCCCGCCTCAGCCTCTCAGAGTGCAAGGATTACGTGAGCCACCATGCCTTGGCATGATACATTTCAAAGGAGTCATTTGGTATTGCAGCCAAGTAGTAAGGATAGAGAAATGGAATTGCTATCCTTACTAATAGCAGAGAGAATGACAACTGTTATTTATTGGAGACTGAAAACAAAAACATAAAGGCAAAAACATGGCATTTTGGGGAAGGAACAAATAGTTTAATGAGTTTCAAGATCTTCTAGTTCCAGTGCTTCCTTGTAAAATATAAAATAAAAAATCAGTACACAAATCGTAAAAAGCCTCCAACCTAGTGAGTGCGTTATCTCACTTAAGATTTACAACAGCATTCTTGGGCCTGAGCTAATCTGATTTTATAGGTGAGGTGAAAAAATGGGTGCTTGTAAATTTTTTGTTTTCTAGTCAATTCTTAGAAATAAAAAGTTTTAATGGGAAATTTCAAACACATCCAGTAGTAGAATAATGAACCCACATACCCATCACCTAGCATCAACATTCTGGCAATCTGTTTTCATCCCCCCACCTCCACTTTTGTATATTTCAAACAAATCCTAGGCTGGTAAAATTTTAGAGCAAGATACACTGCTGGGATGAGTTAAGACTTTAGATACTAAACCAGTTGCTTTAATTTACATTTGATAGTAAACTAGCCGAGAAAAGTTCAGCCACCTAGCTGTTAAGAAAGGGAAGTAGACTCGAATTCAGGTTTTTTGACTTCTAGTTCAGTGTTCCTTCCACTGTGTCAGTATGTAGTAAGGCAGGAAAGTATGAAGCATGGTGCAGAAGGTTTTCATTCGAAATTGTGAAAGTGAAACAAGTTTTAGTACTTCAACAGGTAAAATTTACCTGGTAGGAAATTTTTGGAGCATTTTAATCACTAATAGTGCTGATAAATGAGATGTTTTCATACTGATAATTATGTGTGTATTTAATTCTTTTTTTTTTTCCTTCAAGAAAATCTTTCATGCTTAATTTCTTAGCTTCAATCAAGAGAGTTTGAGGAGTCGGGAAAGAATAGCCTTTCTCATTTCAGCCATGAGTACTTTTAGCATTTCTTGTAGGGCAGGTGTACTAATGACAAAGTCCCTTAGGTCATACCTGGGGATATAATTTTTGAATGGCAGTTTGAAATATTTCATCCTATCACCTTCTGGCTTCCATCGTTTCTGATGAGAAATTGACTGTTAATCTTATGGAGGATCCTTTGTACATGACATGTCACTTCTCTCTTGGTGTATTCAAGATTCTCTTTGTCTTTGGCTTTTGATAGTGTGATCATAATGTGTTTCTGTGTGGGTCTCCAGATTTATCCTGCTTGGAGTGGTGAGCTTCTTGAATATGTAGGTTCATGTCTTTCACCAAATTTGGAAGCTTTTTATTTTTTTCTCCAGTTCTTTTTCCTGCTACTTTGTTTTCTCCTTCTGGGACTCCCATAATGCATAGATTGGTACTTTTAATGATGTCCCCGTTTTTTAAGGCTCTGCTTATTTTTCCTCTGCTCCTTAGACTGGATAATTTCAATATTTTCCTGTTTCCTCACCTATAGCACCCTTGTTTTCTTCAGAACGTTTATCTCAATTTGTAATTTTCTTTAGTTATTTACTTGTTTTTTAAATCTGCCTCCCACATAAGCCTGTAAGCCTCATGAGGAGAAAAAATGCTGTTTTACCATGCATTCCACATCTTCCTGGCACATAGCATGTGTTAGATATTTGGTGAATGAATTAAAGAATGACATATTTTCTGTATGAATCTGAAAAAATATAATTGTATCCTAATTTATGTTAGTCAATTCCACATGATTCACCTGTGTAACTGATTAAATCATGTTAGCTTGATTTTTTCGGTCCCTCAGTTTTGGGACTGAAAATTGGACATTTTAAATATGGTGATGTGGAAATTTTGGAAGTCAGAATGTCCCCCCCCTTTTCTGGGTTTGCTATATTTCTTGTTGTGGCCTTCAGTTGTCTGGTTTTTTAATGACTTGCCAAATGAAGAGACTCTATTCCTTGTCTCCTGTGGTCACTGATGTCTCCATTGTGTTGTATCATTGCCCAGCCAGTGATCTGATGGAGATGTCCTCAAATGGCTGGAGCTGCAAATAAAACAAAACCAAAACCAAAAAACAAACAAAAACTCCTGTGCTTACGTTACTTCATTGCTCATCCAGGCCACCTATAACCCCAACCTTAGCCTCACCTTCTGCATATGCGTAGCTCAAAGATCAGCCAGAGGTATAAATCTAGGGTTCTTTCAAGTTGTTTTCTGAGCATGTGCCCAGCCTTCAGCATATGCATGGTCTTCCAGATTTCCCATTATACATGGGAGCCCCCAACACTCTCATTCCTTCATATATTTTCCTCCTCAGCCTCTTCTTTCCCAGGCTTTTCAGTTTGTATGTTGCTAACCCTGGCCATCATCCCTTGCCCCAGGTGACCCTGGTTAGTGGATGTCTTTAAATGCTTTTGACAAGCACTGCCTGGGATGCCGCTCTAGCTCTGAGAGAGTTCTGAAGGGGTGGTCTCTGAGCTGATTCCTCAGCTCAGGTCACAATGCACAATCACAATTTTTTGAGGACAGGTTCTTATTGACCCCTTTAGCATCACTGCACCAGGAGCACTGACTGCCATCCCCAGTGCTGCCTCTGAGCTGTGAAACGCTTTCTCTGCATCTGTTGTGATTATGTGTTCTTCCCCTGTTCTTTAATCTCTTAATGTAATCTATTGATAGATTTCCAGTGCTGAACTAAGCATGCATTCTGGGGTTCAAAATCTTGATCTCCACATTTTGTTCTTTTTAATATATTGTTGGATTTCATTTTAGGATTTATCTCTGATCATAAGGGAGACTGACTTACTGTTTTCTTCCTTGGTATTTGTGTGTACATTTGTGCTATCCTTTTATTTATGATATGTTGGTTTTTAGAATGAGTTGTGAAATTTTCTGGGATGGTGTAAAAATCTGTTATTGACTGTGGAAGAACTCTTTTCTCCAGAGCCATTTGGGTCTGGTTCCCTTTAAAAAAGTTATCTTTTCAATTTCCTGTATTATTATTGATTTATTTAGTTTTATAAGATGAAAAGTCAATTACGATCATTTAAATTTTCCTAGAAAAATTATTCTTTATGTTCAGATTTCCACATTGATATAGAGTTAAGCAATGCCACAGCTTCTTTTTGTTGTTGTTGTTGTTGTTTTTGTTTTGAGACGGACTCTCGCTCTATCGCCCAGGCTGGAGTGTTGTAGTGGTGTGATCTCAGCTCACTGCCACCTCCACCTCTTGGGTTCAAGCGATTCTTCAGCCTCAGCCTCTCAAGTAGCTGGGATTACAGGCACATGCTACCACACCCAGCTGATTTTTGTATTTTTAGTAGAGACGGGGTTTTGCCACGTTGGCCAGGCTGGTCTGGAACTCCTGACCTCAGGTGATCTGCCCGCCTCGGCCTCCCAAAGTGCTAGGATTACAGGCGTGAGCCACTGCACCTGGCCGACAGCTTCTTGAGTGTGTGTGTTGAAGGTAAATTTTTTGAGATTGAGACTCCTGAGTCTGAAGGAAATTTTAATTTTCACAACTTGATTGGTGGTTTTGTTGGGTCCAGAATTTTAGATTTGAGTTTATTTTTGTAAGATTTTTGGCGGTATTGTTGTGTTTTCTGGCATCCAGATCTGCTCTTGAGAAGTTTGAGGACATTCTGATTCCTAATCATTTTTTATGTGACCTTTTTTCATTCTAGAAGTTTTTAACAACATTTTCTCCTCTTTGTTTGACATTTCATCCCTTAAACTCAGCCATTTAGAAGGCTTCATGGCTAGGCCAGGAGGTGGAGGTTGTAGTGAGCCGAGATCGCACCACTGCACTCCAGCCTGGGCAACAGGGAAACTCTTTGTCTCACCAAAAAAAAAAAAAAAAAAAAGGGTCTAGGTTCCTGGGAAAAGAAATGAGTGTCAGTTCCTATAGATTTTAAGTCATGATGGGAACATCCAGTAGGCTGAGCTCAGCTCACTTGCCTCTTCTCGGCTACCCAAGTTTATAGAGCAAGCCTTTATAACTTCCATAATAGGAGGGGTCCTATCTCATATCAAGCAGGAATTCTATTATGATTGATTTTTAAACCCTGAATGATGAAAGTTTGTTGAAAGACAAACAAATGACCAATGAGGACTACACTTCATAAACAAAATAAAAACTTCATTTTAGGGAGAACCTCTCCTGGGGCCCGTGTAACATAGGAGATTTTTAAAACAGTGACTACAAATTATTTCTAAAGCAACATGGTGTAGGAACTCTTTCTGAAAATTTGGCTTGGCTATTCAGAACTTACTAGTTATGCTGTAAGGCTCATATGTTCACTTCGAAAGTTATTGGACATTACCTGATTTGTAGTTAATATTTAAATAAAGGATCTGGATTTCCTCATCTATAAAATAAGGAATTTTGACTATTAGTGATTTGGACTAGGAACATATTATACATGAGTGTGATATTGAGGAAAAAGAAGGTTGAGAACCTTTGGAATACAAAGGTCAGCAAACTTTTTCTGTAAAGGGTCAGATAGTAAATATTTTAGGCTTTGCAGGGCAGATGAGTTTTGTTGGAAGTGCTGAACTCCGCCGTTTACCTTGAAAGCAGCCATAGACAATATATGCCTGAATTGGAATAGCTGTGTTCCATTAAAAGCTTATTTACATACACGGGTGGTAGCTAAATTTGGGCAGAAACAGGTGGCAGGCCCTACTTGGCCCATGGGCTTTGGTTTGCTGACCCTTAGATTAGATAATTGCTAGAACCCTATCACAAGCTAATAGTCTATGTGGTATCTTATCCAAGTCGAGGATTCTGGAAAAGAAGAAGAAATAGAATGGTAAGTAAAAGTTTGTGTTAACTGTAGATGTCTGATTGCTGCATGATAGAGAATTGTAGAAATCTAGTAGATATCTTCAGTCTTGAAGGAAAATTGATCCCCCTATTAAAATAGAATGTCTTGTACAATGTTTAGGCCTTAGAAGGAGATTTTCCAGGTAAGGAGGTCATTGACCTCTTTCGTTTTGCTCAGTTAATATTTTACCCCTTGGCTTTCATGGATGTGCTGTTCTTCCTTTAAAGTTCTGGACTAATGGGGACACATTTTTTCTTCTTGGTTCTGTTTAATATGACTGCTATGAACTGGAACTTTAAAAAGTATTTGTATTCTAAAGGAAAACAGAGGGAAATGACTCAGAATATATTAAGAATATAAACAGGCTGTACAGGGTTCTTGTGTTAGCTTGCCCTGTAAGATTTTGAGTCATTATTTCACTTAGCATGATGTCTTCAAGATTCATCAGTGTCGTAGCATGTGTCAGAACTTCCTTTTTAAGGCTAAATAATATTCCATTATATATCTATACTATTTTTTTTTAAACCATATATCCTTCAATAGACACTTGAGTTGCTTCCACCTTTTGGTTATTGTAAATAATACTAATAGGAGCTTGAGTATATTAATGTGTCTTCAAGTGCCTGCTTTCAGTTCTTTTGAGTGTATACCCAGAAATGGAATTGCCACGCCAGTCCTTGGATTTAGGGGCCAGTCTTAATCCAGAATGACTTCATTTTAACTAATTACATCTGCATAGATTCTATTTCTAAATAAGGCCACATTCTGAGGTTCTGGTGGACATGCCCTTTTGGGGGATGCTGTGGTATGATAAAAAATGAATATTTTTTTCTGCCCAGGTTCCCTCGGCAGAACTTTGGAAACCCTTTGAATTTACTATCTTTTCTACACTAATGAGATGGCTTATAGCGGGGGTGGGGGCCCTAGATAGCTTTGGGGTGGGGGCTTGTCAGAAAAACTAACCCCATGTTAAGAGGGTTAGAACGTTCAGGCTCAACCCCCAGCCTCCCTCGAGGGGAGGGGCTGGAGATTGGTGGTAATCACCATTAGTCAGTGATTTAATCATCAGGTTTAGGGAGCTTCTGAGTTGGTGAGCACCTCCTCGTGCTGGGAGGGTGGTGCACCCTGACCCTTCAGACTGGCCCTGTGTACCTCTTCATCTGGCTCTTCATTTGTATCCTTTATAATAAACTGTAACAGTAAGTACGGTGTTTTCCTGAGTCCTGTGAATTGTTATAGTAATAGCAATGGGGGGAGGTGTGATAACCCCAGAATTTGTAGACTTCAGCCAGGGAGAAGTGTGAGTAGCCTGGGCACCTCATTGCAGTTGGCATCTGAAGTGGGGCAGCCTTGTGAAACTGAGCCCTTAACCTGTGGGGCCTGCCCGAACTCCAGATGATTAGTATTAGGATTGAATGGAGTTGTTGGTATTGCAGTATGATTGTGCAATTTGGTACAGTCAGCAAGTCAAACTTTTAAAAAATATTGCAAAAGATGGCTGAGTGAAGTGTAATAATACACATGCAGCATTTTAAAAACCAAACTTATTAACTTCTACCCCACCCTCAAATAAACCAGCACGTATATCCATCAATCCACAACTAATCCAGATTCAAAATACTGATGTTTTCATTGACTTCTCCTTCCTTGTTCTATTCAGTTAGTCAACATGCCTTGGAATTTCTAAATTGACAGTTTCTGGTTCATGCATTTGTCTTATTCTCCCTTCTGTTTCTTCACCGTGATGCTAACCACATTTTTTTTTCTTAATGGTTGGTTTGTAGTTACTTTGTTTTACCATTGTTTATGTTTTATCGATTAATTAGTTCTTGCTTCTTGCTACTAGATTACCTTTCCTAAACTGAGGCTGTGTTGCATATGAAGTATAGATTTCTTACGTTGCTTTTCTAGTAATGCCCCAAATCTTTACCACCTTTTCTTTCTGACTACTTCTCTCTATGAGTGTGCTTTCAACTCACCTGAACTCCTTGCTGTGCTCTAGGCTTGTGGAACTCAGCCTCTGTGCTGTTATTTCCCTGGAATGCCCATCTACTTGACAAAAATGTAGTTATTCTCAGCCTTCATCTCAGTTATTACCTAGTGTGTCAAACCAAACTTGATTTTCCCCAGCCCTCATCACATTGTGTATATTTTTTGGAATCTTTACTCAAATTTAAGTCATTCATTAATTTAAGTTCATTTGCTTTTTTGCTGATAAATTTACATAATATGAAACTTAATACTTCATTAAAAATTTTATATATTGTCCTCTTTTAATAATTTTATTTGTCCTCACATTATATGTTCACATGTGTGCACAGATAAACATTGGTGGTGATGTTCTTCTCCTAGTTTTACAATTGTTTTTATCAGAGAAATTTGGGATGATTGTAATATCTTTGTGCTTTTAGGTATTGCAATAATATTTCATAATGATCATGTATTAGTTTGGTATAGATAATCAAGCTATTACTCTAATAAATGAGTTTTTTAAAAGTTTAAGGAAGAATAAAGAAGACCATAAATCCATAATTAATTCTGTGTGAACAGATAACTACCATTGTAGCAGTTTGGCTTATATCCTGGGCACACGTGTACACGTATGTTTTACATACACAGTGGCCATACCATATTGTATGATATTGGAGAATTCCCCCCCATTATATTATTGGGGATATTTTTTCATGTCAGGAAACAGTTTGACTTTAAAATTCTTATTGCTGCCTAATATGTAACTACATGACTGTACTTTTATTTGACCTCTCTGCTCTGGCTTTTTTTTGTTGGGCATTTGGTTTATTTCTACTTTTTCCTATTAATAAAACACTTCTTGATGAACATCCTTGTACATATTACCTTTGTTCACTAAATGATGAACAGTATTTATCAAAATCTTGGGAGTCCCCGAGACTATGTCAGAGTGTCTGTGAAGTCAGACTATTTTCATAACGGTATTAAGGCTGTTTGCCTTTTTTTTTTTTTTTTTTTTTTTTTACTGTGCTGACATTTGCATCAATGTTGCAAAAGTAATGGTGGGTACATTCTCTGGTGTTTTAACATGAATTAAGGCAGTGACAATTATTTATTTTATTAAATCTTGATCCTAAAGTGCATTTAAAAAATCTTTGTGACAAGTAGGGAGCATATGCATAAAGGACTTCTGTTTCGTACTGAAGTATAACAGTTGTCTTCAGGAAAAGTACCTGTCCAGCTGGCATGGTAGTGTGCACCTGTGTTCTCAGCTACTTGGAGGCTGAGGCGGGAAGCTCACTTGAACCCAAGAGTTCAGTCCAGTCTGGGTAACATTGCAAGACCCCGTCTCTTAAAAAATAAAAATAAAAAAAGGTACTTGTTCAATTTAATTGTGAGCTGAGCTAGCTTTTCTTATTTCTTCTGTAGAACATCATTTTTACTTGAAAGGACAATTGACAGACTGTGGTTATTCAGATTTTAGTGCTTGGCGGATACATTCTTGAAAATGAAGTGAGCCTGTCACTTCAAGTAAAACAGTGGACATTATTTGTTGCCAATGATAATATGTAAGTTTTCAAACAAAAATGAGAATTTTGAAATACTTATATTTGATATTGTGAGCTTGAAAACTTCCCAGCACTTGAGGACTTTCCTGGTGAGATTGGTGATGTTGTTAACCAGTGTGATTTTGTATATTGGATAATGAAATGTGTTAGCATTTGGAGTACTACATAAATCAGGGCACCAATATTTTCAAAATGACCACTGCATGGTGGCACAAAATCATGGTTAAAGATCCAATAACAGTACAAGACACGCTTGGACTTTAACATAACAGGTATGAAATATTAATTGCTGTGGCTTCAGATTCTGCATTGCAGCCAGTCTTTAAGAAGTGGCCACTTTTTGATTATTAGTGTAGTATCGAAGAATATCTAAAATTGTTTGAAAAGACAAAGTACTTCTTTTTACAACTACGTATTTATTTGGAGTCAGATTTCTTTCATGTGTTTCAGTCAAAAAACATATCGAGTGAGACTCCATCTCAGGAAAAAAAAAATATGTGTATGTATATATCTCACAAGAGATTGAATGCAGAAGCAGATAGAAGAATTCAGCTGTTTTCTACAAAGTCAGACATTAAAGAGTTTTGGAAAACTAAAAAATATTTGTTTTATAGACTTTTTGTCATTAAAATATGTTGCATTAACATGTAATACTGATTTGTTTCTTAAGTTTGACTATTCTTTTTAAAATTATAGTCAGCCCAGTTTGTACCAGCTGACCCTTACCTCATTTCCTGTCTTCTTTACCCTCCTGCTCTAGTCTTTTCCAATAAAGGCCTTAAGTTACATACCATATATTAGTTTATTGGGATTACTGTTTGTCTTTTCTTACTAGAATGTAACCTACACAGGGTGAAGGTTTTTTTTTTTTTGTCTTGTATGTCAGTTGTCTAGAACAGTGCCTGGCATATATTATGTGGTCAAGAAATAGTTGTCGAGTGAAGGATACAGGTTTCATGACTCTTCATTTGTATTCATATTTTTTGCTTATCTTGCATTCTCTGATTTTGGAATGATTTCAACAGCCACTTTCCTTAGTATTTTATGGCGTCTCTCCTTTGGGAAAATACTTTAATTATTTTTGATGATCCTGGCCTCTAATTTTGGCTTTTGTAGATTTAACTCTGAAATTTCCGGAAAGTGCTACGTAGCACGATGGCAGTTAAATTTCCTTCCGGAGTGCCCGCGCTGATGCACAGTGTGAGATGAACACAGGGATTCCTAACCCTAGCTGTCCATCAGAATTAGTGGGAACTTTAAAAAGCAAAAAGAGCCCACTGAATCAAAAATCAGTGAGGAGGCCAAGGATTATATGCTTGTTAACAAGGTTATAATACTTGTTATTAGCTAGCCTGGCAAAAAGATGTTCTGGTTTCAGCAGAATTAGATGCTCTTTTTTTTCGTTTTTTCTTATTTTGGTCTCACTGTTTTGTCCAGGCTGGAGTGCAGTGGCCATGCACAGGCATGAGCATGGCACACTACAGCTTCAAATTTCTGACCTCAAGCAATCCTCGCTTCTCAGGCTCCCAAGTAGCTAGGGCAACAGGCTCCAGCCACTGCACCCAGTGGATGCTCTAATTAATTAGCAATGTCTGCCATGGATGATTGTGATTAAGTACTAATTTCTTCGCTGTGTCTTAATGAGAAAAAAGTCACAAGCTAAATTTTTAGCTTATAAAATATTGGGATTTTGCTTCTGTTTTCATAGATAGGGAATGCTCCTTGTTTTCATGAAGCATGACTTTTGATGTTTTAAAATTCATTAAGAACTATTTTTTGGCCTAACGTGTATCAGGGACAGTGCATCCTCTACATTTAAAAATAATGTATATTTTGCACTTGTTGGTCCAAGTACCCTGTATTGGCTGTTAGGTCTAGTTGATTTATAGTATTTGAGTCCTCTATATCCTTATTAATCTTTTACCTGGATTTCATATTTGTTGAAAGTGGGGTGTTGAATTCTCTAAGTATTAATGTAGATCAGTCTCTTTCTCCCTTCATTTTTGTCAACATTTGCTACATCAATTTTGGTGTTCTGTTTCAGTGCATATATGTTTATAATTGTTATATCTTGATGAATTGACCCTTTGATCGGTATACAGTATTCCTTCTTTTTGAAACAATTTTGGATTTAAAAATATTTTATCTGATATTAGTGTAACTTTGCCAGCTGCCTTTTGGTTACTATTTGCGTGAAATATCTTTTTCCATCCTTTCACTTTCAATTTATTAGTGTCTTTGGGTCTAAAGTGAGTCTCTAATAGGCAGCATATAGTTGGATTTTTTTTTTTTTTTTTTTTTGAGACGGAGTGTCTCTCTGTCGCCCAGGCTGGAGTGCAGTGGCGTGATCTTGGCCCACTGCAACCTCTGGCCCACTGCAACCTCCGCGGGGTTCAAGTGATTCTCCTGCCTCAGTCTCCTGAGTAGCTGGGATAACAGGCGCTCGCCACCAAGCCTGGCTAGTTTTTGTATTTTTAGTAGAGACGGGGTTTCACCATCTTGGTCAGGTTGGTCTCAAACTCCTGACCTCATGATCCACCCGCCTCGGCCTCCCAAAGTGCTGGGATTATAGGCGTGAGCCACCGCGCCCGGCTGCTTGTTTGTTTTTAATCCTCTCTGCCAGTCTGTGATGTGACAGAAGGTAGTCAAGTGGGAAATGCCAGATGCCAGTCCTTCCAGTGGAACAACTATTGACCTGGCAAGAACTGTTGGAAGCAACCGTTTTGGAACTTGAGAACCTAACATTGGTTTTCATCACTGATGGGCTGGTACAGAGGCTCTCTCTGTTATTTTCATCCCCCTCTGCTGAAGCAGTTTCTCCTCAGCTTTGTTCATTTTTCCTTTTTATTGGATGCAGGCATTTAAGGAAATCTACCAGGTCGCTGGTTGATTAGGGAGATAACAGTAGACAGACTTCAGTGACCACACTTAAGGAATATAATAAATAGTAGTTTTAAAAAGCCATTAAACAAATGGACAGCAACCTTCATTGTGTAACAGCAGCAACTCTGGGGAAGGAGAATCTGGTTTCTAGAGTTACTACATTGCAATGTACAGAATATCCAGTTTTAAATAGTAAATAGTAAATAAAATACTACATTGTATAGAAAGAAGCCTGAAAGTATGGCCCATTCATAGTAGAAAAAGAAATAGAAACCACAAGGATACCCAGACATTGGATTTACTAGACAGATGCTTTAACCTTCTTAAATATGCTTAACGTGCTTTAGGAAACTATGAACCAAAAAGCTAAAGGAAATCTGGAGAATGATATATGAAGAAGTAGAGAATATTAATAAAGAAATTATTAGAAGGAAACAACTTCTGGAACTCAAAAGTACAGTAGCTAAAGTAAACTCTTTAGAGGGGATCAGTAGCAGATTTGAGCAAGCAGAAGAATCAGCAAACTTGAAGGTCAATTGAGATGATCCCATTGGAAGAGCAGAACGACAAAACAATGCATAAAAATGAACAGAGTCTAAAGGACCTACGGGACACCACCAAGTGTACTTATATACACATAGGAGACCCACGAGAGCAAGAAATTGACAGAAAAAAAATCTGAGGAAATAATGGCTGAAAATTGCCAAATTCATATACAAATATATAGCTAAAAGATAGGAATCTATACATCCAAGTACACCACACACTGGATATATTAAAACAACAGAAATTTATTCACAGGTCAGGAGACCGGAAGTCCATATTAATGTACCAGCAGGGCCACACTCCCTGTGAAGCCTCTAGGGGAGAATCCTTTGCCTCTTCCAGCTTTTGTTGGCTTCCTGCATTCCTTGGCTTATGGCAGCATAACTCAAGTCTTTGGCTTCACATGACCTTTCTCCTCTGTATGTGTCTGTTTGTCCCCAAATCTCCCTCTCCTTATGTAGACATCAGTCGTCATTGAATTTAGTGCCCTCTTTAATATCCAGTGTGATCTCATCCGAACTTGATTATATCTGTAAATAGCTTTTTCAGTTTTAGAGACAGGGGCTTGCTCTTTTGCCCAGGCTAGACTACAGTGAGTCAGTCATAGCTGACTGACTACACCCTCTGCCTCCTGGGCTCAAGCAGTCCTCCCACTGCAACCTCCTGAATGGCTGAGACTACAGGTGTGCACCACCACACCCAGCTAAGTTTTAAAGTTTTTTGTAGAGGTAGGATCTGGATATATTGCCCAGGCTGGTCTTGAACTCCTGGCCTCAAGCGACTACCTTGGCCTCCCAAAGTGTTGAGATTACAGGCATGAGTCACTATGCTCGGCCTTGTTTCTAAATAAAATCACATTCACAGGTGGCAGAAGGAGGGGTAAGACTTCAGCATATATTTTTTGGGGATACAATTCAACCAGTTATAAGCAGTTCTGCCAGCAACAGATTTCTTCCTGTTCTGTTCATCTGTGAATGTCTTTATGAAAGATCATGTTGGTGGATTTGGGACTCTTTGAGCACTTTGAATAGGTCATCTTACTGCCTCTGGCTGCTTCTGTTTTGATGAGAATCAACTATTGCACTTCCATTGTAGGTGATGAGTCATTTTTGTCTTGGTGCTTTCAAGGTTTTTTCTGTGTCTTTGGCTTCGAAACATTTTGACTACGTTGTGTGTGTTTGTAAATCGTTGAGTTTATTATCATTTGAGTTTGTTGAGCCTTCTGGATGTATAGATAAATATTTTCCAGTACCTTTTGGAAGTTGTCAGCCATTATTTCTTTGAGTATTTTTTCCTTCTCCTGTCTGTCCTCTCCTTCTGGTGCTCCCATTACACGTATATTGTTGTGCCTCCTGATGGCCCCACATTTCTTTGAGGCTGTGTTCAGTTTTCATTTTCTGATTTCTGTTCTTTGGATTATGTCATCTCTGTTATCTGTTTTCAAGTTTACTAAGTCTGCTAGTTCACATCTACTACTGAGCCCCTCTAATGAACTCATTTTAGTTATTTTTCAATTTCAGAATTTCTATTTGGTTTTTAAAAATAATTTCTGTGTGTGTGTGTGGTGTGTGTGTGTGTGTGTGTGTGTGTGTGTGTGTATATATATATATATATTTTTTTTTTTTTGAGACAGAGTCTCACTCTTGCCAGGCTGGAATGCAGTGGTGCAATGTCTGCTCACTGCAATCTCTGCCTCCCTGGTTCAAGCCATTCTCCTGCCTCAACCTCCCGAGTAGCTGGGATTACAGGCATGCATTACCACACCCACCTAATTTTTGTATTTTTAGTAGAGACAGGTTTCACCATGTTGGCCAGCATGGTCTCATGATCCCCCTGCCTTGGCCTCCTGAAGTGGTTTTTTTTTTTTCTTTCTTTTTTTTTCTTTTTTTTCCCAGACAGAGTCTTGCTCTGTGGCCCAGGCTGGAGTGCAGTGGTGTGGTCTCGGCTCCCTGCAACCTCTGCCTCCTGGGTTCAAGCAATTCTCTTGGCTCAGCCTCCCGAGTAGCCGGGATTACAGGTGTGTGCCATCACATCTGGCTAATTTTTGTATTTTTAGTAGAGACGGAGTTTCGCCATGTTGGCCAGGCTGGTCTCGAACTCCTGACCTCAAGTGATCCACCTGCCTTGGCCTCCCAAAGTGCTGGGATTACAGGTGTGAGCCACTGCACCTGGCCTGTTTATTCATATTCTTTATTTGACCTGACACTGTCATCATATTTTCTTTCGGTTTTTTGATCATGGTTTCATTTAATTCTTTGAACATATTTATAATGGCTACTTACAGATCTTTTTCTATGAAATCTGACGCCTGATCCTCTCACATGCAGTTTATGTTGCCTGCTTTTTGTTGTCGTTGGATTATAGGTTATATATCTTCTTGTTTCTTCCATATCTTGTAATTTTTTGTTGAAGTCTGGACATTTTAGATAATATGTTGTAGCAACTCTGGGTGCTGGTCTCCCTGTTCTCCCACCCCTGGGCTAATTACTGTTATTTGCTTCTTCACTCCTTTGTTGACTGGCTGGGTTATTTTAATGAAGTGTTCACCCCTCCGCCGAAGCTTCTGATGTTGCTCCGCAGTGACCACAGCCTTGGGCATGCCCAAGGATTACCCTGGGATGGTTGTCATGGCTTTGATTGTCTCTCTCTGAGCACACCTTCCGTAATGCTCTGGGGCATAAATTGCTTTATAAATTGAGCCCATCACATTCAGGCTCCTTTGAATGGATACTGTCCATGGTTCGTGTTTGAGATTTGTTCTGACCCAAGCAGGGGCCCTCCTCACCTGTCTGTGTCCCCATTTCTCTCCAGCACAGCAGCTCATCTACATTCTGGCCATATTTCCAGCTGCTTTTACCACTCTCTTCCCAGTTAGCTCTCACCAGAACTCTCCCTCACTGTTTTTGGGAGCACTCTTTGGCTTGAAGTCAGTTTCTTTGGAGAGTTTTGGAGCACTCTTGTTCTAAATGTCTGCTTCCTCACCCCGCCCCCCCCGCTCTGAGCCACAGCATTTGTGCTGTGGCTGTGGACAGTGGTGTACCAGTCTCTGGGTGATACCCTTGCCTTAGGAGCTGAGTGCCTGGGAACTGGGGGAAAGCAGCAGCCCCAGGTCTCCTCAATTTGACTTTCTTGGTGTGGGACCCCCAGCCCTTGACCCAGGGCAGGGGTTCTCTGGTTCCAGCAGTGTCTGTTCCATGAGTGGGACCTGAGTGGAAGAAAGGAGCCCACATGTCTCAGTAACAGTCACCCAGAATTCAGCCTCAACAATGGGTAGGTGGGGGTGGGATGGAAAATGCGGACGAGGTCCTTGTCCTCCAGCTGGGAGCTGAGTGGGGAGGGCGTCCTGTGTTCTTGGCTGCACTGGTCTGGAGTGGAGTCTTAGCATTACTGAGTTTCAAGGATGAAGAGGGGTGGGTCCTGGTTTAAAACCCATTAATTCTTGCTGCCATTCTTGCCAGATTTTTGGTAGATTTCTGGAATAAGTGTCTTTTCATTTGTTGTATGTCCTTAGAATTATTCTTAGAGACTTTAAGTAGTTATTTTATAAAACAGTTTTCACCAGGCTCACAGGGAGAGGACCCATGGAGCTCCTCATTCTGTCATATTGGAAGTGGAACTTCCTGAGGCTATTAATTCTTTAATGTCTTTAATTCTTGGATTTTCTTTTCTTTCTTTCTTTTTTTTTTTTAAAGCACTTGTTCTGTTTGGTAATTGTATTAGGCCATTCTCACAGGGCTATAAAGAAATACTGGAGACTGGGTAATTCATAAAGAAGAGAGGCTTAATTGGCTCATGGTTCTGTAGGCTGTACAAGTGTGGTGTCAGCGCCTGCTCAGTTTCTGGGGAGGCCTCAGGGAGCTTTTACTCATGGTGGAAGGCCAAGCAGGAACAGGCACTTACCTTACATGGCAAAAGAAGGAGCAAGAGGGTGAGCAGAGGCGGGGAGGGGTGCCACACTTTACAACAACCAGATATCCAGAGAGCTCACTGGCTATGGTGAGGGCAGCACCAAGCCATGCCGGATCTGCCCCGGGACCCCAACGCCTCCCACCAGGCCCCACCTCCAACACTGGGTATTACAATTCAACATGAGATTTGCAGGGATGTATATTCAAACTGTATCAGTAGTGTTTGGTAAGAGTATATATATTACTTTGGTAGAACTTGATTGATTTCCAGCTCCAGGCTCGGAAAATTCCTGAGGCTTTATAGGTGTTTATATCATCTGGCCCTACCTACCCCAACCACCTGCCCCTAGGTAGACTCTTTCTGGGGAGAGAGATCTATGCTCTGCTGTCTCTCAGATTTCTTTGCTTGTATGTATGTCTGAGATGAAAACCTTTAATTTCAATTCTTTGTTTACTAGGAATAAAGATAACTTTGTCAGGTGCCACCCATTTGTCAGTTCTTGTATTTTAAAATACGTTGTCAAATTTAGTGTTCCAGCAAATTTATGAAGTAGATAATAGCTTCATTTTTACAGAAAAAGAAACAGGCCTCTAAAGGGCTCTGCTCTTAATTGCCCTTTCTTCACTGTCCATTTCAGTAGCTACTTGCCACACATGGCACCAAGCACTTGGAATGTGGCTTGTTCACATTGAGATGAGAGATGTGCTGTGTGTGCAAAATAAGCAGTTAGTATGGAAAAAATGTAAAATATGCTGTTAATATTTCCTGTATTGAGTACACATTATGACTTATATATATATATGTGTGTGTGTGTGTATATACATTTTTTTTTTTGAGACAGAGTTTCTGTCACTCAGGCTGAGTGCAGTGGCGCGATCTCCGCTCACTGCAGTTTTGCCTCCCGGTTCAAGCGATTCTCCTGCCTCAGCCTCCCAAGTAGCTGGGATAGCTGGGACTACGGACGTGCACCTCCGTGCCTGGCTGATTTTTTTTTTTTTGTATTTTTTTAGTAGAGGTGGGGCTTTGCTATGTTGGCCGAGCTGGTCTCAAACGCCTGACCTCAAGCTGATCCATCCGCTTCGGCCTCCCAAAGTGCTGGGATTACAGGCATGAGCCACCGCGCCCAGCCATACATACTGTGATAATATTTTGGATATAGTATGTTAAATAAAATATATTGTTAAAATATCGTCTGTTGAAGTTTCACCTATTTCTCTTTACCTTTTATAAATGTGGCTACTAGAAAACCTAGAATTAGGTGTGTGCTTATATTTCCGTTGCTCAGCACATCTCTGCATTATCTCTATTTTGCTTAAATGGAATCTTAGCTTTCCATGATTTGGAAAAGTGTGACGATTACAAAAAGTATTATGAAAGTCTCTAACTTTTTAGCATGTCACATTTTTTTTCTTTCATGCAGTAAAAAAACACTCAAAACCCATTTTATAAAGAAAACACTTTAATAACATTTGAGGTTTTTTTTTTTGAAAACCTGTTAGTGATTTTTCATGCCCAATAATGTTCAATAAGTTGGTTTTCTTGGATAGCTTTGTGTTTTTAAAGATGTTTCATTATTAAAAATGGCTAAAGTAAAATGATAGTTACATATGAAACTTTTGTAATTTAAAATGTCAAGTCAGGAATCCTTAAAAAAGTTGTTTTAGTGTTTGAATTATTTGCATTGTGTCTATTTTAACTTAGTAAAACTGACTTCAATGGACTGTTCTCATAGATGATGACTTTGACCAGTTTGATAAGCCTGGCGCGGAACGGTCGTGGAGAAGAAGAGCTGCTGATGAGGACTGGGACAGGTACGTGCACCCTGTGCTTCACCTAACTGCCTGTGCCGATCTCTCTCATTCTGACACTTGGCTCCTGAGGGATCTTTACTGAACGCAGCACCTTGACTACCTGGCGCTCTCTCTTGAGTGGGGCTGTCCCTCCTGAGCTAAAGTGAAGCTTCTCCATGCAGAAGGCTGAGGTGTGCTCCTGTTCCAGGCCTGTGTTGTGTGGAGGGCTGCCAATAGATCATAGGTCTTCTGTCCTTTTTCTTTGTTTTTGTACAGTAATGATACTGACTTTGTGGACACCCAGAACCATTACTGGAGTGGCCTTGTGCCAGAGTTCTTTAAGCTCTACTTTGTACTGAATATCTGGCTACACTTTAACGTTTTTTCCATTCTAATATGTGTAGATGGTATTTCACTAATTTTAACTTTCATTTTCCTGGTTACCAGTGAAGATGAAAATACCTGTTTAGGAATGGATGAAAATGACCTGTTTAGGAATACACACAAACACAATTTAAAAATCCACAGTGATGATAGATGGTAGTTTGATATAGTGGTTACCTCTGGCAAGGAGTTAATAATAGAGGTTAGAGATGTGTTCTGGGAGAAATACACAGTGGGGCTTAATCTGGGTGGTGGGGCTGAGAAATGATGGTTATTCTTTATAACTTTTTTAACACCTTAAATACTGTGTTGAGAAAATGTAACAATTACTTTGAAGCTGCAGTCAATTTGAAAACGGCAGTGTCACATCTGGAAGTTTTATAGAATAATCTAACTTGAGAACTATGAGGCCCTTACAGTTCACATAAAGCTGATTGCTCTTTAGTGACTCATGCAGTGTATTAGTCAGGATTCTCCAGAGGAGCAGAACCAAAAGAATATATGTAGAAAGATTCATTATGAAGGACTGGCTCACGTGATTATGGAGACTGAGAAGTTACACGGTCTGTAGAATGGTGTAGTTCCAGTCTGAGCCCAGTGTTCTGTGAACCAGGGGAGCCAGTCATGGAAGTCCCTATCTGAGCCTGGAGGCCTGAGAACCAGGAGCACCCATGTCTGAGGGCAGAAGATAGCTCAGCTCAAGAAGAGGGTGAATTTGCCCAACTCCAACTTTTTGGGTAATGTCTGCCCACATTGGTGAGGATGGATTTCTTTACTCAGTCTGTGGACTCATTGCTAATCAGCTCTGGAAGCACCCTCATGGACTTTCACAGAAATAATATTTTGTTAGGTAGCTGGGCATCTCTTATCCCAGTCAAGCTGTCGCACAAAATCAGCCAGTATGCATTCTAAAAGTTAGATAGTGCTTAAAAACGATGTCTTTCCTAGAAAAGAAATGGTCTTACTAGTAAGTACTAAAGCTAGTTTTGATTAAAAGACTGTGATGGTGAGCTGAATAAAATATTAAGTGGGTCTTTCAATAGCTTACTCATTATTTGGAGTTCCTCTTTGAATGGTCTGTTCATATCTGTTTTTTCTTTTGGGTTGTTTGTCTTTTGTTTATTGATTTTAGGGACTGTTTATATTATACTTACTGGAAATTTATTTTTATTGTTTATAAGTATCTCCTCCCAGTCTGTGGCATGTGTTTCCTTAAAAAATAGTCTTTGACTAGATTTTTGAGAAGAATACAGTCAGATGTATAATCTTTTTTCTGTGTAGTTTTTATTCTTTTTTTATTAAAACATGAACAAAAATGTATTTGGAAACCCTTTCAGACTTCCAAGAAAGTTGCAAGAATAATACAGAAACTCCCACTTGACCTTCTCTTACACTCATGAACTGCTTTTTGTCAACTTATGTTGTCATTCTAATTGTTTACGTACATGGATATACTGTATATGTAAAATTTTCTTTCCTGTACCATTTGACAGTAGGTTGCAGGTGTCATGCCACTTCCGAATGCTTCAGTATTGTTTAGCATGTATTTCCCGCAAAACAGGAACTTTCACTTATATAAATATTGTATAATTTTTAAAGTCAGGAAGTTTATCAGACATCCAGTTCTATATATGTGAGGTTTATTGTTGTTGTTTTGGAGACAGGGTGTTTCTCTGTCACGCAGGTGGAGTGTAGTGGCGTGATCATAGCAAGCAGGAACTCCTGGGCTCAAGTGATGCTCCTGCCTTGGCCTCCCAGAGTGCTGGGATTGGCGTGAGCTAGTGTGCCGTGCCCAGTTGTATTTTTATTCTACAGTGGTTATTCAGATTGTTTTCAGTTGTCTCAATAATTTCCTTTATACCCCCAAAAGAATTTTTTGTTCTGATTCAAGATTCAATTCAGGATCATACATTGCATTTTTCTTTCATCATTTCTTAATGTGGAAGAATTCTGTAGCCTGTCTTTTATGACGTTGACAGGCCATTTATCTTGGGTTTGCTGGTGGTCCATTGTGACTAAATGCGGGCTGTGCATTGTGGTCAGAGTAGATGATGTGTGGCCTCCTGAGTGCCCACTTCAGGAGGCACAGGAAATTGGTTTGTGCTTTTTGTCCTTAAGAAATTCTTCCCTTCCTTGTATTCTAGATATCTCCTGCATGTGTCTATGAAAGTTGTAATTTTTTTAAATAGCTATACAGTCTGCCTGAAATTGATTGAATTGATTGATTTTTAGTTACTAACAAGTTCAAGCATATGTGAAAATAGACTAGTACAGTGAACCCAATGTACCATCTTCCAGTTTCACCAGTTATCAGCATATAGCCAATCTCTTATCCATACTCTCTGCAGCCCCCTCAAATCACAAAATTTTTGAAAAAATTTCAGAATATATTTTTCTAAAAAATAAACGGTTTAAAATATAGCCACAATAGTTACTATATCTAAAAAAATTCCTTATTACGTAAATATCTTAGTGTTTACATTTCCGATTGTCTCTTATATTTGTGTGTGTGTCTATGTATACGTATGTAGACGCATATATATCTACATACATATGTATACACACATATTTTAAATATATGTATTAGTATACTGTCACTTACACAGTGTGGATATGTGTCTGTGTGCTTTTTGATGGTTTGAATTGGGCGCACATGGTCATTGATGGGTATGTCTTTCAAGTGTTGTTTCATGTACAGGTTCTCCCCCATCTTATTTTAGTTCCATGCAATTTTTGTTGAAGAAGCAAGGTAGCGTGTCTTCTAGAATTTTTCCTTTTGCTGATTGCACTCCCTGAGGTGTTTTTAGTGTGCCCCTTAGCTGCTGATATTTTATGTGAGTTAATAGAAGTGGATGGGATTCAGGTTTGAACTTGGGGGAGGGGCCGGGGTGTGGCAGTGTAGTAAGTATTGCTGTGTTCCTCATCGGAAGCTCCTTGGGGGCTGGTGAACTTTGCGTGGTGATACCTCTGCTTTTCCTGTTACCTGTAGTACTAGTACACTAATATACTACCTAATAGTACTGTAAACTAGTTCGTTCTTGAGGTAGAGATTACATAGAAAAGACAGGGTAAGTGATTGAGTCTTTCCTGTTGTTTACCAAGTTTCAAACTAAGAAGTCAGCCCTAGCACTTGCAGGGATGAGTTTTGTTTTTGAATCATTTTGAAATCATAGATTTAAATGTTGGTTGTGTTGAATCCATTGTCGTTTCGTATCTTTATTGGTGGTTACATTGCCTGATATTTGTTCAACTGGAATTTCTTCAGGTTGGCTCCTGTGTCCATTTGACATGACTTTAGATGTCTTTGGCAGCTGTCTTGCTTTCTGCTATGATGGAACTTGTTTTGGTCATGGTGTGAGACGGTTCTAGGTTTTATTGTTTACCGTATTATGAATTGCAGTTGTTTCATATTGTTTGTGAACGAGCTCTTTTTTTTACTGTCTTCAGTGACGTGTTTGCATCTATGAAGCTTTTGCCACATGTATTTCTTTTTTGATGTTTTAAGCATAAGACAGCCTCTCTGTGTGCTGCATGACACAGAGAGAGACACTTGGAAGGTGAGAAGAGTGGGTCAGGAATTACTATGGTAAGTTCTTCTGCCATGCTGTACTGGTAGTGGTGTTTGGAAGAATATGATGTCATTGCTGAACCAACACCTGAAATTGTGTTTTATTTATTTTTTTTAAAGATATGAATGTCTCATGTGTCCAGGCAAGAAAGAGATACCCACTCAAAAAGTTTTTGTTTGTTTTTGTTTTTGTTTTTTTGAGACAGAGTCTGCTCTGGAGTGCAGTGGTGCGATATCAGCTCACTGCAACCTCTACCTCCCAGGTTCAAGCGATTCTCATGCCTCAGTCTCCCGAGTAGCCGGGATTACAGGCATGTGCCACCGTGCCTGGCTAATATTTATATTTTTAGTAGAGAAGGGGTTTCGCCGTGTTGGCCAGGCTGGTCTTGAACTCCTGGTCTCAGGTGATCCAACCACCTCAGCTTCCCAAAGTGTTGAGATTACGGTGTGAATCATCATGCCTGGCCCAAAAAGTTTTAACTGAAGAAATTTAATGACGGGTCTATTTACAGGCCAGGGTTAAAGAACTAATGAGTTCATTCCCATCCAGGGAGTACCAGTTCCTGCCCCGGCCTTGTGGGAAGTGGTGTCCTAGGGCCCAGTGAAGGCTGTTGGGGGAGGGATACTGTAGTCTCTATTTCTTCAGGTGAGAGGGGAGGGGCCGGTCTTTCTCCTCCTACTTGGTGACGTTATGTTGGTGCGTCCCAATGGGCGAATCCATCTGGAAGCCAGAGGTTAGGACCGGCTGTGCCAGCTGCTCCTGGAGGACGCAATCCAGCCACAGAGCAGGCAGGTAAGACGGAGAGTGGACTAGAGTGGGGAGGACCCAGAGACTACAGCCCCACTTACAGTGGTCAAGTTCACTTCTGGTTTTGAAAGGCTGTAGCCAAGTGGCTGACAACAAATACTTGTTTCCTGAAAAACGTCTTTGAGGATAACTTCTGTTTCTAAGTAAAAATATACTTGCTTTCAAAGAGCTCATTGTCTGTAAGCTTTAATAAGAAATGCCTGCCAGAAAGATTGTTCGTACTCAAGTAGTGATTACTGGTGGAATCTTTAGGGAACTCTAGAATTGAACACAGGAAGCCTCTTCATCAGCCCAGTGCTTGTTTGATTTCCTAGAACACTTACTGCTGCTGCCAGCCAGAGTGACTGCTCACCCCTTTGAAACTGCCAGATGGAGACCAGTCATTTCCATTAGTTCATTGTTGTTTTTGCCAAGAGTGGATGTAGTTTTACATATGTAATAAATTTATTCCTTATGTGTACATCCTTTGTGAGGGTCCAGCTTTACGATGACAAGAAGAAAAGTACATGTAGTTTCTGTGGGGTGTGTGCATAGTAGTTAGGACTTGGATTCTCTCACTGGTGTCACCACTTCCTAGCTGGATGACCTTGGGCAAATTAGCATCTTAGTGTCTCTGTTTTCACATTTTGAAAATGGCAACGGTGTGTCTACCTGAGAGGGGTATTATGTCAATGAAAAGCTCGTGTGTGTGGAACATGTCAAGTGGTGCCTGGCACAGAAGTGCATTGAGCGGATGCTGTGGATCGCTGGGGCTGCTGTTTATACTTGCTGTTGTTCTGTACTGAATCCCACTGTCCCCCATCCTGTTTCTCATTAGTCATGAAACAAGTACTAGTCTTCATTTTCTCTACTCATTTTATAGTTGATACACTTACTTATCTTTTTAAAAATGTTTTCGTTGAGAAAAAATAAGTAGTTATTAAAGGTTGATTTATTTCCATGTACTTGTCAGCAAGAGGCACAGATACTTTCTAGATTTTTGCTTGTATAATTACTAATGCCTGTTTTTATGACTTTGTCAGTTTGCCCTGGGAAACTGGCATCACATTCCATTTTTAGTTACTTAAGGTGATGGTATAGACGAGTGCCTGTCTTTAAAAGAGGTGCTTGTGTGTTTTTGGTTATCTGGAATCAAATTTTCAAATGGGGTTATTGTAAATATTGTTGACTAGACAGCATTGTTTTCTCCCTGCCTCTGGAGGGTAGTTGGAACACTGAAGATACAAAAATTGTATTTGATAGATGATAGTGGTTTTAAAATGTTGGAAGAAGCTATATGTTATTCTCTTATAACTATCCTATAGGAGTTTGTGAAAGATTGTTTTTCAAGGGCTGTTAAGTTCTTGTCCTGCATCTGTCACTGCTGTGTGACTTTAGGCAAGTTATTTCATGTCCTATCCTTGTTTTCTTTATCTGTAAAATGTAATATAGGACTTACTGGAGGATAACTTAAAATAACGAATAAAGTCTTTAGTGCATGAATTAAATGATTTGTCAGGTTGTTTTTAGTTCTAAAAGGCGTTATATAGAAACATGCATTTCATTATAACTCCATATATGCATTCCCGGAGATTATAGTATTCTGCAAAGTGGCATGCTAAAAATAAACATGATTTTTTGGTAAAATAATGGTTTTGCTGATTTCTCAATACCTATAGAATTTTGTAACCAGAGCACCTATTAAAAATAAAGCAGCAATTCTAATAACAATATCGATGCAGTTAAATCTCCATGAGTATTGGCACCTAGAGTTACAGTCCATCTAATTGTATTTCCTCTTTGTATATTTCTGTATGTTGACTTTTAATGATATTTGCTTCCAAGAGATTGATTTCCCCAGAATTAAAAACATGATCTAGTGGTAGCCATTTTTATCAACTAAAAAAATCTTGTTTCTAATAAATGCAGTGGAAAATGTCTTCAGCTTTTTTATTTGCTAAGGGTTTCTGTTTTAGTTGTAAAAATAGGGAGAAAGCCGGCTTCTAATCATTTAAAACAGAAATATGCTAGAAAAAATTGCAAATCACTGATACGACATCCATGTTATACAAAGCTAATTTCCCTTAGTTACTGTGATTTGATTTTATGTTCTCGTTCGTTTTTAAAATTTATTTTTTTTTTCAGTTTCTTTTGGTTTGATGAATGTCAAACGGTCTCTAGTGGTTTTGGTTTTTATCTTCCTAATCAATTATATTGTGCATCTTTTCCTTCTTCATTAAGGTTTTTAAAGATAGGAGAAAGCTTAGATATGACTTACTATATTACAGTTTCTGCTTTTACTGATTATTCAACAGACCCAAAGAGATTAAGATCCCATATTAAGGTACAAAACTAAGATTAGAAGTATAGTGAGGCACTACCTATAGCAAAGCCTCCCCATACTTAAAAAGATAAAATGTTCTCTGTGCATTTGAAAATACATTTTTATTATTAATAAAGAAAGAGGAAAGCATAGCAAACTTAATGTAAAAGTATCCAAGCTGGCCGGGCATGGTGGCTCATGCCTGTAATCCCAACACTTTGGGAGGCCAAGGCAGGCGGATCATGAGGTCAGGAGTTCGAGACCAGCCTGGCCAACATGGTGAAATCCCGTCTCTACTAAAGATACACAAAATTAGCCGGGCATAATGTAATCCCAGCTACTTGGGAGGCTGAGGCAGGAGAATTGCTTGAGCCTGGGAGGCAGAGGTTGCAGTCAGCTGAGATTGCACCATTGTACTCCATCCTGGGCAACACGGTGAGGCTTTGTCTCAAAAAAAAAAAAAAAAAAAAAGGTACCTGAGCTGTAGAGTTCTTGGTAAATTTCCAAGTGATCTACAAACTTGCAAGTCTTATGGGAATAATCATTGACATGTCTCTTTTTTTTCTCCCAAGTGAACTTGAAGATGATTTACTTGGAGAAGATTTGCTATCTGGCAAAAAGGTAAGAAGTTTATGTCCTTCTGAGATGAAATACTAGTCATTTAATTATACTTAACATACAGCAGTAATCACTTATACATGGGTTTCATTACTGGAAAGTTGGGTATAGATTAAAATTTTGTAAACTGAATTATTTTTTAAGTGCGCAGGGAATTGACTGTTTATTAGTAAATTCTCTGGTAATTATAACTCAAGAAATAAATCCTTGAAGATTAGTTCCTACTTTGTCCAAGGCACTCTGGCAGTTACTGGATTGTGACAGCGTTAACATAGAGTTATTCCTTGCCATAACAGAAAGTCACATTTGGAGGTGAATATTTTGCATACTTGTTCTGGATTTCACTTTTTGGAGGCATTCAGAGATAAGCTTAAAGGTAAACATACTCAAATATAATAAACATTAAAATAAATAAAAGTCTAAAACCTAATGTAGGTTTTTCTAAATCTTTTTGATGAAATAAAAAATTTGTATATCTATTTATATATATTGTGTGTGTGTGTGTGTGTGTGTGTGTGTGTGTGTGTGTATGTGTATATATACCCACATATATATATACATACACGTGTGTATATATATACACACATATATACATACACACGTGTATATATATACACACATATATACATACACACGTGTATATATATACACACATATACATACACACGTGTATATATATATACACACATATACATACACACGTGTATATATATACACACATATACATACACACGTGTATATATACACACATATACATACACACGTGTATATATATACACACATATATACATACACACGTGTATATATATACACACACATATATACATACACACGTGTATATACGCGCGCATGCGCGCACACACACACACACACACACACACACACACACCCCTACCAGTATATTTCGGACATTATAAAACACATAAAAGTAGAATGTATAGCGAGAAAGTGAAATACTACATTTTTTAAATTTTATTAACAGTTTAAAAACACTTTCTGTTCTCATTATCAAGATAGTTTAGGCTTAGTTTTTTTTTTTTTTTTTTTTTTTTTTTTTTTTGAGACACAGTCTTACTCTTGCCCAGGCTGGAGTACAGTGGCACCATCTTGGCTCACTGCAAGCTTCTAGAAGTGATTACTGCATCATTAGCCTGCAGGTCGCCTGGCTTTGGCCTAACCCTGCTTTCCCTCCTTTAGATGGCTCTGTCATCACTTCTAACACTTAAGAGTTAGTGTGGTTAGTTAGTTGTAAATCCACCTGATTTAATAGGAGTAAACTGAAATACATCCGTATAAGTTGAACATGAAAGCCCAGTGAGAGAGCCTCGTAGTTGGTCCATCTTGTAGTGTGACGTCTGGAGTGTGAGTGGGATGTTCAGTCCTTCTTTGTCATGGTCACTGGGGGAAAAGGCTCCTGTTTTTATACTCTATTGGGGAATTATTTTGCATACTCTTCTAGGTGCTCTCACTTGTATTTTTGTACCTAAAGTGGCTACTTTTTTCTTCGTATTTAAGATGCTTTAATGGAGAATAAGTTAGATATTAAAAGGTTTAAATGTAGTAAAATACTTTGCCATGAGGTTGGATTTCTATCTCTAGGCAAGCCTCATGTCATGGTTTGCCCTGTGTTTCTTTCCAGAAAGCTGTGATAATTCCCTTTTGATTTACATGTGACCTCCTCTCATAAAAGCTTTGGGGTCAGGACTGTTATCAATAAAGATGGAGAAATACTATTTGGTTTGGACAGTAATGCTGACTGTTCTGGGGGAAGTCATCTTACTTTTCTCAGTTGAGCTGATTGTTGTAAGTTGCTCATGTGGGCTGGAACCGGAGCATGCCCAGTGACAGTGCATTCCGACGCCTCAGTGGAGGGGCTGTATCTGCTTTGGACATTTTGGAAGTGTGTTTACTTTGGAACAGGAGATGTGTCTCTCATTTCCTCTTCTCTGTTCTTTCCTAACATAAAATAAATGCATTGTACCTTATAGGAATCAAGGCATTGAAAATATATAAAAAAAGAAAGCCTTAAAAAGATGTAAACAGTCGTGACTAACATTTTGCCATCTGTCTTTTATTCTTTTCCCATGTGTTTTTAAATATGACCAAAATATAGGCTGGGCATGGTGGCTCACGCCTATAATCCCAGCACTTTGGGAAGCTGAGGCAGGTGGACCACTTGAGGTCAGGAGTTGGAGACCAGCCTGGCCAACATGGTGAAACCCCGTCTCTGCTAAAAATACAAAAATTAGCCGGGCATGGTGACATGAACCTGAAATCCCAGTTACTCGGGAGGTTTACTTGAACCTGGGAGGCGGAGGTTGCAGTGAACCGAGATCACGCCACTGTACTCTAGCCTGGGAGACGGAGTGAGACTCCGTCTCAAAAAAAAAAAAAAAAAAAAAAGAATTATAGATATAAAACGTTACTTTTTTTTTAATTTAACATTGTATCATTGGCATTTCTCCCTTGTCATTAGGGTTATTTTAAAATATTTTATAATGGCAACATAACATTGAATGTTTGTATATGCTACAGTGTCCCTAGTCACTCCTGTGTACATTGAGGTTGTTTCCAGCTCATTGCTTATGACTTTTTTTTAAACCCTTTTTGTGGAAGATCTCAAGCATACACAAAAGAGGAGAGGGCAGTATCGTTTACTCTCAGGTGTCCGTCGTCCAGCCTCAGCAATTTTAGTTAAAGGCTGTTTTGCTTCCTGTTTACGCACTCACTCCCTACCTCCTGAATCATTTTGATGTAAATCTCAAGCATTATGATGATATTTTAATGGACAAATCTTACTATGCTTTTGGGATTTTT
This sequence comes from Homo sapiens, assembly GCF_000001405.40. Classification (NCBI taxonomy): domain Eukaryota; kingdom Metazoa; phylum Chordata; class Mammalia; order Primates; family Hominidae; genus Homo; species Homo sapiens. Next base: position 155,675,730 of record NC_000007.14, read on the forward strand.
TTCTTAGGAAGTTTCTGTAAAGAGGAATTCTGGCCTGAGGGTGGAAACATTTAATGGTTCTTGTCTTGTATTGCCAATTTACCTTCCAGAAATGTTTGATCCACTTATGTTCCTAGCAGCAGGGAATAAGCATTGCCCTCAATTTTCCATTCCCTGTTCGATACTACTTTTTAAAAAGAATCTTTGTCAGTGTGATAGATGAAAAATGATTTCTGCTTGGTTTAATTTCTATTTATTTGATTTCTAGTGAGAATGGAATTTTTTTTCACGTGTTTATTAGCGAGTTAATTACTACAGGGTCTATGAATGGAGTTCACATGATGAGTACACTGGCTACCTGAACAATTTTTTTCTCCCACTGGGGTCCCCACGAAATGCACAATGATGAGCCTTTGCTTGGAGAGACTCCTAAGGCGCAGATAGCCCGAGGGAGGCGCATAGTACTGAGAAAGGCACACGGGTCAGACTGTCAGGGACAAGTTCATTCGTGTCAAGAAGGTTGTTAGTGCTCAGTTTTAAATAATTAAGGTTTCAAACTGAGGTTAAAGCAGGCTGACGTGACCAGGCTAGAGCTTTTAGGAAGTGGGTAAGAGTGAGGTGGAAGTTGGCTGCCAGCTTGCAGTTCCTTCTTCAGCTTTTGTATTTAACTTCATCAACTCGTGTTGGACAGACATTCTCCTGTTACATTGAGGTGGCTCTGTTTCATAGATGCCTGTGTTGGAGAATGTTTTGGGAACCATTTTCTTCCCATTTTTAAACTCTGGCTATTCCATGAAGGTTTTATGTTCTTGGGAGTATTGGAGAGAACCATTCTTTTTCTTTCATACTTGTTTCTCTCCCCATGGGAGAAATGACCTGTTTGGAAAGATTGAGAGAAAGGATTTCACTAGCATCTGTGGCCACTTTATCTTCATCTCTTGGGATCTGTGGCCCTGATTTCCTGCAGACCATCCTGAGCAGAACCCCCTGGAGCCCGAGAAAACTGTTCGCTCCAGTTCTTTAGGATGTGTTGAAATCAGCTTTGGCCTCAAGGATGTAGCCTAGCTCTCCATTCCAGCTTTCTCAGTGAAGTGGATATTGTGCTTATCACCTCCTGTGTCTGTTAGTAGGTTTAAAAGCCAGAGAGGAAAGTTGAATAATCCTCAAAGGAGATTTGACTCCCACGAGGGCTCACCCACCACAGTACACATTCCCTTTCTATTTGCTTGATGCCTTCTTGGCTCATTGATTTTTGAGAAATACTAAGAGTTTAACTAAAAAGCTCAGAGAAACAGCCTCTCGAATGAAATTTGTCTCTCATTGAATTATTAATTTTTAAAGCTTTCCTGAAGTTTTATTTACTGAGTTGGACAGCCAAACTGAGGTTTGTCTGTGGTAGGCCTGGCTCATAGCTCTCACTTTCATAATGGCATTTCCTTTCAGTCTCAGAACTGGCCCTGTGTGGATGACAGATTATATGGTCACCTAACGGAAACTTCATTTTCTTTTTTTCTTTTTTTTTTTTTTTGAGATGGAGTTTCGTTCTTGTTTCCCAGGCTGGAGTGCATTGGCTCACTGCAACCTCCACTTTCCGATTTCAAGCAATTCTCCTGCCTCAGCCTCCCGAGTAGCTGGGACTACAGGCGCCCCTCACCACGCCTGGCTAATTTTTTGTACTTTTAGTAGAGTCAGGGTTTCACCATGTTGGCCAGGTTGGTCTTGAACTCCTGACCTCAAGTGATCCATCTGCCTTGGCCTCCCAAAGTGTTGGGATTACAGGCATGAGCCACTGCGCCCAGCCAGAAACTTCATTTTCTGTCAGTTAAGCAGTCCGTTTTGTTATCACACATATCTGTTCTCCCTTCTGCAAATAAACTGAGTATGTATCCTGTGTTATTTTATTTTTATCTTATTGTGGTGTCAGTGATTAGGTTGAGTCCTGTGCGACTAAGAAGTGCTAATAAGATTATTTTTGGCTATCAGAAATACTGTAATAAAGTATACAGGTAAGTTTTTATAAGGTGTAACTACCAGAAAAAGACTGCTTGTTTGTTCACCTTTAAGAAGAAAAGCAAGTTGATTTTTCTGTCTTTACTTTTTAAGAATGAATATGTGTGAATGACAGTGTGTGTGTGGCTTTGACTGGCTTTCGTGAAGGGAGTAGTAATTTACATATACCATTTATACATATAAGTAATTTTAAAAAGGGAGGAACGTGTGAAGTAGTGTGAATAAGTAGTGAGACAGTGTGAATAACACCCCCCCAACCTAATCTAAGATGCTCAAATATATATAACCTAAGAAAACCTGGAACTCTTGACAGAATAGCTAGGCTCTCTCTCCTTATAGGTAGGAGTACCATCAAGAACAGGAGTGGGGAACTGAGCTGCTAACATTTATTTTCATACGTGATCTGTACTGGAAAAACCAAAGTTTTATAGTCTCATTTCAATTTAATGATTCAGTTATTTAAATCTTATTTCTAAAATTACACTTTTTGTGTTGTTTAAAAAATCTTTAGGTTTTGGATATTAGCATGTTAAATTTAGTAGTACCTTAAGGATATCTTTCTTTTTTTGTGTATTATAAGGAAATATTATTTGTTCGTAAGCTTCCACCAATGGACTTCTTACCTTTTCTCTTTTGTGTGAGAATAAATGTGATCGTTACACTTGGTGTTTTTACATTTAACTTGCCTGGGCACCTGAAGCTGAGCCCAGGAGGGATCCACATGCCTTGTGTGGGATTTCTTGATTATCCACTGGTGACCAGAAAGCCTTCCGGGTGGCAAACGTTTTAATATAAGGCTAGGAACAATTCAGTCAGTGTAATTTTGTGCTTTTTAACAAGTCTTTTTATGGAAGTGACACACATTAATTATATTTCTTATTTTAATTAGAATCAGTCGGATTTGTCAGATGAAGAGCTAAATGATGATCTTTTGCAGAGTGATAATGAAGATGAAGAAAATTTCAGGTACTCAATATTACCTCATTATAAATGTTCTTTATTTAACTAAATTGATAGGAACTGTTATTTATAATTATAATGGAATGTAATTGAATAATGTAGCCTTATATCTTTAACACATGATTACATTCTAAATGGAATACTAGTAATAACTGTAGAAGCCATATGGATGTTCTGTAAACAGAGCAGCTGTTTAAAATAAGCAGTTCTTGGCCAGGCGTTGTAGCTCGTGCCTATAAACCCAGCACTTTGGGAGGCTGAGGCAGGTGGATCACTTGAGGTCAGGAGTTTGAGACCAGCCTGGTTAACATGGTGAAACCCTGTCTCTACTAAAAATACAAAAATTAGCCAGGCGTAGTGGCCCGCGCCTATAGTCCCAGCTACTTGGAGGGCTGAAGCAGGAGAATTGCTTGATCCACAGAGGTGGAGGTTGCAGTGAGCCGAGATTGTGCCACTGCACTCCAGCCTGGGAGACAGAGTGAAACGCCGTCTTAAAAAAAAAAAAACAAAAAACAAAAAATCAGTAGGTCTTTCATTTAATGATCCCTGTGAGTTCTGTTCAGTGCAGGTTATGAAGATTTAGTATGGATATATGCTGCTTTTCTAAAGAATTCCTCTACTCGGATGGAGGGCAGTGGCTTGGGACTCTCAACACCATTGCAGTTCGATACTGCTGCATTTGTCTTCATTTTAGCCAGTTGATTTAGATCATTTACTGAATTACCATTTTGGGCACTTTGGGAGGTGCTACTTTAGACTCTAGTTGACTGATACGATGAATGTCTTTCTGTTGACATATAGTAAGCTATATTAAAAGAGGAGAGACACACTGGTAGGTGGAATAATAGTTTTTATTTTATGAGGAAACATCGGGAAAATGTAGACAAGCTCTTGTTATAAATGTAATTAACAAATATATGCCATTTATTATTGAGCCATGGATTTGTAACAGATTTTCTAACATAAAGTAATTTTTACAGGTAAAAATAAGTTTTAAATTATTCTACCAGTCAGATAAATTTCCCAATTCCATTCTTTGACATCACTGTTATATTTTAATCTTTTGAGTTAGATTGTCTTTTAGAAATACATCATTGAAGTTTTTTAGACACAGTATCTTGAAGTCTAAGAGGTGTATTAATTTTTTGTTAGGATTGAGTGCTATGTGTGAACACAGATTTGCACGATCTTACATGGGAAATGTTATCTTGCACCTTATTGTTTGGTATTTAACTGTTGTGATTTAATAGGTGGAACATGTTTTTTTTGCAGTTTCAAAACCTTTGTTATTTTACTTAGAAATTATGAACAATTTTTAAAGATATTTGTGACTAATATAAATTTATTTATTTGAACACTGAAATGTATTTTCACACAAATTTTTAATATTTTGATTTTCTTAAACAGGAGTTTATAATTTCTATCACAGATGTAAGAAAAAAATTGTTCTTAAAATTCCGATTCTGATTTTCTCCTTATAGAATAATACTCCTGTTTTTACTTTGAACTCTTAGCAGTTTCTGTCTATTTCATTTTGTAAATTAGAATGAAATATAGGCTATTTGATTTCAGTCTTGGACTTTTGCCACTCAGATGTGTTTCATCTGTGGTTGATTTAATTCATTTGGTCAAATAACCTGCAGCTGGTGATAAGTAGAGGGGCTATATGCATTGCCAGTCTGTGGCCGGCTCCATATAGCACAGTTAGCTCTGCTGTACGCATTAAGGGTTTAGGGCACTGGCTCTGTATAGCATTTTGAGTACTGTTGGAGTTAATGTGCATTTGTCAGTAACTGGAATAACTTTTTATCAGTCATGGTTTAAATCTTTGTAACAGCTATTTATATAATGATTTAGTTTGAGCTCCTCTCTTCATTGGGTGCTTTTTTTTTTTATTTTCGTCCTCTCTAGTTCTCAGGGTGTTACAATTAGTCTGAATGCTACATCTGGCATGGTTACATCATTTGAACTCTCTGACAACACTAACGACCAATCTGGAGAACAGGAATCTGAGTATGAACAAGAACAAGGAGAGGATGAACTGGTTTATCACAAATCTGATGGATCAGAATTGTATACTCAAGAGTACCCAGAAGAAGGACAGTATGAAGGCCACGAAGCTGAGTTGACAGAAGACCAAATAGAATATGTGGAAGAGCCAGAGGAGGAGCAGCTTTACACTGATGAAGTGTTAGACATCGAGATCAATGAACCTTTAGATGAATTTACAGTGAGTCTTTTCTCCTTTGTATGGCCAAAGATAACCTGGCTTCCCATGCATAGGCTTCTAGACTGATTTGAAATCTATTTACCTCCCCTGGGAGGGAGGGGAAATTAGACCTTATTATCACTCTCTGCCAGTTTCTTTATCTGAGCTATGACAAAGTTTGTGTTGACAGCTTGTTTGACCAGAGGTAATGCTCCTTTGTCATTCTGGAAGGCTGCAAAGAATCGTGACCTTGAGGATTGTACCCTAAGGAAGAAAACAGCTTTGTGTGGTGGGGATACACTGTCAATTGTTAGGAGTACTTAATGCAGAGCTTTTATCCTGGCTTTAGACAAGATCTGATAAAGTCCTTCTAAGGCGAAAAGATTATTGACCTGCTAAAGACATCTTTAAGGTGCTAATATTCCAGAGTGATTGATGTCCTGTTCATTCATCCTTTTTGTAGATGAGAACTGTCTAAACCTGAATAAAGAGATTGGAGGTTAGTTTAGGAAATGTCACATATAATTCGTTATCTATAATCAGGAAGCAAGATTGTGCTGATTTTTTATTTCAGAAAGATGATTTTGGTAGGTAGTTTTTTTTTTTCAAAGTTGAACCAACAAGAAAGAAAAAATGTACTAGTGTAAGATTCTCACCTTTAAATGACTCATTATCAAAAGAGATTTGTTTTTTAAAATAAGCATGTAACGAAATTTATGAGGGAAGGATGTGATCTCAGTAGCTGTAGTAGAATCTTAGGGTTTTTGGGAACACTATGGGGGCCGAGTGAATGGGGCTGTTGGGATGGTGACAGAAGTATGCAAAATTGGGGCCTTAAAGAGCCCATTTGCAATGGGAGTAGCTTTGCTTTTCTGTATTTACATCTTCATTCGGAGGAAGCTTTTGTTTCAAAAAAATAGTTTAGAAGTTGCTGAATTGTGGTCATGTGTATGAGTAATTTTGAAAAGGATTAATTGTTTATGTGGAACCTTTGAATATTTAGTTCCAGTCATGATTGTATTTAGGTGTCTCAGTAGTTTTTTTTTTTTTCTAGACGGACTCTTGGTTTGTCGCCCAGGCTGGAGTGCAGTGGTGCGATCTCCACTCACTGCAACCTCCACCTTCTGGGTTCAAACAATTCTCCTGCCTCAGCCTCCTGAGTAGCTGAGATTACAGGCGCCCACCATCACGCCTGGCTGATTTTTGTATTTTTTGTAGAGATGGGGTTTCCCCATGTTGCCCAAGCTGATCTCGAACTCTTGACCTCAAGTTATCCGCCCGCCTCGTCCTCCCAAAGTGCTGGGATTACAGGCATGAGCCTCGGTGCCTGGCCCTCAATAGTTTTAAGATTTAATTTTTTTTGGTTAATATTTGCTCTTTGGTAGATACAGTAATGAGAGATGTTTGTAGTTTTGGTAAATAGAATCATGTAAAAGGCATCATGGGGAACTTGTTATTTCCATAACCCTGTAATAATTTGTTCTAGTAATCCTTCGCTAATGTAGGCACGTGCCTTCTGCTTTACTGGTGTGTTTGTATGCTCTTAAAGTTAGACACTGTAATTTAAAATGCTTTTTGAAAATTAAACCAAGATCTTTTAGAATTGTGCCTAGTTATTGCCTAGTTAGAGTATTTTATTATTTCTGTTACTCATCAGTAAAGTAAGATGATTGGCTAATCGTCCTGGGTTCTTTCCTCCTGTAAGTTCAGCAGTCCAACAAGTCTTTACTGATGTCTAAGCACTGCGGACACAAATATTGCTAAACCGTGTCATGAACATTGGCCCTGCCTGTGAACTTAGTACTAGGTGGCACAGATCATAGCGTGGAAGGTGCCTGATAGAATGCATGTGCACAGCCACACGGGAGGTCTCTTTCACTTTGGTGTTCTTGCAGAGTTTGTTGTAAAGAGAATTTCCAAGTGAGGAATTTCCCTCTCTGGTATTCCATTGTCAAACTTGAGATTACACATAGGCCCCAGTTGTAATAAAATCCAACTTAATTATCCAACATCTTGTGGTCTAAGATTCAGGTGTTGAAGAAAATGTGGCAATTTAATAATACTCACGGTACTCTTCCACATTAAAATGAATTTTTTTTTCAGAATTAAAGTCTTGAAGTAAAAAAAAAAAACTTAGAAATTCTGGAAGTGTTCTGATGTTTTCACAGAGAGTTGTAAAGTTTAAAGTTGAGCAGTAGTAGTTCAATGTCTTTCTGTGAGCAATGTCAGTTCATCTTGATACATGTGTTCTAGCCGTGGTCATTCTTTTCTTGCTTTATGATGATCACAATGGTAACATCTGAATGATCTGAAATGGCCGCTTCCTTGGACAGGAGGAGATACGCAGAGAATTAAATTGTGAGGTACTCTTATCTTGCTCGGCAATGGGAGCCTCTCTCTGTCTTCGGAGGCTGTCACTGAAGCCCAGATGATTTATTCACCATTAGACTAATGAACACATGAGCAGATTGTGTCTCTGTGTACCCCAATGGCATTTTAGTTTATTAAATGACTTGTATAACTGTGATTTTTGTTCTCCCTTGGGTTGTTAACCCCCACTCTAAGACTTGAACTCTGAAATGTGGATCTGTTGGAACCTACCTGTAAAGCCACATGGAGGGGCTTTGGTGCATAACAGGGAGTAGAATCATGAAACCCCAGAATGTACAGTGGGAGGGTTTGCTGTTCCCTATGAAGAAAGCGAGGTCCAGAGACATCAATAAAGCTGGACGCACAGCTCTGCTGTCCTTTCCTGTGAATGTTGCTGGTGCTGTTCTTGAGAGTGAATTGTGATTTCATTTGAAAATGTGTGCTCATTATATTAGTAAGGAGTGTATATTGGTTTAGTCGACAAAATATTAGAAAATGGTTGAGTGACTTTTACCTTTAAGTGCAATCAGTTTATTTAAGGCCTTTAAAGTTAACATAGATTAAGATTTTATTGTTCTGTAAAAACAATTTCAGGTTGACATTTTATGTCATGGGTAGCAGATGTTTGTTTCCCAGCGAGAATCCAGGGGTGTGGACTGTACTGCATTGTACACTGGCTGAAGATTTGGATTAGCATCATTTATTTGACTTTATTTGAAATCTGAATGTCCTGCTGCCCGTGATTCATGGGTAGTGATAATTGTTATTCTGATAGGACGCTAACAGTTTTTTCTGGAAAATAAAATGTGTTGTGTTCAGATTGTCTTGAGAGAATTGTGGGAACTAAGGTGGTTTGTCACCTTAAATACAGCTGCTTTATTTGGGGGTTCTAGATGAGACTGTCATGTACCATACAGTAGGTTGTTAAATTTCTGTAGGTTGTTCACTCTTTGAGGTTGTCTGCTTTGGAACCATTTTACTGTTCATTTTTTAGCAAGTAGGCTGGGACCCTGGGAAGTCTACCTCCGCTGAGTAGGATCAGACGTTGTCACTTGTTAGCAATACCAGAAGCCCTTTTTTCTTCTCTGCAGTTGCGGTCGTCTCCAGCCAGCTTGCCTGCTTTCTTCCATCTACCCAGAAGAGATTCTTGCTTGCTAATACGCCCCTTAAGTTTCATACAAAACCTGGAATCTTTCTCTCATTTGAGAAGGGGGCCTAATGGAGAAACATACTAATCACGATTTTTAAAAAGCTCCTCTGTTTAATTGCTGACACTTTTGTTGTCTTACATTGCCACAAAAATAGAGTTGGGCATGATTTCAGCCCCCTTCTGCTGCTGAGCTCCTTTTTGAGAGCACATAAACCATGTCTTTTGAAGGTGGCTCTTCCGTGCTGTTGATTTGCAGAGGAGCTGTGTGACAGGGCACTTGGAGTTTGAAGCAGAGCCCACGGCACTTGCTCTGGTGGCTGGGCCAGCATGATATGCTTTGTTTGCATTAACACGCAGAGGAGGTTCCCCTCTGTTTCTGGGCCTGGTGCTTTGTGCTCAGTCAGCTAATCACCATAGTAAAACTTTCTACAATTATTAAGCATGAATCATAAAGACGAAAAGTACGTAAAAAAACCACCCCAAAGCTGTATGAGAAAAACTTGTTTTCTCTTTAATGGCTGTTAGGATGAAGAATACTTGCAGGCTTATGGTGGGCAACAAGGGCTGCAAGAGCAGGAAGACTGTGTGGCTGAAGATGAATTAGATGAGATTACTGATGCCCAGGTTGCTCCTGCAACTGAAGAGGTATTTGTTCATCTTTTAAAAAGAGTAAAAAGTTTGCTGTTTCCCTCCCCCAGACTTAAAATGAGCATCTTTTTAGCATTAGCGAAAGTCGATACGTATCTTTGAACTGTGAGTGTATAGTGAAAAACTTGAACTTTCTAGGCTCCTTGGGAAGTGAGTTCTGGTGTGCTGTGATTTCCGCATAGCGTGTGCCGTTTAAGTGTTAGAGTGTTGTAAATGTTTTGTGGGGATGTGGGTGGAAATAGTTCAGAAATGTGACGTATATGTTAGTGCTTTGAAAGCAGTGTGGTAATTCTTTTTAATTAGTAACAGTTAATTTGGACCATTCAACAAATACTGCAAGGTTTCTGTAATTAGGTGCATTTTTAGTGTTGAAGAAGTAAGGATGATGAAGCTTGAATCCTGCTTTCAAGGAAATTGGAGTCTAATATAGGAGAGAAAAAAGACCTGTAAATACCTGTGATGGGAAAACAAAAGTAAAACCTCCCAAGAGAGGCTCAGAGACAGTGCTAGGAGCTCACCGAGGAAACCCCGTGGGGAGAGAGGTTCGTGGTCGACGAGGCTTTATGGAAGGAGGTGAACCTCTGAACTCTGAGGTAGGTCTTGAAAGATAGATTGCATTTGTACTGAGAAAGGTGGGGTGAGGCATAGAGTTAAATAGTTGCTGTTCTCTTACCCCAGAACTAGCTGCTGTGGGCCAGACATGCAAGCCACAAATCATTCTTCAGCCTGAGAACTTCACAAGAGTTTTTCTTAATACAGTTTTCATCTTTTGTCAGGAGGCCATGAAAACTGATATTTACTGGCTTAGGCCATTTACTTTAGGTGTTATTTCAAGGATTTAGACACTCAGTCCAGAAAACATTTACTTTACCCTTTTCCCCCCCAGTATGAATAATACTATGACAGTCTATGAATGTGTATGCTGTGCACATTACAAAACAGAAGTACTTCTTGCACATACCCTTTCTCCCCCTCCACCAAACTAAATTTGATTTTGTGTGTGTGTGCTTTCTTCTCTCTTTCTTTCTCGCTCGCTATTTGAAATAATTTGAAACTTAGAGAAAGGACAGAATAATACAAAGAACTCTTACCCAGATTCTCCAGTTGTAGAAGAATGTCCAAGAACTAAGACAAAGCTAAAGAAGATATTAAAAGTGTGCAGAGAGTAGAGGTTAGGTGTGTCTTGTTCATCACTGTATTCTGTAGCACTCTTTATTACAAAGCTAGCACCAGTCTAGGTTAAACCTGAAAAGGGGTAATTTAGGCGGAAGACATCTGAGAAAAATCTAAGTAGCCAGTAAAGGAGAGAGAAGTAGACAGAAGACTGCGTGGAGATCATTCCAGGTGGTAAATAGTTGAGAGAGAAACCAAGGAATTCGGTGCCTGTTAATTCCATGTCCTTTTTGTTCGTGGTATTTTTTTTCTTTTTTTTTTTAAATTATATTTTAAGTTCTAGGGTACATGTGCATAACGTGCGGGTTTGTTACATATGTATACATGCACCATGTTGGTGTGCTGCACCCATTAACTCGTCGTTTACATTAGGTATATCTCCTAATGCTGTCCCTCCCCGCTCCCCCCACCCCATGACAGGCCCTGGTGTGTGATATTCCCCTTCCTGTGTCCAAGTGTTCTCATTGTTCAGTTCCCACCTATGAGTGAGAACATGCAGTGTTTGGTTTTTTGTCCTTGAGATAGTTTGCTGAGAATGATGGTTTCCAGCTTCATCCATGTCCCTGCAAAAGACATGAACTCATCCTTTTTTATGGCTGCATAGTATTCCATGGTGTATATGTGCCACATTTTCTTAATCCAGTCTATCATTGATGGACATTTGGGTTGGTACCAAGTCTTTGCTATTGTGAATAGTTCCTCAGTAAACATACATGTGCATGTGTCTTTATAGCAGCATGATTTATAATCCTTTGGGTATATACCCAGTAATGGGATGGCTGGGTCAAATGGTATTTCTGGTTCTAGATCCTTGAGGAGTTGCCACACTGTCTTCCACAATGGTTGAACTAGTTTACAGTCCCACCAACAGTGTAAAAGTATTCCTATTTGTCCACATCCTCTCCAGCACCTGTTGTTTCTTGACTTTTTAATGATCACCATTCTAACTGGCGTGAGATGGTATCTCATTGTGGTTTTGATTTGCATTTCTCTGATGGCCAGTGATAATGAGCATTTTTTCATGTGTCTGTTGGCTGCATAAATGTCTTCTTTTGAGAAGTGTTTGTTCATATCCTTCACCCACTTTTTGATGGGGTTGTTTTTTGCTTGTGAATTTGTTTGAGTTCATTGTACATTCTGGATATTAGCCCTTTGTCAGATGAGTAGATTGCAAAAATTTTCTCCCATTCTGTAGGTTGCCTGTTCACTCTGATGGTAGTTTCCTTTGCTGTGCAGAAGCTCTTTACTTTAATTAGATCCCATTTGTCAATTTTGGCTTTTGTTGCCATTGCTTTTGGTGTTTTAGACATGAAGTCCTTGCCCATGCCTATGTCCTGAATGGTATTGCCTAGGTTTTCTTCTAGGGTTTTTATGGTTTTAGGTCTAACATGTAAGTCTTTAATCCATCTTGAATTAATTTTCGTATAAGGTGTAAGGAAGGGATCCAGTTTCAGCTTTCTACATATGGCTAGCCAGTTTTCCCAGCACCATTTATTAAATAGGGGATCCTTTCCCCATTTCTTGTTTTTGTCAGGTTTGTCAAAGATCAGATGGTTGTAGATGTGTGGTATTAATTTGAGGGCTCTGTTCTGTTCCATTTGTCGGTATCTCTGTTTTGGTACCAGTACCATGCTGTTTTGGTTACTATAGCCTTGTAGTATAGTTTGAAGTCAGGTAGTATGATGCCTCCAGATTTGTTCTTTTAGCTTAGGATTGTCTTGGCAATGTGGGACCCTTTTTGGTTCCATATGAACTTGAAAGTAGTTTTTTCCAGTTCTGTGAAGAAAGTCATTGGCAGCTTGATGGGGATGGCATTGAATCTATAAATTACCTTGGACAGTATGGCCATTTTCACGATATTAATTCTTCCTATCCATGAGCATGGAATGTTCTTCCATTTGCGTGTGTCCTCTTTTATTTCATTGAGCAGTGGTTTGTAGTTCTCCTTGAAGAGATCCTTCACATCCCTTGTAAGTTGGATTCCTAGGTATTTTATTCTCTTTGAAGCAATTGTGAATGGGAGTTCACTCATGATTTGGCCCTCTGTTTGTCTGTTATTGGTGTATAAGAATGCTCGTGATTTTTGCACATTGATTTTGTATCCTAAGACTTTGCTGAAGTTGCTTATCAGCTTAAGGAGATTTTGGGCTGAGACGATGGGGTTTTCTAAATACACAGTCATATCATCTGCAAACAGGGACAATTTGACTTCCTCTTTTCCTAATTGAATATCCTTTATTTCTTTCTCCTGCCTGATTGCCCTGGCCAGAATCTCAAACACTGTGTTGAATAGGAGTGGTGAGAGAGGGCATCCCTGTCTTGTGGCAGTTTTCAAAGGGAATGCTTCCAGTTTTTGCCCATTCAGTATGATATTGGCTGTGGGTTTGTCATAAATAGCTCTTATTATTTTGAGATACGTCCCATCAATACCTAATTTATTGAGAGTTTTTAGCATGAAGGGCTGTTAAATTTTGTTGAAGGCTTTTTCTGCATCTGTTGAGATAATCGTGGTTTTTGTCTTTGGTTCTGTTTATATGCTGGATTATGTTTATTAATTTGCGTATGTTGAATCAGCCTTGCATCCCAGAGATGAAGCCCACTTGATCATGGCGGATAAGCTTTTTGATGTGCTGCTGGATTCGGTTTGCCAGTATTTTATTGAGGATTTTTGCATCAATGTTCATCAGGGATATTGGTCTAAAATTCTTTTTTGTTGTGTCTCTGCCAGGCTTTGGTATCAGGATGATGCTGGCCTCATAAAATGAGTTAGGGAGGATTCCCTCTTTTTCTATTGATTGGAATAGTTTCGGAAGTAATGGTACCAGCTCCTCCTTGTACCTCTGGTAGAATTCGGCTGTGAATCCATCTGGTCCTGGACTTTTTTTGGTTGGTAAGCTATTAATTATTGCCTCAATTTCAGAGCCCGTTATTGGTCTATTCAGGGATTCAACTTCTTCCTGGTTTAGTCTTGGGAGTGTGTATGTGTCCAGGAATTTATCCATTTCTTCTAGATTTTCTAGTTTATTTGCGTAGAGGTGTTTATAGTATTCTCTGATGGTAGTTTGTATTTCTGTGGGATCGGTGGTGATATCCGCTTTATCATTTTTTATTGCGTCTATTTGATTCTTCTCTCTTTTCTTCTTTATTAGTGTTGCTAGCAGTCTATCAATTTTGTTGATCTTTTCAAAAAACCAGCTCCTGGATTCATTGATTTTTTGAAGGGTTTTTTGTATCTCTATCTCCTTCAGTTCTGCTCTGATCTTAGTTATTTCTTGCCTTCTGCCAGCTTTTGAATGTGTTTGCTCTTGCTTCTCAAGTTCTTTTAATTGTGATATTAGGGTGTCAATTTTAGATCTTTCCTGCATTCTCTTGTGGGCATTTAATGCTATAAATTTCCCTCTACACACTGCTTTAAATGTGTCCCAGAGATTCTGGTATGTTGTGTCTTTGTTCTCATAGGTTTCAAAGAACATCTTTATTTCTGCCTTCATTTTGTTATGTACCCAGTAGTCAGTCAGGAGCAGGTTGTTCAGTTTCCATGTAGTTGAGCGGTTTTGAGTGAGTTTCTTAATCCTAAGTTCTAGTTTGATTGCACTGTGGTCTGAGAGACAGTTTGTTACAATTTCTGTTCTTTTACATTTGCTGAGGAGTGCTTTACTTCCAACTGTGTGGTCAATTTTGGAATAAGTGTGATGTGCTGAGAAGAATGTATGTTCTGCTGATTTAGGGTGGAGACTTCTGTAGATGTCTATTAGGTCCGCTTGGTGCAGAGCTGAGTTCAATTCCTGGATATCCTTGTTAACTTTCTGTCTCGTTGATCTGTCTGATGTTGACAGTGGGGTGTTAAAGTCTCCCGTTATTATTGTGTGGGAGTCTAAGTCTCTTTGTAGGTCTCTCAGGACTTGCTTTATGAATCTGGGTGCTCCTGTATTGGGTGCACATATGTGTAGGATAGTTAGCTCTTCTTGTTGAATTGATCCCTTTACCATTATGTAATGCCCTTCTTTGTCTCTTTTGATCTTTTTTGGTTTAAAATCTGTTTTATCAGAGAGTAGGATTGTATCCCCTGCCTTTTTTGTTTTGCATTTGCTTGGTGGATCTTCCTCCATCCCTTTATTTTGAGCCTATATGTGTCTCTGCACGTGAGATGGGTTTCCTGAATATAGCACAGTGAGGGGTCTTGACTCTACCCCGTTCGCCAGTCTGTGTCTTTTAATTGGAGCATTTAGCCCATTTACATTTAAGGTTAATATTGTTATGTGTGAATTTGACCCTGTCATTATGATGTTAGCTGGTTATTTTGCTCGTTATTTGATGCAGTTTCTTCCTAGTATCGATGGTCTTTACAATTTGGCATGTTTTTGCAGTGGCTGGTACCGGTTGTTCCTTTCCACGTTTACTGCTTTCTTCAGGAACTCTTGTAGGGCAGGCCTGGTGGTGACAAAATCTCTGAGCATTTGCTTGTCTGTAAAGAATTTTATTTCTCCTTCACTTATGAAGCTTAGTTTGGCTGGATATGAAATTCTGAGTTGAAAATTCTTTTTTTTAAGAATGTTGAATATTGGACCCCACTCTCTTCTGGCTTGTAGAGTTTCTGCTGAGATATCCGCTGTTAGTCTGATGGACTTCCCTTTGTGGGTAACCCGACCTTTCTCTCTGGCTACCCTTAATATTTTTTCCTTCATTTCAACTTTGGTGAATCTGACAATTATGTGTCTTGGAGTGGCTCTTCTCGAGGTGTATCTTTGTGGCATTCTCTGTATTTCCTGAATGTGAATGTTGGCCTGCCTTGCTAGATTGGGGAAGCTCTCCTGGATAATACCCTGCAGAGTGTTTTCCAACTTGGTTCCATTCTCCCAGTCACTTTCAGGTACACCAATCAGACGTAGATTTGGTCTTTTCACATAGTCCCATATTTCTTGGAGGCTTTGTTCGTTTCTTTTTACTCTTTTTTCTCTAAACTTCTCTTCTGGCTTCATTTCATTCATTTGATCTCCAGTCACTGATACCCTTTCTTCCAGTTGATCGAATCGGCTACTGAAGCTTGTGCAGTCATCACGTAGTTCTCGTGCCATGGTTTTCAGCTCCATCAGGTCATTTAAGGACTTCTCTACACTGGTTATTCTAGTTAGCCATTCGTCTAATCTTTTTTCAAGGTTTTTAGCTTCTTTGCGATGGGTTCGAACTTCCTCATTTAGCTTGGATGTTTGTGGTATTTTGAAGTTGGAAAACTAATTTTATTGTTTGTTTTTCCTTGTAATTTATTTTAGTTTTTAGATAACAATATTTTCTTTATTCTTCCCTGATACTCTATAATATTTGTAGCATATCTTAAAATAGGGAAAGGTTTTGTAGATTTCAGTTTTCAAATGATGGTTACGTAAACTTTTATTGCAAGGCAGTTAAAGAATGTTAACAAGTATTATCATTGCCTGGGTGCCTTCTGGAAGTGCCTTCTAGTTCTAGACGTTTTTAACTTCAGTTCCTGGACAGTCCTAATTAATACATTAAAACAAAAGAGAGCTACTATAAAAAATGGTGACCTGGCTGGGTGCTGTGTCTTATGCCTGTAATCCCAGCACTTTGGGAGGCCTAGGTGGACGGGTCACTTGAGCTCAGGAGACCAACATGGGCAACATGGCAAAGCCCCATCTCTACCAAAAATACAAAAAATTAGCTAGGTGTGGTGGCACACACCTGTGGTCCCAGCTACTCAGGAGGCTGAGGTTGGAGGATCACTTGAGCCCAGGAGGTGGAGGTTGCAGTGAGCTGTGATTGCGCCACTGCCCTCCAGTTTGGGTGACAGAGTGAGACCCTCTGTCCAAAAAAAAAAAAAGAAAATTTTTTTTTTCTTTGATTTTCAGTGTCTCTTGTGTGGGGGAGGAGGGAGAAAAAGAAGGACAAATAATGTGGGACAGTAATTCAGGACTTGATTAAGCAAATGAACAATAGGTGTATGAAAATATATTCAGTAAAAATTAAAAGAAAATGGAGAATTTTAACCTACTTTAATATTAACAGACCTCAGAATTATTGATCAGATGTAGTCTGATTCACTTGAGGGAGCGTTTTGGTAACATTGTCAGGAGACAGTTTTCTGAGGGTCCTTCATTTAGCTGCAGGTTTTGTGAGCAAAGCGAGCAAATCACTGCCTGTCCTTTGTTCCGGAATATCTTTTAGAGGATTCTGGTGTAGCAGACAGCTACAGATGCAGTGTCTTCCTCTGGAGTCAAGGACAGGTTTGCTTACTCCCCATTGTGACACATTCAGGGTTTCCTGTGCAGAGAAGTCCTTCCTGTAACACAACCTCCTATGTGTGCAGGGTCACCTGGCTCTCTTCACACGGCCCAGTTGGGAGTGGGGCTTCTTGGAGCTGGTGCAGAATGCTACTGCTAGTGATACAGATAACATTGTCCTAGTCTCCTTATTTCTGACGAAGAGTCTTAGCTTTCTTACAGCTTCCGTGAAATGGTGGCCAACTAACTTGTTAGCTTGCAAGTAGAGTAAAATCTTATACTCTTCACTGTTCTTGACAGTATTAAAAGCTTTAAAGCTCCTGTCCTTGGACTCAACAATTCCACTTTAACAAATTTATCCAAAAGAATTAATCTGTGTTCAAAGGTATATGTATCAAGTATTTGTTTGCAGCATTGAAAATAAATGGAACCAATGTATAAAAGAGTAAATCATGGCCTAACCTTAAAGTGTAATGCAGTATACCAAGTGTTGTCTTAGTTCTGTTTGACTTGGAAAGGTGCTCGTGATGCATTAAGTGTAAAGAGCAAGATGATAGAATTCTTCCCTTCAGCTCCCCCTGTAACTGCAAATCTAAATATGTGTGTGTAATTCTCAAAAAAAACAAAAAGTCTATGTAGTTACAGATGGAAATGGTAATAATGATTACTACTAAATGGTGGAATTATTTAGTCTTTGTATTCCAATATTTTCTGATTTAAAAATTTTTTTACTGTAAGCGAGAAATATTCTTTTTCCTTTTTAAATATGAAAAGACAGGGAAACATAAGGTGGTTAAACGCCGACCCTTGAATTTGGAAGGCAAAGAGCTAGAAGTTGCATCTGTTTCACTCTTGTGATTTTTTTTTCTTTTTTTTTTTCTTTTTTTGCTGTTAACACTCTCACATGAAACTTCCTAAGGGTTGTTTTCAGTATGAATCTTTCTAGCAGAAAGTAAGAGCTCATCCATATTAAGTATTTTGTCTTTTTTATACCATCTGCTAGATGTATTATTTACTTTTTACTTTTAAACTGTGTATCTCATAATTTAATTTTAAATTTACTGTTGAAAAATATTTTTAAAAGGTATTCGTATATTTACTTTTTTTATCCTTTCCTTGATGGTTTTAGTTTACTTTGTTTATGTTGCTTGCTTTTGTGATGATGGCAGGTTCTTTGTGATGCTCTTGATCTTAGGACTTTCAGTTGTCCTTCCTGGAGGCTGGTGATGTGCTGGTCTTTTCCACTAGCAATAAATATTTGGGGCTTTTTTTTTTCCCGGCTGCATTGTAGAATATTAGTCAATGAGATAATTATTGGGAACTCATGCGCATAATACTGTTTTAAGTGCTGAGAAGTAGAAGTTGCTAGTATTTCAACTTTTGTAGGATTTGGTTTTGGAGGGCTTGTGATCCATCTTTTTTAGAAGTCTAAATAAACTGTGTAGTCCTCAGGGAGGAGTACCATTTTTAATGTGCCACATATCCGTCTGTTTTGGTGTCTTCCTAGTTCCTGGACTCCCTTTCCTAAATATCTGCATTGTTGCCGAGCATCCTGTTGTGCCCCATCTGTGTTGCCGCACGCTTTGGTCTGCATTGCTTAAGACTGGCAGAAAGGGTGTTGCGGTTTTCCAGATGACTTCATTCTAGGAGCTCTGTTAAGGTCTATATTAGAATCTTAATTATAGAACTTAAAAGCAATTAATTAATTTTAATTGAAAAGCCTATTTTAGGTGACTCCTTTTATTTAACTAATGTTCTTCCTTGGTTCATATAGAGAAATCATTATATTTGAAACAAGTTAGATCTAATTATAAAGACTAAATATCAGTCTTTTATAGTTAATGCGGCCACATTAGTGCTAGTTATGCTATTGTCTTCTAACATAGTTATTTAAAAAGACTTGCCATTTTCACATAGTTTTGGCATGTGTAGAGGAAGAAATGAGAGAAGCTTTAAAAACATATTTGCACCACTTAAAATACTTGTGAAATGGTGATAATGTTTACACTTAGAGATAAGCATAGATGTAAAGTGTACAGTAAGTTTTGATACATGTATACATCCAAGTTACCATCCCTTGGTTGATAAGGAACAGTTCCATTACACAGAATGTTTTTGTCTGTTCAGTCCTGACTCCTCAGAGTAAAGCGTTCTTATTTCTATACCTAGATTGGCATTTCCTAGTCTGGAACATCACCTAAATGTAGTCATATAGTGTGTGTGCGCTCCTGTGTCTTGCTTCTGTTGCTCGGCACGTTTTTGAGATTCATCCAAGTAGTTGTGTGTATTAATAATTTATTCCATTTTATGGATGTACCCCATTTGTTCATTCTCCCAATGATAGACATTTGGGTTGTTTCCAGTTTTTTTGTTATTATGAATAAAGCTACTAAAAGGATCATATTACCCATCTTTTTGTGGATGTATGTTTTTGTTTCTCTTGGTTATTAACAAGTAGTGGAATTGCTGAGACGGTCTAGAGGTATGTTTACTTTTATAACAAACCACTATTGGTTTTCCAAAGTGGCTGTACCATTTGGCACTCCCACCGGTACTGTGGGGGAGTACCTCATTGTTCCTCATCATTTAATGTTGCCAATCTCTTGATTTAATCCTTCTAGTGAGTGTGTCATCGTGGTTTTAGTTTCCATTTGTCTGACCTCTAGTGATGTTGAGCACCATTCCATGTGCGATTGGACTTCCGTATATCTTCTTTGCTTCTAGTTTTAGTCTCTCACTCAAAAAAAAGTGGGTTGTCTTTTTATTTGTTTCTATATATGCTATATATATCCTATATATTTTTCATAGGATATGCTGTCTATACATGTATTTTCTACATGTATCATCTCTATGGAGAATATGTATGCATACATACTGCATATATTCTAGGTAGAGATAGTTGTCTGTATATTCTGGGTATCATTCCATTGGCAGATAATTACATATTACATATTCGTATTATAAATATTTTCTCTGAGTTTGTGGCTTGTGTTTTCATTTTCTTTTTTTCTTTGAGACAGAGTCTCACTCTGGCGCCCAGGCTGGAGTGCAGTGGCATGATCTCGGCTCACTGCACCCTCTGCCTCCTGGGTTCATGTGATTCTCCTGCCTCAGCCTCCTGAGTAGCTGGGATTACAGGCACGTACCACCACACCTGGCTAATTTTTTATATTTTTGGTAGAGACAGGGTTTCACCACGTTGGCCAAGCTGGTCTTGAACTCCTGACCTCAAGTGATCTGCCCGCCTTGGCCTCCCAAAGTGCCGGGATTATAGGCGTGAGCTACCATGCCTGGCCTCATTTTCTTAAATATGTCTTTTCATGAGCAGAAAATTTTAATTTTGTTGAAGTATGAAGAATTTTGTGACCTAAGAAATCTTTGTTTACTCCAAAGTTGTTATCTTGTTTTCTTCTGGACACTTTACAGTATTAATTTTAGTTAAGATTATGATCTATCTCAATATGTGCGCACGTGTGTGTGTGTGTGTGGTATGAGATTCCGTTTTTTCCATACGTTTTTCTAATTGTTCACCACTATTTGTTGTAATGACTTTCCTTTCCCTTTGGAGTGCCACAGTGCTTGTCCTGACAATAAAATTAGGTTTTAGTCTCTTTCTGGTTCTCTTTTCTGTTGTTTCTGTTGTTTCTGTTGTTTTTGTATCCCTATATCAGTACTATACAGTCTTGATTACTGTAACATGAAAGCATGTTGTGTAAATCCACTAATTTTATTCTTCCTTTAATTATTTTGGCTATTCATGGTCCTTTGAATTTCTGTATAAATTGTGGAACGGACTTGTGAATAACTACTTAAAAGTCTGGTTAGGATTTTGATAGAGAATGGATAGTGTTTTTAAATCATATTGGGAGACACTAACATCTTAATAATCATATTGCCTGTTAATAATGACAGTTTTAAAATTCTTCCTTTTCAATCTATATCCATTTCTTTCTTTCTTTTGTATCATTGACCTCCGGTACTCTGTGACTAGAAACATTCAGGACAGACATTCTTACCTATTCCTGATGTTAGGGGGAAAATGTTTATTTCATCATTAAGTATGCTAGCTGTACGTTTTTATATCAGATTGAAGAAGGTCTTTTCTATTTTGAGTTTGCTGGGATTTTCTTAAAAATCAGAAATGGGTATTGAATTTTGTTGATGCTTCTTTTTTGCATCTATTGAGATAATTATATGGCTTTTATTCCTTATTGTGAATTAAATTAACTTAAAAAAATGATGAACCATGTTCCAGATTTTATTTCCATTTGACTGGTTTTTCTCTTCATGACCTCTCACTGGTCTAGGACCCAAGCCACATAACCCATCGTTGTCTCTCCATTCCCCTTTGTTGTGTGACAGTTTCTTAGTGTTTCCCTGTATTTCATGACCTTGACAGCTTTAGGAAGTGCTGGCCGAGTATGCTGTATGATGTCTCCCAATCTCAGTTTGTTTGACGCTTTTTTCATGATTAGCTTGAGGTTGTGGATTTTGGAAAGAACACTATGGAACCCTTGTGCCACTGGGCGCATGACATCCACAACGCCCCTGGCAATGCCCACCTTGGTCATTTGGGTCAAGCAGTGTCTGCCAGTTTTCTTCATTGTAATGTTGCTTTCTCTTTCCTTATTCAGTTCTTTGGAAACAAGTCACTAAGTGTAGGCTACCTTAAGGGATGGGGTTCTGGGGAGAGGGGAGGAAAGCAACTTAAGCCCCACCTCCTGGAGGAGGAGGAGGAGGAGTATCTCCATAGATTTGGAATTCTTCAGGTAAGATTTGACTGATTTTTGAGTGTTAACGTCATGTTTCTGGATAAACCCCACTTGGTTGTGATGTATTATCCTTTTTATATTTGGTGAGATTCCGTGTACTTTTACTTTTAAAAAAGATTTTGTTTCTGTATTAATGAAGGACACTGGTCTGTAATTCTTTTTCTTCTAATTTTTGCACAGTTTGCTTAGTCTTTCCAACCCATAAATTTTCACTGTTGGTAGAATGACTTTCATTTTTATTTGATGATGTATCAATAATTCTATCAATAAGCATTAAAAACTTAGTGAGCTTTTTGTAAGCAATGTTTTCTCTTTTGCACTCTCTCTCTCTCTATATATATAGATTTGTGTGTGTGTGTGTGTGGTGTATGTGTTTCAGAGAACTACCCATTGTTTCTGTTTAGATTTTGGGATAGAATATTGAATTTTCTTTCAGAACACTGAGATCATACTTTCATTTCAGAATTAGCTGGAGAACTTCAAAATATATACAAGTCTGAGTATTTTTCCCTCTTTGCTTTTCCAGTTCTTTCTACATTTACGAAATAAAGCCTAAGTGGACCTCTCTGTTTTTTTAAGTACTTTGATGGTGATTTTCATATGCAGTCTGTATTAAGGATTAAAAATAAATCTTTCAGGTTTTCACAATAAATCAGTAACTAAAAATCAAACCTTTGACTATTTTTGTCAATGTCTATAGTGAAATGAAAGATTTACATGCACATTTAAATGTTTACACAACATAATCTTAGGATAGTTTGATTTTTATGTTGTAGCAGCACACTACCCATCAGTGGAATGTAGCTTGTCAATGGCATGCTAGGTAATATTTGTTAAAAATTATACAGAAGGCCAGGCGTGGTGGCTCAGGCCTGTAATCCCAGCACTCTGGGAGGCCGAGGTCGGTAGATCACGAGGTCAGGATTTTGAGACCAGCCTGACCAACATGGTGATACCCCGTCTCTACTAAAAATACAAAAATTAGCCTGGCGTGGTGGTGGACGCCTGTGATCTCAGCTACTCGGGAGGCTGAAGCAGGAGAATTGCTTGAACCTGGGAGGCAGAGGTTGTCGTGAGCTGAGATCGCACCACTGCACTCCAGCCTGGGCAACAGAGCAAGACTCCATCTCAGGGAAAAAAAAAAATTATACAGGAGGTCAACGTTTTGGTAGACAGGTTAGTTTTCTAAACCATATGGTGAAGGGGGATGGATTTTTTAAGCCCCATATTTAGAATAAGAGGCTGAAGAATTAAGTCTAGCTTAGTGGATGTTGTCAAATGGGCTGCAGTTAAGCAAGTGCTATCAGCCGTGTTTGGTGGTTTGTCAGGTTAGTTTCCCTAATCTTTGATGTAGTTCAAGGATTAACTGAGCCCCAAGATTTGGACCAGAAGTTTGCATTCTAGGATGGTTCCATCACTCAAAAATATTCCTTGTGCTATCCTTTTGTGGCCATACCTTTCCTTCTTTCCTAACCACTGGTTACCAGTGTAATTTTGTTCCTTGGAGAATATCATATAAATGGAATCATTGCAGTGTATAACCCTTTGAGATTGACTTGTTTTACTCAGTATAATGATGCCTTTATGGTTTTATCCCTGTTATGTCAATAGACCTATTGCGAAGTAGCATTCTGTGGTTTGGATGTACAAGAGTTTATCCATTCATTCATTGAAGGACATTTAAGTGTTTCCAGTTGTAGTGATCCTGAATAGAATAAACATTTTCCTATAGGTCTATTTGAACATAAGGTATCATTTCTCTAGGGTAAATATCTAGGAAGAAACAATTTTCAACTCATCTTTATCCTCTTTAGATTTCTTAGATGGAGATTTGGATGCAGAATAAGCTATATTAATTTCCGTGCTGTCTTGTTTTACATTAAACTTGTTTGGAAAGTCTTTGAACTGTGCTTACAGTTGTTAATAGTTGAATTGAAGATGACTTTGTAGAATCTTTGCTTTGTTGGTAGTGATTTCTTTTCCTCCCTTTTGGACTTGCTACTCTACTCAGTGTAGTCTGTGGACCTGAAATGTTGGCGTCACCTGGGAGCTTGTTAGAAATGCAGAACCCCAGGCCCCATCCTGAATCGGCTGAGTCAGAATCTGCTTTTCAACATGATTCCCACTGATGACTGGGCATTGAATTGGAGAAGTGCTGCTCTAGAGCATCATGGGAGCGGAGAATAGACGTCCTAAGGAAGCTGGCTTTGGTTCTGTTGGGAAGTGTGGTGCAGCACGTACCTTGCAGGCATCCATTCTGATTTCAAACACTCAGTAGTACAGAAATAACGGTATCAAACCAGCAAAAATCCTGAGATTTTGGTACTTTAAAATTCTACGGTATGCTGGACGTCAGCATACTGAGTGGGGGTATTGTAATTGTCAGGCTTAAGGTGAAAGTTGTAGTTTACTGTCATCTCCTGCTGTTCAGGCATTTGCTCTCCGAAAGATCTTTTTCCACTGGGAGGATTTATAGTAGAGTGTGCATTTGTAGTTGGTCTTTTTACACAGAAAATACTGAAAAAGGCAAGAATATAAAATGATTGTGTCATTGGTTTGTTTTCATTTTTTTCTTGTGCATTTTCTAATAAAGTTCACTGTTACTTCTATTAAGAGTAAATAACATTTACATATTACAAATCATGAGACTAAAGGAGCAAATATATTCTCCTTACATTGATAAAAAGTATCTAAATTAACCTTGCTCTCTGTAGGTACTTATTTTATGTCTAAGAGTGGGTCACAGAGACTGATCTGAGGTGAGAGGTGATTCTTTCACTAGGAACATGAGTGATACTTGGCAGTAAGAATTGTCCACAAAGAAATTACTTTTAATTTGGGCTGGGGTTAGGGAAAATTTTTGTAGGGAATACTGATATAATAAAATTTCAGATAAAAGCTGGTTTTAGTGTGACGACATGACTGAAGAAAAAAAGTTTCTCCTTTTCAATAGTCTCAGTCAAAGATAGTGATAAATTAACTCTAGACAGTGAGATTGAAGTAAAAAGGAGTGAGAAATGATGAAAGGATTTTGGAGGCTACATCAGTAGAACGGCACATTTGGACTGCTTGTCTGGCAGTGAAGGGGAAGGTAGGTGGGGTCAGAGTTATAAAATGTTGAGCCTTTAAGTTACAATAAACTCATAGAACTTTAGTGTTAGTTTAATTAATACATTGAATTTCACTATGATCTGTATTAAACTCAAAGCAATAAGTCCAGCAGGAATTTTTGGAATTTGTTTATTTTCAGACGTGTAAGCAGCAATGATGTGTAGGACTTTGTCTATTAATTGCAAGCAAGAATTTGACCTTTTTTTTTTTTTTTTTTTTTTTTTTTTTGAACATTAACTGTTAATGTTTAAGGTTATTTTCTCCTGGAGTCAGCTTAGGGTTTCATGTGGCCTTTTAACAGGACATTTTGCAGTATTTTTTACATCTGAAATATAAACAATTAAATATTTTAGCATTCTTTAATATTTAATTCAAAAGAATATGAACTTACTGTCCTTTTTTTGCCTTGTGTATCTGCAATATAGGGAGGTATGGAAACATTGGAACTTCAAAAGGACATCAAAGAAGAATCAGATGAAGAAGAAGAAGATGATGAAGAATCTGGACGATTACGTTTCAAAACTGAAAGGAAAGAAGGAACAATTATTAGGCTCTCAGATGTAACTAGAGAGAGAAGGAACATTCCAGAAACTTTGGGTAACTTTTTTGCCTGTCTCCCATCCTCCTTTACTCTCATTTCAACTTCCTCCATAGTATTGCTGTAATTAATCAAAGTAGGCAAAGAAGGTTGACTAGGTAATTGCGGCTGCCGTCCGGAGAGTGGCCGGACTTTGGAGTGAGTGCTGTTTATGGTACTGTAAAACTCATTCTTTAAAATCATTGCTGTTTATGGATTTAAAATGCTTGAATAAAATGTTTAAGATAATTAAAAAAAATTTTTTTTTGAGTCTGTGGCCTACAGCTGCTCTTGTACATGCTGTGGTTCCTGGCTGGTCTTGAAAAGGTGGCATGGGGATGGTAGCTATGGGGCCAGGTTGACCCTTCCCAAGACCCTGAGGTTGTCAGGGCGAATTCTGGACAAGACCGGTTTATATTTTGTACCTTTTAGTGTCTTCATAGCTATATCTTTTTTTGTGTTTTCTGCAGTTCCTCTGACTTTAATGAGACAAGTTGACTCGTTTATAGAAATAATCACTCTGAGCAAAGCTTGCTGTGTGAAAGGTCTACTACAGACTGCTGCTGATTCACGGAGACTTTTAATAGCGACCCTACCCCTCATTATACAGTGTTTTTCAATGTCCACTGCAAGGAATAAAGCAGTGATTCCAAATTTGAGTGAGCGTTAGAATCTCAGAGGACTTGTTAAAACACAGATTTTGGGACCTGCTCCCAGCTTCTCTGATTGATTAGATATAGGGTAGAGCCCAAAAAAGTTGTATTTTTTTTGTTTTGTTTTTGAGACAGAGTCTCGCTTTGTTGCCTAAGCTGGAGTACAGTGGCACAATCTTGGCTCACAGCAACCACCGCCTCCCAGGTTCAACTGAGTCTTCTGCTTCAGCCTCCCGAGTAGCTGGGTCTACAGGTGCGTGCCACCACACCCGGCTAGTTTTTGTGTTTTTAGTAGAGACGGGGTTTCACCATATTGTCCAGGCTGGTCTTGAACTCCTGACCAAGTGATCCACCCGGCTCAGCCTCCGTAAGTGCTGGGATTACAGGCGTGAGCCACCGCTCTTGGCCTAGAAAGTTGTATTTCTAATGAGTTCCCATGCAATGCTGCTCCTGCACTGGTGCTTCCAGAACCACTGGGATATTGTCCTTCCAAGGAGGAGGGCAGGCAGGAGGGCAGGAGGACACAGGGGCTCTGCCTGCCATCTGGTCTTGGTCTAGATAAGAATCAAGACTTACCTTTCATGATTAATTACTTTTTAAAACCATTATTCATAGTCTTTTTTTTGTCCAAAACATGAGCCTGTATCTTTAAGTAGCAGATACGAATTCTGTGGGAGGACACTAAGCTTCAAAGATGCACAAGATAGCAGTAGTCAACCAATATTATCTTAATTTACTAGGCAAGATTGTTCAGAGAGATTCTTCTAGAATCTTTGTTCTCTTTTTCTTTGTGGTCTAGTTTACTACTACTCCATCTTGTGGCCCAAGATTTCCCTAGACTTTTTTCAAGTTATGATATGAAGTTGCCAGTTGAGCTGAAGCAGATTTCTTAGAAGCATCTTTAATTTCTAAGAAATAGAGTCTGGCATTGGCCTTAGGTGAAAGATGGAGCGAAGGTCTTAAAACAGAAGGATGAAAATAAACAAAATACATCAACAGGAGGAATTGGTAATATCACAGAACAGTCTACTTGAGCAGAGACATGTCAGTCTTGGCTTGAGATGAGATGGACAAAGGAAAGCTCTCCATACCTGGCAGAATACTAAGGAATTCTAAGGGCAACCCACAGCCACCACCTGGAAGGCATAAAGCTTCCTGAACTGGGGAGGGATGGAGGAAGAGAAGGATTAGTCATCACTACTGCTTCTTTTGTTGGGTCTTGTTATCTGGGCTGTGGCTTTGATTACATACATTTAAAACATGATGTATAAAAGCATAGTCACTGAGAACTCCCCAGGTAGCTACAAGTTCTAAGACTATTAATTCACTTGCTAGACAACATTACAAATGGGGGCTTTCCCCAACTCTGTAGTCTGCTCCCTGTGGGCTGGCTGTGGATT
This sequence comes from Homo sapiens, assembly GCF_000001405.40. Taxonomy (NCBI): domain Eukaryota; kingdom Metazoa; phylum Chordata; class Mammalia; order Primates; family Hominidae; genus Homo; species Homo sapiens. The sequence continues at coordinate 155,702,978 of NC_000007.14, forward strand.
TCATGGCTCGTCTTTCCTCTTCTGTACCACCCTGCCCTGATTTGTGGTGCCTCTCTGCCTTTCCCACCTCCCTGGTTTCCAGCTGCGTTATCTCATCCCTGTTCATTGTCCCTCCACCCAACCACTAGTAACATCCTTGTTCTGCAGTGATGGCCAGCTTGCATGTGTGCTTAGTGTCTGTTTCAGTCCTGCATCTCCTTCTTCTCAGGACTTTTCCCTCATTTTTTTCTTTCCAAGGTCATTGACAATTTCGTGTATTTAAATAACTTGTATTAAATCTGTTTTGCTTTTTAAGGCATCTGGAAACTTTGTGTTCATGTAATTCTGGGACAAGAAGCTGGAAAGGTTGGTTTGTGGTGGGCAAGTCCTCTCCTTGGAATTATGGGGGAAGAGTATGAGACCCTTAGAGGCAGAGTAGCTATAAACATATACAGCTTGACTAGTGACCATTCTCAGAAACAATAAAAAAGCACTTAACTGGATTTTTGTAGAATGTGGTTGTTTGGCAAGATGATAGGGCAGGTGAAACCATAGTTAAAAGTACCTTTTTCTGTTCCGTATTACTTAAGAAAGCTTGGTGCTTGGAAACATGAGTTTCAGATAACTGTAAAGTTAGGATTTTTCCCAACACAAAGGAGGATTTTTCTGTCCGTCAAAAGATTGGTTTCCTAAAACAGTGAATTCTCTTGTTACCTTCAGTACCTCCCCCCAAACAAAAGATGAATTTTACATCTGAGGAAATATATATTGAAAAAGAGATAATGCCTCAGTATTTGGTAAACTAGACATTTGAATACATTTTTACACATCAGTTTATTTGTGTGCTCCTAGAGATCAAAATAAAAAAACCTGAACAGTCTCAGGTTCTGTGTAGAAATAATTATTTGATTGTGTAAAGCTGTTTGCCTACTCTGTAATGGGATTAAAATATCTTGCCACCAGAGTACCTGTTGTCTTATATGAGGTGTACTTTTTTTTTTGTTTTCGCTGATATTGTTAGTGTTGAGAACACTTCATTCTTTAAGAGGGAGAATCAAATGATGCACTGGTATCCCCAATTTCTGACTCTAAAAGTTTACATGTGAAACGAGTTCTCTTCCAATCTAGGAGGGAGTTTTGGTTACTTTTAGTCTTTTTTCACATTCACATCTCTGTGAAAAACATTCATATATATGACAGCCTCAGCAGTTAAGGAACAGTTTTATGCACAGTTGTTGATTGGTATTTTGAATGCAGGTTGGATTAGAAGTAGAATTCTGGGCTTTCATCTAGGTTAAGATCTTAATTGACTAGCTTTTTTTGCTCTATCAGGATTGTGGAAATTAAACCTTACAGAAAAAGATTTGAGTGACAGTGTTCTCGGTTTTCCCAAGGACGATACAGAACTACATACCTAGGAAATAAATTAATTCATTACATACAGAGGATGTTGTAGGGTGTAAGTGCTGAACTCCCTCCTGGAGCTCAGTTGAGCCGGGCTACAGAGTAGGCATGTGTAAGGAATGGTTCACTGTGAAAATGCCAGTCGCCATTTCTGAAGATGGTGTCACTGACCAGTGTCCCCCAATTGCCAGTCCTGCAAGTTGAGAGCTCTCTTTTCGTCTAGGAGGTGGCCCTTGGATTGCCTTAGAAAGCAATGTAAGCCATAAATGAAAGACTGCATTTATTTTAGTTAGAAAGACTGCATTTATTTTTAATTCATTATCTGTGAGTAGGCTTCCAGATTATTTTATTCCGAGTTTCATTGGCACGTGTTACATGTTCTTTTTTATTGCTGTAGCCTAAAGAACCTGCTTGTACACCCACAGAATATTCTCTTGAAATAATATCATTAATTTCAGAGGATCTGTGGGAAAGAGATTTCTCGGTAGTAACAAACAATTCAGAATTGCTAATGCCAGCAATAGCTCACTGTTCAAGGGTTTATACTTAATGGTCCTTATATTTGCAGGGCCTTTAAAATTTTCTTGATTCAGTTGTCTTTTAAAAAAAAGTCAGACTGTCATTTGTTATTTTTATTTTGCCAAACAAATTGTGTATTCTATATGTATTTCAACTATTATAAAATTATTTGCATGCAAATATATTTTTCTTAACATTTTAGAAAGGGACAGTGCAGTGTAAACTTTGTTACATTGAGGTATGTATCTCTTTAGAATCTGGACATAGTTCAGAAAACACTTAAAGGGAAATTAACATTTCAGTTGAAGTTACAAATGTAATTTCCATCCTGTCATATTTTGGTGACCTTTTGTGACAGCTTGTCTCAATTGGAGGAAAGCATTTTTACTTGCTGATTAAAGATGTCATTTGAAACCATTTTATTACTGAGGATAGTGAAATTAATCTTGACACTCAGAACCACTAGAAAAATAATTGCTGATTCACTGCGTAAAATGTGTGTGTGAACTAATCATGTAGTCAAGATTAGAATAAAAGTCTATGCTGGTTAAGAAGAGATTAAATTTTCTTTCAAATGGGGTCTAGTTTTATTTGAAGGAGAGAGGGGTACCATATAAACAATTTCAAGAAAAATGTGACTTAGAGATTTTGGAGGAGTTTGGAGATGATGATGGGATCCAAGGTAGAAGGTAGACTCTGGTAATATTGAAAGCGTACCCTTGGCTGGGGAAGAAGGCAGGAGAAGGTGTCTTGGTATAATGTACTCAGTGACATTTTTAGAAAATGTGGTGTAAGATCTGTTGTCCCAATTTAGCTAGTGTTGTAAAAGGACCATATGTGGCTAAATCATTTTCGTTTCCCTTTAGGAACCTAGAAGAATGTGGCATCTGAAGTTTCTTAGGGCCAGTGCCCATGTTTTCTGTATCCCTAAAGCATTGGGCAGAGCAGTGAGCAGCTGCTGGACACTCCACACGTGTTTGCATGAGTGTTTTCTCATGTGACTTTGCTCTCATTTGATTTGGCTTCTCTGTCAGTCTGCATGCATATGAGAAGGCTTCACAGTAAAGTTTTAAGAAAATAAATACAAAAAATTGAAATGATATGTATTAAATTGAGCTTTTTATTCTTTATGAAATCACCTTGACTTCGGAATGAGTTCATTAATAGTTTTGTTTTTAAGTGAGAATGATCGGGAATTTGTGTTCTTGCGTCTATGTGCCATCGTATGCTATTAATAGCTCTACTGGCTTCAGTAAGAAAATCATACTGCTGTAGGACTGGTAGAACTTCTGACTGATGTCATGCACCATCAGTAAAAGGTGTGACTGCAGGCTGGGCGCGGTGGCTCACGCCTGTAATCCTAGCACTTTGGGAGGCTGAGGCGGATGGATTGCCTGAACTCGGGAGTTCGGGACCAGCCTGGGCAACATGGTGAAACCCCGTCTCTATTAAAATGCAAAAAAATCAGCCGGCGTGGCGGTGTGCACCTGTGTAGTCCCAGCTACTTGGGAGGCTGAGGCAGGAGAATTGCTTGAACCTGGGAGGTGGAGGTTGCAGCGAGCAGAGATCACGCCACTGTGCTCTAGCCAGGGCAACAAAGTGAGACTCTGTCTCGGGGGGAAAAAGGATGGGACTGCAAAATGCCTTGTCGTGTGAGGGCAGTGGCTACGTTTCACTTCAGCTGCTTTTTAGCCTCAGTCAGCACATATCAGTGGTCTCCGATGAAAATAATTTAAAATTTACTGTTAACACTTGCATTGTGTCATAACGGAAAGCCTGTTCTTATTTATCAGATCTCACTAGTGGGTTGTGTGTGTTGCTGGTTGTATCGTACTTGCCGCTGCTAGTTGGGTGTTTCCTGCGGGTGAAGCACATGCTGTGGCAGAGTTTCATTGTCACATCATTCTTTCCTGTTCTCTCCCTAGACCTCCAGTTTGGGCTCTCGGAAAGTAACTAACACATACACATTTTTTCACATAGAGCTTTCAGCAGAGGCCAAGGCAGCATTGCTTGAATTTGAAGAAAGGGAGCGACAGCATAAACAAGGACGCTACAGCTCCAGGCGGGGAGGACGGCGAGGAGGTCCGCTGATGTGTCGTGGTGTGGGGGACCAGAGGAGAGAGAGCACCGAGAGGGGCAGGATGAAGGACCACAGACCTGCGCTGCTTCCTACACAGCCTCCTGTCGTGGTAACTTCAGATTTTCTTGTAGTAGCCCTAGAACTTCAGAACAAATGGCAGTAAGCTTTTGTGGGTATCCTAGTATACATTTCTCTCTTCTTAGTCTGAAATGAAAGGTTAGTAGCAGGGGTAATGGCTGAAGTTTCTGCTTTATAGTCTCATGTGATGTTGCATATAGTCTTAGAAATTCAGCACTCCAGTCATCTGGTAGTAAGAAATCATCCTGTACCACAGATACTTCCAGAGGAGGAATTAATGAGCGACCTGATGCCCTAAGATGACATAAGCTGTTGGACCTTGCTACCTAAAGCCTCTAGAGAGGTATTTCTGAGTGCATTACATTTGAGAGATGTTATTACAGATAGAATTTAGGCAGAAGTTGTTTATTTTATAAAAATATCTTTACCTTTTTACTGTTTACCATAGATTTTTTCCTTAAATGGCAGTTTCTCAGAATTATTAACATGTCCTCCATACAAAGCTTTCATAGTCTGTAGTTTAGGAATAAATCATGTACCTGTAATTTCAATTAGAATTTCGTTTGTATTTCAGAGATGGCACATCTCAGAAACAAAGACAGAAATTATTGATTTTTTTGTTCTTTTTTTGTTTTTGATACAGAGTCTCCCCTCTGTTGCCCAGGCTGGAGTGCAGTGGCATGATCTTGGCTTACTGCAACCTACACCTCCTGGGTTCAAGCGATTCTCCTGCCTCAATCTCTTTAGTAGCTGGGATTACAGGCACTTACCACCACACCCAGTTAATTTTAAAAATATTTTTAGTAGAGACTGGGTTTCACCATGTTGGCCAGGGTGGTCTCGAACTCCTGACCTCAAGTGATCCATCTGCCTCAGCCTCCCAGAGTGCTGGGATTACGGGCGTGAGCCACTGGGCCCAACCTATTCTTTCATTTAAGTTTTAGGGATTGTATGGCTTTTTACTTAGAAGTCAGTCTTCAAGGAAAAATTTACTTAATACAAATATGTGTCCACTGTGTCTACCACATGCCGTTTTTACATTTTTATCTGAATTTAGAGAAAACGACATTTCACTTCTGTTGAAATATTATATTTCAGGAGCCATTCATTTGTGAAATAACAAAGTAGAAGAGATAATTTTTGTTTTAGCATGAGAATTCCAACTCTGATATGTAAAGGGAGAGGAGTAGGTAGGCATACACAATTTGATGATACGAGGAACTGCTGTTTGCTTATACAGCTGTTTTGTTTTTGAGCATCTCTAACAGCAGAAAGGCTGGATTTACAGTTTGTCTTTTTTCCCTTCGTTGCTCCCTGTCTCCGCCGCAAACCTCCACTGGCCATATGTTGAATAGCCATTTTGATTATTTTGGCCTCTTTCGGGGCCAAACAACTCTCATACGAGGCCAGTGTTTACGTAATTGTGTCTCTGATCCTGGAAAAGTTGTTGAGCTCTGTTTTCTTACCCACAAAGAAGGGAAGAGCACGTATCTCTCACCTGCCTCCTTAGAGAGGCTGAACTGAGATGGCGTGAATGCTTTTAGAAATGTCATGGATATTCAGTTGTCCTCAATCCTGATGGTGACGTTGTATCTCTGGATTGTAATGTGACTGATTTGGACTGTTAGAGCCTACTGTGTACTAGGAGTAAACTAGACAGCTGCCCTAAGACTGACACAGCTTTGTAAGCAATAGTCTCGTCTTTGCTAATCAGTGATGAGATCAGGACTGTGGTATCCTCCGCTCCAACTGCGTTCTGTTACATCATAAGCTTTCTCCATCCTATTCACTCCCCATCCCAGAGCTATTTTGTCTCTTTGAGTCTTGACCCCCAAAGTTTTGGAAAGAATATTTTTGGCTCATGTCTCTGCTTGTACCCATTTTCTCCTTGGTTGGCTCTTTCCTGCCTGGATTCCGTTCTGTTCCCTGTCCTGAATGGTGCCCTCAAGAGATGCCACCTGACCCCTTGTCCTGTTGGACCGCACTCTGGGGCCTTGGGCATCACACGGTCTCTTTGTCTTGAGCAGCTCTTTTTTGGGCTTACGAGATTTTGGATGTACTCTCTTATCTTCTAGAATGATTTCTTCTTTCTCCCTTTTGACCTTCCTTTTTATTTTCAAATTAAACTTTTATTAAACTTCCTTTTTATTTCCAAATTAAACATAATATATGCATAAATATATTGCATATGTTTATGAGGTACAGTGCACTGTTACAGTATGTATATGTTGTGGATGGATTATAAAAAGCTAATTAACATTGGCATCCCCTTAAATACTTCCTGGTTTTTGGTATTGAGCATTGAAAATCTCTTTGAACAGTTTTGAAATGCCTTTTCTTTAACTGCATTTTTCTTCAGGTTTTGTTCTCGTCCTCCTTTTCCTCAGTGGTCTCCCCAGCACTGTTCCTCTTGCTGTCACCTACTGTTTCTCAGTGAGTCTTAGTCTCTAGCCTAACCTCTTTCCAGCTCCATTTTCTCCATCTCCCAACTGTCCCTGTACCTCTCCAGACACATGTTTCACAGGCCCTGAATGTCACTTGTTTAATCAAACAAACATGATCTTTCCCTCAGAACTCTGTGGTCTTGAATTAATGACCATGCATTGTGGTCACTCTCAGTTCAATTAAAATTTAACTTGGGTGTCCCTGTGTCTGTTAGTGTGCTGTCTGTGGGATACAATGGTGAGTAAGATAGACAAGATCCCTACTCTCATGGGCAAATGTGCACAGATGTGATGAGTTAAGGAGGGGGAAACATACTGCATTCTGGGAGCATGTGTGCTAGTGGATGTGAGCTGGTACCAGAATCTTTTGAAACGTCTTCTGTGAGGAAGGATAGGTGGGCCAAAGCCATTCACAGATTAGTTTTAGAATTCTACTCATTGTTCCTCTGAGATGTCTTCTTGCTCTTTGTCAGACTATGGCTTTTCCATTGATTCATCTCTCACCATTCCCTATTAGATGGTCTCCTTCCGTCTTCTTTACCCTCGTTCATCTCACACTGCTGTGAATGATCATTTTCCTACCAAAGAGATCATTCGTGATCCCTTATTATACGTGTTGTCTCTGTGGCATAGTAATGGATCATTTACTTGGAATTTAGAAGCCCTCCGTAATTTGGCATCATCTCAGGGAAAATGCTTGTTAAATTAGACAACTGAATAAGTAGTGGTCTACTGCTAATTAGCTGTGTCGTCAGTTTGGTTAGTGATTAAAAGCAAAACCTGTGGAATCAGATGGCCTGAATTCCAGTTCCGGCTTTTCTCCTTTCCAGCTACTTGATCTTGTAAAAGGAGGTCAGTAAATAGGACCTAGTTTATAGGATTGTGGGGAGCTAGGTCAGCTGACTTTCTCTACTGACCGTATAGTAGGAACTTAAAATGTGGGGAAGATTTAGTCCACGGCAGCTGTTGCAGTTGTTGATTTCTTCCTCTCTAGTGACTGTTTGATAAAATAACCACCCTCGAATTGAGATCTCTGATCACTTTGAGTGTGTAATTTTCTTACCTTCTTTCCTGCCTTCTTCCCTGGTCTCCTGATTTTACTAAGCAGGTGGGTCTGTGCTGCTTCTGCTTTTTTCTGGGTATCTGTCCCTCACTCTGCCTTGCACCTCTCTCTTCTTCATCACCGAGTTCAGGTGTCACCCTCTCAGAGAAGCTCCCTCCCAGCCTCTCCTGGAGGCTCTTTGTGGCCCTGTCCTGTTCTCAGGCCTCAGTTCTGGAGCAGGGTAACTGGTGCACATCTCCTGCCTTGCTTACCAGAGTTCCTGGAGGGGGATGCAAGGCTGCTACAGGGAGGGCTGTGGCAGCTGCTCTTCTGTCCCTGGCACAGGGCTTTGCTCAGTGTGGGCAGTTCAATTCCCTGAACTGAATTTTTTTTTTTTTTTTCAAAATTCACACTGGGTGCTTTGGGGCTGTTTTCCCTCTTGCGTGGGGATTGACTCAATTGTGAGACTGTAGCCCTCATTGTGAAGAAGTAGAGAAGCTTCTTTATCCTGCTGTTTTGATACAAGTTGTTACTACAGACTTCTTACATTGTAACTTAAAAAATGCAATCAGTGTAAATTTGTAACACATCAGCATTCTTTTAAATGTTGATTTCGGTGAACTTTTGTTTTTTTTTTTGTGATTTGTAGACTCATTCTCCAAGGTTAATTCCTCCACAGCCCCAGGCTCCCCCTCCACCGCCACCGCCGCCTCAGCAGCAGCCGATCAGAAGCCTGTTCCAGCCGCAGCCGCTGCAGCCGCTGCTTCCGGTGCAGCACCCGCACCACCCATCCCCGCCTCAGGGAATGCACATGCCTCCCCAGCTAGAGACCCCAAGGATGATGATGACCCCGCCACCCGTGACTCCACAGCAGCCCAAGAACATACACATCAACCCGCACTTCAAAGGGACGGTGGTCACGCCTGTTCAAGGTCTGTGTTTCCTTTTACTATTGTAAAGCATAGATGGCCCCAGCTTCCAATGGTTTGACTTAGGATTTTTCCACTGACGCGTTTTTGACTTCATGAGTGTGTGAAAGCAGTATGCGTTCAGAAGAAATCATCGTTCGAATGTTGAGATTTGATCTCTCCTGGGGTAGCAACATGCATCCCAAAACTCCCTCGAAGCTGGGCAGGGGGAGCTGCGGTTCCCAGCCCCGATGATTTTGCCAACTGTGCAATGATGTGAGTGTTCTGAGCTGAAGGTAGGTGAGGCTAAGCTATGATGTTTCATTGGTTGGGCATATTAAATGCATTTTGACTAAGGGTCTTTTCCACTAACGATAGCCTTATTGGGATGTAACCCCATCCTATGTTGAGGAGCATCTGTTATGTTATAGATTACTGTGCATCTGAAGGCATTTATTAGTTTATTGCACTGAAGCCGTCTCTGCGGCAAAATAGTTTTCACATTCAAATTTGTAAGATTGAGTTTTCCTTGGCTCTTCCCCATTCATTTAGATTTTAGTTTGATGGGTCAAGTATATTTCTTTAAAAATGTGTATCTCTTATTGTATAATTGAGTGGAAAGTGCTGAGAGTACAGTCTGAATGCAAAGAATACACTAGAGACCGCTATTGGAATGCCTGAACTGTGACACTTTGTAAGTCTCCCGGTGAGGATGTTTGCAGTGGTGAGTGTCCCTCTTTGGTTCCAGGCAGCATGCCCCCCTTCAATTCCAGTGTCAGCTGGTGGAGAGGGGACACACCATCTTTTAGTTGTTGTAATCAAATAAATACAGATCTGATTATTACTGAAACATGTTCCTTAAGCTAGGAAACGGTTTTTGAGCAGTTTATACGAAGCTTTAACTTCATGTACCTGTGAACACACACATTTATTGAGCTACTACTCTATTTTTGGCATTTGAGTTATATTGACGAACAAACCAGACAAAGCTTTCTTCAACCATGATATTACTTTCTATCAGACAGTCTTATTATTGTTTATTAGCAGTAAACATAAGTATTTTATGTGGCATGTTAGAAGATGAAAATGCAGTGAGAAATTGAGCAGGATGCGGGGAAGGGATGGGTTGTATCTTAAATGGGGTGATCAGGGTGAACTTCACTGAGCAGGAAAGAGTTGAGGGATATCTGTAAGTTAGCAATGTGGCTGTTCAGGGAAGAAGATTGCAGGCAGAGTGATCAGCAAGTATAAGGGGGCTTCCTCCAGGAGAGACCCTGCCTTGTGTGTTTGAGTAGCCAAAAGGAGACCAGCGTGACTTTTGTGGAGTGATCAAAGCAGAGAAGAAATGCAGAACCTGGGTACCGTGGGGCCGTGGGGCCATCCAGCCATTCTCAGGACTTTGGCAGGGAGTGAAATGGGCAGGGATTAGAGGGGTTTGAGCAGAGGAATGACGTGACCTTGTGTATGTTTTAGAAGATTCCTCTTGCTGCCGTGTTGAGAGGAGACTGTCGGGTGGCAAGGGTGGAAGCTGGTGTCTAGCTAGGAGGTGACAGATGATCCTGGTGCAAACCAGTGTGGTAGCAGGGAGAGTGCAGAGAGCTCAGAGCTGGATGAAGTAGGAAGATGGGGCCGATGGGATTTGCTGATGGATTGGATGAGTGTGAGAGGGAGAGAGGAGGTAAGAGTGATGCCCAGGTGACCAGAGCATTTAGAGGGCTGGTCTGGTTGCCATCACCTGAGGTGGGGAGATCAAAAGTTCTGTTTTGGGTGCATTAAATTTGAGATGCCAACTAGCCATGTGAGTGGAGGGGTCTAGTAGGCAGTTGGATGAGAATTCAGTATAGGGGTTTGGGCTCAAAGTACAGGTCAGGAGGTTGTTGGTGAATAGGTGGATTTAGACCCTGCCCTCAAATGAGAGCCCTGGAGGAGGGAGTCTGTGTGTGGGGAGACCAAGGACTGGGACCTAGGGCACTTGACACAGGAGGGGGAGGGGCAGGAGGAGAACCCGTCAGGGAGGCCAAGGACTGGGACCCCGGCACTCGACGTGGGAATGGGGGCAGGAGGAGAGCCTGGCAAAGGAGCCGAGAGGGAGGAAGGAGGATGACGGTCGATGGGGAAGGAAGCAGGTGGCCACGGGCTGGCAGGGCTGCTGCCAATGGGTCAGTGGGTGTGGCCTGCACTTGGGGCGGGGCTGGTGAGGAGGAGGCACAGGCCTGGCTGAGATGGGGCACGGACTTGAGGCCACTGTATTGACAGACTTTGACTGTGTTTTGCTAAAACAGAAGTTGGATGATAATTGATGGGAGCCAAGTGGGCTTGAGAGAAAGTTTTTTATTCTAAGTTTTTTATTCATTGCACTTACAGAAAAGAGCTAGTTAAGAAGGAAAAACATCATTGATGCAGATGAGAGGAAAAACTTGTCTTGTCCAGGACCACGTGCCAGAGGTGGGCTTGCTGAGGGGGAGGAGCAGGGAGTCCTCCACAGCTGGGGCAGATGGATGGGCAGGTGGAGGAGTCTTGTGTCAGTTCTTCCTTGGTGGCCTCAGTTTCCTCGGTGGGTAGCAGGGAGCTAGAGTGGGGAGGTAGGAGGGCGTGTTGAAGGTCTGAGGAGAGGCGCTTTGGAGCATCCGTTCGTGCTTTCGAAGAGTGGATGTGCGCAGGGATGGATGGGGCTGCTGAGCCCTTGAGGGGTGTGGATTTGAGGTGAGGGCAGTCAGCATGGTTGTGTGTCTCTGTCCAGCTGCGCTCATCTGCGCACACTAGGTGTGGAATAGGCAGGCAGTTGGGTTTATGAGGGTCATAGTTTTCACAAAGTAGTAAAGGGAAGGCAGTGCTGATAACGATGGGCTGTGGATCATAAGGTAGATGCCAGGGAGGAGAAGACACCAGGGAGGAGGCTGAGATGGTGAAAAGGAGATCATTGGAGATCTTTGTAGAGTTGAACGATTGTTTGAATCAGGATCCTAGAGGGAGTGAGATGGAAGGGTGGAATGGTCACCAGGACTGGAGGCAGAGGTGGCACGGATCTGAGGCAGGGCACGGCAAGGGCCGTCTTTGTGTTTATTCAGACTGGAGCTGAACTCCCTGAGAAATGAGAGGGCCAGTGTGGTGCTGGGGCATGTCAGCTGGTGGCATGAGATGAAAGCTGGGTCTGGAAGCAGCAGTTAGATCAAGAAGGAGCCCTTCTACCTCCAGACCTTTGGCAAGAAGCTGTGGGAGAACAGCTGCCACTCAGAGGGGCCATTAGAGCGAGAAGGTGAAGGAACTCAAGGGTGTGGTGGATGCTGCTGATGGGTGGGGAATTTGGGATTCCTAAGGGTGTGGGAGAGAAGTTTCAGAAGTGGAGAGTAGCCTAAGGTAGTAGTTCAAGTGCAGGGGATTGGCCAGTGGCCTAGATCCTGGGACCCTCCCATACGTGGGTGAGAAGTATTATGAAGTTGTCCTGTGGCCATGGAGCAGGGGACTGTGATGGTGACGGGCTGGCCCAGAGTGTAAGGGAGGGGGGCGCCTCTTGACAGTGTCTGCGGGTCACCACCAGGCCACTGGGCATGGCAGAGAAGCATAAGGTTTTAAAGTACAATTAACTCCTAACCCCTCCTGACCCCATCGCATGTCCCTGTGTTCCCCCAAAGTTTTTCCCACCCTGGTTAGCATCGCTCATCCACACATCCTCTTAGGTGGCCCTGAGCGTCGCTGATTGGTGTGGTGCCTACGTCTCCTGCAGTAGCCGTTGAATGAATGGAGACATGAACACACGCATACTTGAATGGGGAAGGGTGGCTTTCTTTCAAGTAATCCTTTGCATCTTCCCCATAGTGGTTGTCCTGAACTTGGAACTGCTGTCAGTCTAATTTGTTGGAATAATTTTGCTTATGCTAGCATCTGTTATTCTTGTGCATTTCCTTGTAAAATGCCGTGGAAAGCTGGCAGCTGGTAATACGTACAGATTTTCTTTAGCTTCACTAAAATAGTCTTAGAAATATAGGGTGGTAAAGCTGTCAGGAAGCCCCAAGATATCCTCTATGTATGAAAATGGTGTCCCCTGCAAAAGTCAACAGCCTGGCAAGTGTAGAATGCAGGCCTTGCACCCCAAAGCGCACGTGTGATTTAGCAACTACTCCAAGGTCAGCTTTCTGACAAAAGTTTTTAAACTCAGAACCAGCTAGCTTTTTCTCACCATGAAACTAGGAGCTTTAGTGCCGCATGTCCCTTATCTGTCATTTACCTTTGACCTTCAGAGGTACACTGACACAGGAGAGAAGGACAAAGTGTTCTTGCTAGGTAGATAGGCAACACTTTCGAAGCAGTTGTTTATTCTCTAATAGATGAATGAGCTTAAATAGAAATGCACAGTTCCTCTTGAGAGAGACTGAATATCAAGATGTCTCCTGTAGGTAAAAGATACACAGATTAAACCTTTGATTCTCAGAGCCTTACACAGATGAAAGGTGCTTTTTAAAAAAGCTAGCAATATATATACATCTTCTTCTGATGGCACAGACTTTCTGAGGATGAAGAGTGTTCCGTTATAATTTATTTAAAAACAATTTTGATGGAAATTTAACTTGTTTCCAGGTTTTTAGTATTATAATTATAATGAATTGAAAACAGTCCATTAAATACATGGGACAAGTTATAAATATTAAACTTCAAATATTCAAGTTGAAGCTTCAGCTAGACTGGTCTCTAACATCACACCTGTTAAATTCTTCGCTGCAGTAGTCGGGCAGCCAGGGCCTGGCAGGGAGAGCCCGCAGACACATGCCTGGGTATTCCCACTGAGGTGGCATCTCTTGGGTGGGCCAGGTGTCTGCACTGTTCCCATGGGGACTGGACTGTCCGCACGCAGCAACCCTTTTTGTCAGCTGTTTTTCCTTTTCTGCTGTTTTTTTTTTTTTTTTAAATAGGGAAAAGGCTGGTACTTTGTGCAAATTACCAGCTCATCAGAGGCTTCTGTGTAAGAAATCCATTTATTATAATCAGATTGCTTTCTAGAAATCCCACCTCACCTTCTTGCTCTCATTCTCCTGGTTAAAGAGGCTTAATGTTTTATCCTTTTATCGTGTTGGAATGTTTTGGTAGATATTGGCATTTAAATTCCAAGTTTCTAAGTGGTACCTATGATCGAGTTAGTGAAGATCTGGGTGTCTTATATTTGTTAACTTGATTATAAAAATCACGTCTTTACATTTAATATGTAGTGTTTTTCTTTGTCACCTTCATTATAATCTTCTGAGGTCAGAGATATTCTTGTTTTTTTCTTTCTCCACTTTCTCCAGTCTAGTGTTTCACTTTAGATATGGAATTGATGTAACATCAGCTGTGTAGAATTGAGGGGAGAGTTGGATTCTATTTTATATAAAGTCTTGCAAACTGACCCACTCTAATTTTGAAATTTGGACTCATTAGATTAGTCTGTCAAGGAAGGGATGAACTTCTGCCATTTTTACATTTTATAAAAGTAAGTTTTGTTTCAGTCACACTTTGCATTTGATCAAGCAGTGACACAGGCCATGTATGCTATCACTTGAAATTGAAGTGTGGGAAGTGCGATGTCAATTATAAGGCTTAATGTATGGAATTCCTTGAGTAATCATAGTAAAAAAAAAGTTTATCATAGCACCCTGTTTTTATAGTGATTCTGATGGACTTTTAAGAGGTATCACCTGTATTTCACATTTAGCAGAAACTTCTTAAATTAAAAAATATGCTTCGTTGTCAATTCCACCTGATGTGTACGAGTTTGCTGGGGCTGCTGTAACAAGCACCGCAAATAGGGTGAGTTAAACAACAGAAACTTATTTTCTCGCAGTTCCGGAGGCTGGAAGTCCAAGTTCGAGGTGTGGGCAGGGCAGCTTCCTTCTGAGGCCTCTCTCCTTGCCTTGTCGTTGGCCACCTTCTCCTTGTGTCCTCACGTGGTCCTCCCTCTGTGTGTACTGTCTATGTCTAAATTTCCCTTTCTTAGAAGGACACCAGGGTTGGGTTAGGGCCTAGACCTCATTTGACCTCAATTACCTCTTTTAAAGACCTAATCAGTGGAATCCAGTTACATTCTGAGGTACGGGGGGTTGGGGCTTCAACGTATACATTTGGGGTTGGGTGTGGGGGCGGGGGGAGGGAGTTGCAAACAGTTCAGCCCCACAGTACCTGACAATCTGAGAGCTTCCTAGGTGTATCTGCCAGCACATTTTGCTGTAAGACGTAGCTGCACTTAGATTGTGAGTTTCTTTGAAAATCAAGATCAGTATAGTGCATAATGAGTTTCAAAGAGCTTAAACACATCTGATTTAGCCTCAAGGTGTGAAACTTACATCTAGCTTCTTCTCTATTATGAGATACCTTTTTAAAAATGATTTGATTCCTTGTTCTGGTGGATTGATGGAAATCCTGCTTGTTTATAAACTAAAGTAAACTAAAAGCCTTGGCATAGGGGATTGTTTAGTGGAAAATTTTTAACAGTTTGTGAGCATTTTCTCCAATTCCTGGGATGTGCTGTTTTCCTTTCTCTGCCTGCCTCACTTCCCTTCCTCCCTTCTCTCTTTCATGATTCATGAGGATTGAGATTTAAATGTGTATATGAGTGGCATAGGAAAATATAACTGGGATTTGATAACCTGGATTATCTGTATAGGGATAGGAGAAACAAACTAGGTTTTTTATTTTAGAGGAATACTATCTTCTTTTGTTGCAAAATATTTTAATTCCAAATAATAGTCAACTATTGAGATTTAAACTTCTGCTTGCACTGCTGTGTACCGAAAAGGAAACTTCTGCTTTCCCCTTTTCTGTTATGGAATTGTTAAAAATACTAAATGCTTAGCTTAAGCGTAAGCACAATGTATTATATGTCTGGTACGCATAGTATATATTTTATATTAAACTTCATATGTTGTCTTACAGGGGTTTGAGTGTTGAGTAAAGTGTGTCTCTAACACAAGGGGTTTTTCTTGCAGTGCCCTTGCTACCAGTTCCGAGCCAGCCGAGACCTGCCGTGGGACCCCAGAGATTCCCAGTGAGTAGCAGCTGCTCCTTCTCCTTTGATAGGGATGAGCATACATTTACTAAGAAATATTAATATAGCAAGTGCAAGAGGTTCCAGCCAAATATAATTTTAAGGATTTGCAAATATTGACAATAATCTCTGCAATAGAAAATGTTTGTTAAAAGCTTAAGGTCAGTGGATTTTTGAGAGTAGAATTAATTTTGTTTAACTGTAAAATTGTTGAATCAGGATCATCAGTGGAATGCCGTTCGTCTTAAAGAATATGAATATTGATTTTATTATTGCCTTATGTTAGTGAGAAAGGGCCTTGCTTTATTAGAGAGGTGGGGGGTGTATGTGTGCATGCACGCACAGGCACGTGTGTTTGTGCATGTGTATTGTGTGTGAAATTCTAGGAAATGAAAATGAGAGATCTCTTGTATTTTAAAAGAACCTCTAGGGTCTTAATGAGCCACTCATTTTATATTTTAAAATGAAGGTTTTCACTTGAAAATACCTTTAAAAGAAAGCATATATTCTCTCTCTCTCTCTCTCACACACACACACTGTCATTCACTTATACACACACAGAAATGCACACTTTGCTGTATCTTCAGTAATTTTATCCATTCTTCTAACATGTTTTAGGTAGAAGAAAAAGCCCATTAACTAGTTATATTTGTTTAAATATATACACTTTATTTTATTTGAATTTTTGGTTCAGTGTGTAGTTTGTTCATGGTTTTACTAAACTAGAGAGTACATTTTTTTTTTTAAACAGTGTAGGGGAAAAAATGTACTGACCATAAAATTTTAATGTCATTTATATGTAAAACAGAGGTAGTCTTATTTAGGTTAAATAGTCTGATTTTCAGGGAGTATCTAAATGGCTTATTTAACTGTTTATCTTTGGTACTTCAGTAGATAACATTTATATATGGCATTTAGCAGAAAGGTTAAATGAAGGATGTGAATGTATAATCAGGTGATTATTCAAAAATAACATTATTGGATTTAAGGTTCAGAGTATTTTATAGAAATTTCTTTGACTTGTAGTTATGAATTATGACATGGTTTCTAAAGCTGGTTCTTCCTGATTTCTTTATGTTTAGCTAATGTGTTTCTATAAGTTATTTACCAAGTTCTAAAAATTAGTTGTTTTTAAAACATTAGATGATATTTATTGGGTATCTATTTGAAGCAGTTGTCTAAAAAGTCAAGTTTTATTAGATCCATTACCCAAGGCTGACATGTATGATTTTAGTCATTGAATACATTTCTTCTGTGGAGTAGTTTATCTGCTAGTTATTATAAAGCACTGACAAATACTTTTTGCTTTTTCAGGACTGTGATTATATCTGTGTTAAAATCATTTTTGGATGTGTTTTCACATTTTGTACTACAAGGATAAAATTTGATGTGAAAAGCATTTGCAGTTAAGATATAAACCTAAAGCAATGTAATTTATATTTTTGTAAAAATGTTTACTAATATAAACTTAGAATAGTCAATTGCAATTTTTATTTCATTTTTCAGTTGTGCAAGTATAATTGTATCTGATGCTAGGAATAAAACCTTAGAATACTTTGCCGCTATTAGAAGAGGATAATAAAAGAACATTTTTGTGAGAAATTGAACTTGCGTTTCAGTTATATAGTACTCTAAGCATGGTAAATATGTTTCAAGGCAGTTTTGAACAGTTTCTGCGAGGTGTAATGTTCAATTTTTGTTTTTGAGATGGGAAGTATGTGTGGGTGATCAGAAATAGTTGGGCTAGAAATGAGCTGTGTATGTGCATATAGCTTAAGAAGTGTTCTCTTCAGCCCAGGTATTTACCACGATTTAACACGTATCTTCCTTTAAGTCCCAAGTGCTGATGTTACAGTGAACTTGGGGTATAGCGCGTGCAGTGCACTACTTATTTCTCAAATCATTTTCCCTTAGAGAAAATCATGAAATGTGTATTTTTTAAAATACAGTAGCGGTATTGTGTTTTTAAAAAGCCCACCAGTCTTGTTGGGAAGGAAAATAAACTCTAGGCTACCTCTCGTTGTTTTACTTGTAAGCCAGATCTTCGTTGAGTAAAGTTATTTTTTTCTTTTTTCTACTACTAGATTAAACTTGGTTCCTGTGAATGTAAATGTAATTTTGTGAACATTTAATGAGGATCTACTTTATGTCAAGTGCTCTGCATAGTGCTGTCTCTAAGCTATAAAATGAACCAAGCATCATTAAATGAAACCTAACTTATGTCCTTGAAGCTAATTTTCATTTGAGTAAAATTTAAGAATAGTGAAGACAACATTGTTGTGGCTTAGCAAAGCCGTCTGGAGATTTCTTATTGGTGGCTGGAGGTGCTGCAGGCTCTGTCTTGGTTCTTATGGATGGCCGTATGCCCCTCAGTTTCTATCCTGGTGGTTTTCTGTATTTGGGGTTCAATCAATATTTGTCAAACCTAATTTTGCTTTAAAAACTGACTACACACACGCACACACAAAGTGATGGAACATTGAACTTCAAATGTAGCAGGTGGTCTGTTTGAGTCAGTGTGCTTCTTAGTACGCAAAAATAGATTTGAATTCAGAAATCTGTGTGCCAGTTGTTATGAAATTTGCAATTGAGCAAATCAAGGTTCATTGTAATCTCTCCTTTCCCCAGCTTAAGTACCTTTAAAGGAATTCTCATTGCTCCTAGGATAGGTAACATTCTATCCAAAGCTGTGCTCGTAGTAGTGCATATGTAGCTTCCTCACATCAGTCATAGTTGTGTGTTTACTCCTATTTGTGTGATATCTGGTGAATGTCTGTGGCTAAACACCCGTGCCAGAGTCCCGGTCATCCTGTGCTCGGTGGTGCACTTAGCCACAGGCCCTGTGCAGAGAGGCGGGAGGGAGCACATAGTTGTCAAATAGACATACCCAGAAACTTAATATAGAGTGACCTTACTGCTTATTAGGAGCCCTACATAGAATAAGTAATGTAAAGGGGGGGTGTGCTTTTTAATTTTTATATTTTTTACTTGTTGTATTCAAGAACGTATGTGAATTTGTATAGTAGAATTATATCACATGCATTTAACTATACAAGAATGCAGCTTCATACCCAATTGACTAAAAGAGTTAAAAAAAAGGCAGACAATACGCAAAAGTACCACTAGATTTCCAAATTTTAAAGGCTGTATGATACATTTGCTATTTATGCTTAGTTTAGAACTAGTATGTCCAGAAATTTTGCTGAGTTATAATACCTCTAGTTTTTTTAATTAAAAATTACAGAAATTGAGGCACCCAAATGTGAAATACCATTTTTCATAGTGTGTAAAATTATTTAAAATTATTCTTTAAAATTATTCTTAAAAATCCAAATCTGAGGCCAAAATTTGGTATTCTGGGCTTTGCTTGTAGTTAGACTAATATTTTTATTTCTTGTTAATTAGCATTATTTGGAGAATTTAAGAAATGATTTTTAAAACAAATAACTGAATGTCAAAATAAGTGTCTTAAGAAAAGGATCCTTGTTTTTGATCATTTTGGAGAAAATTGCTTTTGCTCTTGGTTATGTTAGTCTTTGCACTAGGATGCATGTCCTTCCCTAGTCCCTCATTTAAGGAATTCTGTAAAGTGCTTTGTAATTTAGGCTTCCATTTAAAAATTAGATTTATGTACTTAATTTTAGTTACAGATATGCACGTTAGTTCTGAACTCTGAAACTTTTTTTCTTCTGATTGTAAAACATATTTCCGTTACATAAGTTATGAATACTTACATGGGCTGATGAGCACAGGAAGTAACATACCCTCAGAGCTTAACATGTCCTGTGTGACTGATGACCCTGTTACATTTGGGCACTTTGCTCTGTCCAGTCTTCTGGTCTGGCCTCTTAACCATCTACTAGTCCATTTAATGAACACATTTTTGTTCATGTCAGGAATGCTGAATGCTATTTCACGAAACACTGTGTTGTGTTTTGTTTTGTCTTTTAAATAAGGAAGTAGTGGTGTGGAAGGCTAGTTACCTTTCTGAAAGTAAGTTTCTACACTTTAAATTCTGTTTTCCATTTCAGATGTTCTCTGTTTTACAATTAAATTAATCTAATTGGTTTCTCTTTCTGCAAAGGCTATACCTGGTGTTTTTGTCACTAATATAAAGCTGTAAGTCCTTATCTTATCCATAAAGTATATTTTCTAGTCATGTATTTGTCCTCAGAGAGTTTTTTGTTTTTAAAGTTTGCCCACTTAAAAAAAGTAACATAAAATGTCAACTGTTGGAATATTTTAACATGTTGTTTTGAGACTTTTGTGAATCTAGTTTTTCTGTGCAATTGCTGTTTTTAAGCTTGTGAAAAAGTGCTGAGCTAAATTTTAAGCTTATGAAAAAATCATTTTAAAGATTCCTGACCTAGAGTATTTTAAAATAAGTTTAAAAATTTTAAAAACTATTCAGTCCTTTGATTTTACATTGGTGTTTCGGGCAAATAGTGATATTTCAGTTAGCCGTTAAATACCAGGTAGTTGGGCTGCTGAATAATTTCTTAGTGCCTTTTGTTTAAATTTAAAATAAACTATACTTTTAAGTTTGAATGCATCTTCTTAACAATCGTGTTCTTACTTACTTAGACCTGGCAAACGAGGTTCGTATTTGTGTTTACTCTGTAGTTACAGAACATCACACATCTTATAGTTTGGGCCACATTTGGGCACATGGTATCAGGTGGCAGTGAATGATGTTTCCTGGATGTGTCTTATAGGCCATTTCATGCAAATCATGTTTGATGAGACTGCTGCATCAAATCACATTTCTTTCTATTACAGCCCTTGCAGATGAGAATCCAGACTTTATTCCATCCAGGAAAGAACGTCTTGCTTTTGAACACCTACTGTTTTTACAACATGCTTGCAATGCCTTATAATTACCAGCACTTAAGCTATGGAAGGAATGATGGGCATTTTCTCTGATCAGATCTATAAGTAGTAGCAGGCGAATATAGTAGGAGACCCTTCCAGCTGTCAAACATTGTCAGGCTTGCAAGGAGAGAATGCAGTTTAAAATGCACGTGACATAATACCCAACATCCTCCACTTGCTAGTGGGTTTCTGATTAATCGTGATTACCATACATTATCATACCATCAAATTTAATCATATCAATGAATTCCCATCTGCGGCAGTAACGAGCAGCTAAACACTATGGTAACAGCTATTAAAGAAGGTGGTTTATCAAATTCAGTAACCCTTTAACTTGCTGCTTGGTCAGCATGCGTTGCATGTGTTGGATAGAGATAGGGCTGGGTTCAAGTCCATGCTAATTAGTCAAAGGCCAGGGGTACTCCTTGAAATCACATAAAATTGGTTTCTTGTTTCTTCTGTTGGAGCTGTTGAGCTACTTTGTAAAAACTGCTTTATAAAGTATGTGATAAACTATAGTTGTCCCTTGTACAACATGTGTATATGCGGGGGCCTGGAAGCAATCTCCTATGCATACCAAGGGAGGGCTGTTTTTCGTTTATTGGCTAAGTAAATCTGTTACATTGACTGGGACACCTTTTAAATTCTCTTCGGATATAGAGTGCTATATATAGAGACTTAAACCTCAGTGTAGTTTGCCCATCTGCAACTGAATAATTTAGCCTGTGAAATGTTGGACACAGTTTAAAGTCTTGGAACTCCTCTGTGCAGGGAAATCTTAGTTACCTGTTTTTAGTGATGTGTCCTACAAAACACACTGCTTTTTTTTTTCTTTTAATATTTAATTTCCCAGGAGTTGTTGAAGACCTGTGGTTCTGTTTAGGTGCATTTTTAAGGCACACTTGGAGAGAAGTCCTGTTTTATTATAAAGTATCAAAAGCAATTCTTCTGGCCAGCGCTCCCAGCACTTTGGGAGGCTGAGGTGGGTGGCTCACTTGAAGTCAGGAGTTCGAGACCAGCCTGGGCAACATGGTGAAACCTCATCTCTACTAAACATACAAAATTAGTTGGGCATGGTGGCGGGTGCCTGTAGACCCAGCTATTTGGGAAGCTGAGGCAGGAGAATCGCTTGAACCCAGGAGGCGGAGGTTGCAGTGAGCTGAGATCGTGCCACTGCTCTCCAGCCTGGGCGATGGAGCGAGACTCCGTGTCAAGTAAGAACGAAACAAAACAAAACCAAAAACAAAAAAGTAATTCTTCCAAAAGATGAGAATTTTTCACTTTAAAAATTGAGTGCTTTGAGCGTACAGGTGTGTGAGTTTCGCCTAGTGCCTACAGTTATATAATCATCCAGGGACTCTCCTGCCCCTTGTGGTTAGCCCCTCTCCCTACCGGCCCCTGGCAACCACTGAATGTGTCTGTTCCTATAATTGTGTTATGTAAATGGAATCATAGAGCTTGTTTCATTTGGAGCCTGGCTGCTTTCCTGTAGTATAACGCGTTTGAGATTCATCCATTTGCTGCACCAGTCAGTAGTTTGTCTTTTCTATTGCTCAGTAGTATTCCAGTATATGGATATAGCAGTTTGTGTATCCATTCACCTGATAGGCAGTTGGGTTATTTCAAGTCTTCGGATGTTGTGATTAGAGTTGCTGTAAACATTTGTGTACAGGTTTGTGTGTGTGTGTGTGTGTGTGTGTGTGTGTGTGTGTGTGTGTGTGTACAGATTTTTTTTGTGAACATAAGTTGTCAGTAAATGCCTAGGAGTGGATTGTGGATGATAGTGCATTCACAGATGAGATTTAAGACAGACTGTATGCTTTTCAGTTGACGTAGCTGCTGATACTACTGCTTTCCTTTTTTAGTTGGTTCTTTCCTTTTTTAGTTGTTTTTTTTTTTTTTTTTTTTTGAATGAGGAAGTACGGTATTCATAGAGCATATATGGTTGAAAATCAGTAATGAATAAAAAAAAATTGAGTGATCACTATATTCCACAGTGTGTTCAGCCTGTGGAGCAAAAGTAAAAAATTATTATTTTTTGTTTTAGAGATTGGCAAGCTGACTTTTGGAAAGATCAAATTGCTTAAGTTCACACAACTGGGCGCAGGAGGGAGGACTGGAGGCCAGTTCTCTTAGTTTTTATGCTGTGCTTTCTCCTTAAATATGAAATTGAACTTCCATAAACTGAGAAAAAAACATAGAATCTGGTAAGTTGAATTGTAACTACATAAAATTGTGACCCTCATTAAGTACTAAAGTGAGGAAGTTTGCTATAGCAGGGCCAGTCATTAGGAGGAGTTGTTTCAGGAGGGGCCATGGCAGGGGTGAGGGTGCAGAAATAAAGAGTTTTTCATTTCAGGAAATAATGTAAGTAGTCTTTAGGAGGTTCATCAAAACACCATTTTGTACCAAAGAAAAGTTTTGTAGTTTGTAGTGGGTGCTCTTGTTTCACTGCTTGAACCATTAACATTATCCTAATGTATTTAAATTCATGTGGTGTTTTTTTACCCCTGCATGAAACCTAGTACTTGGCACTAGGTGTATCCTTCTTCAAAATGTTTAGAATGCATCTATAAATATCAAAGTACCCTCTAGGAAGGTGAATATAGGTATTTAAACAAGGCATAACCTGAAAGAAAAAGAAATCTATGGAGAATACTGAAATAAGAGGATTAACATATTGTGATAGAGGGCTGTAATTTTAATTACGTCAGGGGTCACTAGTGACCTTTATTCTTTGCATTCAACCCATTTAATCAGAATTAACTGAGAGGTGTTCTTAAGTGTCAATTGGTTTCTTATATCGTTCTTTGTATTTCAAGTGGGATTAATAAAGGAAAACATCTTGTAGAGATTGGTTGTAATGTATTGAAAGATTCATGAAGTTTCAATGACATTGTTAAGGTATTTAATTAGTCTTATTAAAATATACGGACTGACCCTTTTAGGGAAGCTGATAAGTCACATAATAGCTGTTAGTGCCTTTTTATTCTTGGCTTTATACGATTAACTTTGTGCTAAGCAATTTATGCAAAGTTTTTCATCGTTTTTTTTTTTGTAACCTGAGTTATCAGTTCTTCTTGAATAGGATTAATATAGATAAAAATCATGTAATTAACAAGAGATGCAGAAAAGTGAAAGTATAATTTGTATGAGAATTATATGAGAGAATAATAATTTCTTACCTTGGATTTTTAAAAGAATATAAAGAAAAGCAAAACAGAGCACTTATTTGAGAGGATTAAAGTCATCTTTTCTTTCAAAAGGTAGAATTACGTTAGTACTAAAAGTTCTGTTAAGTGAGGTATTCACAACTCATAACAGTTTTAAAATCTATATTTGCTAGAGGGAATTGGTAATGTAGTACCCTTATTCCCATGAAATGATAGAAGTTAATAAAGAAATGATCACATCAGTAGAACTTCTTATGAATGTCAGATTTTGGAACCATGATTTATATGGCATTTCTTGGAGATAGATTTGTCTTGCAGAAGCAATGCACTATGATGGATAAAGCACTTAATAAACCAAGAGTGTGAGAATGTGGGTTCTTGTCATCTTAGTTGTCATTCATTGGTGATGTAACTTTAGTTAATTCACTTTTAACTCTGTAAAACCTGAGTTTCTTTGTCTCATAGAGGAAAAGTGACTTGTGTGCCAGTTTATTGGAGCAGTATTTCTGTCAGCTACAATAGAATATCAGCTGTGACATTTGGCTGAGTCAGGCTGTGAACCAGGCTGCGTTTAACAGAAAACTTAGTTAACAGTGACTGTTGTATTTTTTGCATAAAAATGAAAAAGCTTCTTTTTAGTGTGTATCAGCTCTGATAGGGACTCCTATGTTTTTCCATCTACCCATCACCTAATGCATTTGTCTGTATTCCAGGCCGAAAGGAGGAGGGGCAAGGGCAGAAGGTGCAGGCCAGCTGAGGTATCCCCCAGGGAGCTCCCCCCACCCATCCCCCAGCTGACAACTGCTCCTGTTGGCCAGAGTCTAGCCAAATGTCACCCTCCTTATAAGTTGGAATATGTAGTTTTTAGCTGGGCGGTGTTGTCCTGAATAAAATTAGGGCTCTGTTACTAAGGAATAAGTGAGAATTTGTGCTAGGTAAGCAGTTAGCAGTCTTTCCCATGTGGCTGACATGTTTGTCAGAATTTAAGTTGTGTAATTAGAGGGAAAGAGAAAAGTGCCACTTGTGTGCAAAACAAAACAGGAAAAGTGACACTGTGCGCTTCATGAGACCTGCTATTTGTCAAACCTCTGTTTCAAAAAAGCAATATTGTTAACAGTCAGTGAGCAGCTTTTGGGATCTTAAAGCTTAAACGTTAAAAAAATTATTTAAATATTTAAACTCTCAAGTTCTATTAGAGCAGTGGCAAGCCACATATCTGCCCAGGTGAGCTCTCCCTTCTGTCCAATAGCATCTGACATTGCCAAAAAGGTAACCGCCCATCCCCGCTTTTTTTCTGAGACAGGGTTCACTTTGTAGCCCAGGCTGGAGTGCAGTGGTGTGATCGCAGCTCGCTGCAGGCCCGGCTTCCCGGGCTCAGGTGATCCTCTCACCGCAGCCTCAAGTAGCTGGGACTACAGGTGTGTCCCACCATGCCTGGCTAATTTTTTTTTGTACTTTTTTTGTAGAGATAGGGTTTCATCGTGTTGCCTAGGCTGGTCTCGAACTCCTGGGCTCAAGCAGTCAGCCCACCTTGGGGTCCCAAAGTGCTAAGATTAGAGGTGTGAGGCACTGTCCCCAGCTGAGGCAACCCTTTTCACTCTGGTATATTTCACGGATCAGTCATTGAATGTTTTTTCTGAGTGGTGTCTTGCATTATCTGCCCTCTTTTCTTATCCTGCTACCACTTGGCTGATATGCGGGCATTTGTCATTTTGGAAAATGCGCCGTCATGACTTCTTCCTGATTGGACTGGATTTATCTACCATTCAGTTGCTCTCTTTCCCTGGGCCAGCCTCTCCACCTGTAAAGGTCAGTGGGTACTTCAGGTTCTTTGGGTCCTGTACACTCGATGACATAATGTTACCTCCCTCCTCACTGCCCTTCACCCAGCTGCTTGAGGAGACAGCACCTTGCCTGTAGCGTGTACATACTCCAGGCTACACTTGCAAATCCTTCTTTCTCCGTTCTTACTCTATTTAACTAAATTCCAAGGTCAGAAATTGCCTTGTTTACTCACCCTGAGTAAACGGTTTCTTTCTAAATCTTAGATAGCTCTTTGGTCTTACCTCTTTAATGCAGCTCTTGTAGATTGATCAGGTGAGTACTGATAATTTCTTTTACTTATTAAAGCCTGCCATGAAATTTCCATGACTGTCTGACTTTTGACTTGATGTAGTACTTACTGGTTTTCTTGACTCTGAAACACACGTAGACTTGCACAATTACACTTACATATGTGATGATAAAACATATGATTAGGGACTGATTAGGGAATGTGAGAAAAATCCCTCCCCATTTGCTGTTCATACCAAGGAATTCACAGTGTGCTCTGCAGGTAGGCAGCCTGGGTTTGAATTCAAGTTCTGCCACTTTCTAACCGTATACTAAGTGAAGGTTATTTAAATGGTCAGAAGATTTCTGTGAGCATAATACCTACCTTGTAGGGTTGTGATAAGGATTAAATGAGACAGCATGTGTATTAGTCTGTTTTCATACTGCTATAAAGAATACCCAAGACTGGGTAATTTATAAAGAAAAAAGGTTTAATTGACTCACAGTTCCGCATGGCTGGAGAGGCCTCAGGAAACTTACAATCATGACAGGAGGCAAAGGGGGAGCAAGCACCTTCTTCACGTGGTGGCAGGAGAGAGAGCAAAGTGGGGCAAGTGCCACTTTTAAACCATCAGATCTTGTGAAAACTCACATACCATTATGAGAACAGCGTGGGGGAAACTGCCCCCATGATCCAGTCACCACCCACCAGGTCCCTCCCTCCACTCGTGGGGATTACAGTTCGAGATGAGATTTGGGTGGGGATGCAGAGCCAAACCCTATCAGCATGGAAGTTCTGGCCTCCCACCAGTGATCCTCACTCTTCTCCCAGCTGCAGGGTGAAGAAGCCAGTCAGCATGGTCCTTCTCTAATGATATTATATAGTTAGAATACAAGTTAAAATAATTTCTCTTGGCCAGATGCAGTGACTCACACCTGTAAACCCAGTGATTTGGGAGGCCAAGGTGGGAGGATCCCTTGAGGCCAGGAGTTTCAGACTAGCCTGGGTAACATAGTGAGACCCCATCTCTACAAAAAATTTAAAAATTAGCCAGATATGGTGGCTCATGCCTGTAGTCCCGGGTTCTCTGGAGGCTGAGGCAAGAGGATCACTTGAGCCCAGGAGTTTGAGGATGCAGTGAGCTGTGATCGCACCGCTATACTCCAGTCTGTGTGACAAAGCAAGACCCTGTCTCTTTAACAAAAAAAAAAAAAAAAAAATTCTGTCATACATGTAAGAACTCAGTTCTGTTAATTTTTCTGTCTCTAAACCAGTGATCACCCCAGATCTTGGCTTCTGTTTGGTCCTTGTGCACTGTATGTGTTTCACATCTGCTCAGCTTAAGAGCCTCAGGCAGTTCACTGCCCGAGGTCTAGGTTAGTACATCCTAACCTTTGTTACTTCCTTCCTTCATTCAGCCATTCAGCACCTCTCCCTGTGCTTTGTGGGCAGCTGGTTTTACAGCATGCCGCAGTACTTCCAGGTTGAGAATGTGAGGCTCGGGGAATACCTTGCTATTACAAACAGGCATTTCATTCATCCATTAAATATTTATGACCGCCTGTGTGCCAGGCACTGGGCCAAGTATGGAAACACATTGATGTGTAAGACAGGCCTGGTCTCAGCTCTCACGGACCCGGCAGTTGAAGGGCAGAGAGAAGTGGAAGTGGATTGGAGACATTCAAGAGACAGAGTTTCTAGGACTTGCTGGTACTTTATGAGGGATTTCTGATTTGAACTCAGAAATAAGAATGCAAGCAGGGAATCTATACTGATTTGGTTTTTACCATATATGGAAACATGGAAATATGACAGAAGATATGGAAATATGTCAGAAGCTATATATCGTATTTACAGTCTGGGCTGCTGTCTACAAAAAGGTGTAAAAATGATAACGACATGTATGGTGAACTTTTGTTATTTGCTAGGTACTGTCCTAAGGACTTTCCTGCCCCTGTGAGGTAGGTACTAATTGCTGTTTTGTAGATGAGCAAACTGAGGCCCAGACAGATTCAGTCATGAGCTCAAGGCTGTAGCTGGTAAGTGGCTGGGATGGAGACAGGGCTGGGAGAGCTGTCAGGTTAGATGATGGGTGCTGCTTCTCAGCCTGAGCACCTACAGGATCACTGTAAGTTAGAATAAAGTTCTGCTTAAACATTAGTGATGGATTTTAAAGGCTTTTATTTTCCACTGAGTGTGGAAAAACTATCATGAGAGAATTTTCGGGGCTTTGTTACGTACCAGTAACATTCAGATGCCAGTGACTGTGCATTTAGACAGCATGTAAATAGTCAGTTAAAGGAAAGAAAGTTTTGGGAAGAGATGAAAATCACAATATTAAAGTTCCAGGGAAATCTTCCAGGGAATCTGATAGTGCTTAGAGACCTAAGAGGTGATGTACCTAGTTCTCAGGTAGCTTGGAATTTTATGGAAAACTAAGTTTGTGGACTAAAGTCTTTGAGTTTCTTCTAATTCAGTAACTCTTTCCTTTTAGAAAAGGATGAAAGAGCTAAAGACAGAGTCCTTTTCCCTGATCACAACCTGTGGCAAAGTAAAAAATCGAACCTTGGTTGACTCTCCGCTCAGAGTGGAGTGGAGGCCAGTCTACTTTCCCAGTTACATTTTGCCTTATCTATAATGAGAAAAATCTTTTTGAGGACTTGAAATTAGCTGCCTGATGGAAGGTAGGAAAGAAGGTTTATAAAGAGTCCTGCTGCAGCAGCCGCATGGCCAGTGCTGTGGTGCCCACCTTATCCGAGGGGCGTGTACTGGAAGACCCCCAGTAGAGACCATGGTTTTTCCTGTACATATATACCTAGGATAAAGTTTAATTTACAAATTAGGCACAATAAGAGATGAACAGCAATAGCTAATCATACAATAAAACAGTTATTACTCTTGCATTTTGGGGCCATTATTAAGTAAAATATGAGTTACTTGAATGCAAGCTCTGCAGTACTGTGACAGTCAATCTAATAACCAAGACGTTGACCAAGTGACTAATGGGCTAGCAGGCAGGGAGTGTCTTCAGCATGGATCCTCTGGACAAAGGTATGATTTCATTCCCCGGGCTGGACGGAGCAGGATGCCAAGAGATTTCATCATGCTACTCAGAAAGGTGTATGGTGTAAAACTTATGAATTGTTTATTTCTGGAATTTTCCATTTAATATTTTCAGATTTCAATTGATGGTGGGTAACTCAACCCCAGAAAGTGAAACTGTGGATAAGTGAGGACCTCTGTACTATTGAGGATGAGATTCATGGCAGTAAGATACAATCATGGAACTTAGAAGAACTACAGAATTTTCTAAGAAATGGAGTTTTTCAGTTCTAAGCCCAGTAAGAAAAGGAGTAATAAATATTAGGGCTTCACCTATTAAATAATGAAGATGGAAAGATCAGGACCTCTTTTAGCTTGTTCTAATTATAGGCAAAATTTAAAGAGAACTGGCACTTCCCTGGCATGAGAACTGAGTGACAAAAGGCCAGCTACAGAAGCAGCCCTTCTTTCTGCACCTGGGGAGGAGCCTGCCTACTGCTGGTTGGTCCTGTGGGAACAGTGTACCCTGCAACTGCACACTTGAAACTGGCACACTGGAAAGGGGTGAAGGGGAAACTGAGCCGGGATAGGAGAGAGTGGCAGTGTGTAATTACCTGTCATTCTGAATAACTGATACATTAAGCTTTGCTTTACTCTTTGTTAAAATTGGCAAAATAATTGTAAATTGATAAAAAAATTTTCACACCCAGTGATGCTGATTTCCGGCTGTTAATACAATAAAAAAGTTTAAGGGTTAAGTGGAAATAGCCTCAGAGGACTCTCCCCCTTTCTCTAAAAGTACATTTTACTCTTCCTTTTCTCTCTGGCACCTCCCAATATCTGCTTTTTTAAGCCAGCTCATTAGCATAGTAGTGACTGATAGAGCTGATGAGTTGCGAGCCCTGAAGTGTGCTGACTATGGTTGGGGCTGACGGCTTGTCAGCCCATCCGTAGCCGACTTTCACCTTCTGTCCTACTTCAGCATACTGTTCCTATATTTAAATGAAAAATCTGACCAAATGTATAATAGTGAGAATTTATATATATTTTTAACAAATAGACTGTTGGTAAAAATTAGCAGCAAGTCCATTACTCGTGGTAGAAAGTGATGTTTAGATGCAGGTGGAAGCAGAGAAGAGGGGGAAGGAAGTGCGGCAAGGATGCCGAGGGCCTTGCAGGCAGAGGGGACAGCTGTGTGGTGGAATCACTAGAAGGTGCTCAGAGGTGTGAAGTTATCCTGGGCAGTGAGAGAAGGAGCTGCCCAGGGACAGGTGAAAAACTGCTGATTGACACTGATGAGCCAGTTAAAATAAAACAAAAGCTTTTAGTGATTCCAGTTCATGGGATTCTTCGTGTTCCAGCCTTCAGGAGCCTGGCCACAGGGGTAGAGGAGTCAGAGGCTTGGGTATGTCTGGGCCCTGTGTCAGGCGTCTCCTGATACAGGGAGGTGGCCAGAGAGTGAAGCAGGGTCAGGAGGAGGTAAAGGTTCTGTACCAAGGGTTACAAGAGAAGCCGTTTTCTGTAGTGATTTTGCATTTTGGCTGAGACAGAAATGTAAGAGTGAAAATTTTTCAAGGAAATACCGGAGATGGAAAGGGAAAGTGTGTATGTAATGTGACAAGTGTCCAGGTTCCACATTCTGACTTGGGGGTACACTACCATTTTTATGTCTAAGTCAGGGAAAAGTTGTAACCCAAATTTAGTAATTTTGATAAGATTTCTTATTATATGGGTTGAAACTCCCCCCACTGCGTTTTTATTATGTCGTGAATAAAATGAACCCTTGCAGAAGCTTTAACTTGGTTTTCTTGAATATTGAAATCCCTGATGTGGTTGAGTGAACTTACAGAAAAATAAAAATACTAAAATAGGGTTGTGACCTTGGACCAGTGATTTAATGTCATAAGTTTTAGCTTCCTCACTGTGTGTTGATGAGTTCATGGGGCCCTGGTATCGACAGTGGTGACAGTGTCATACCCAGGAATTCCTGGACTCTGCCAGTGGACCAGGGGCCTGAGTTCCCTTTGGTCCTCATTTTAAGGTGGCTGCTTAGAAAGCATTGGTTCTTGACTGGCCCTTAAGTTCTGCAAGAATCCCTGCAGTTGTCAGTCACTGTACGGTAGGGAGTGTGAAGGAGCGCTTGCTCAGCTATAAAAGTCTGTGAGTCCTGGCAAGTAGAAAGAATGGCCGTTCACATTGCTAGTACCTTCCTGTTTTGTCACCTAGACCGTGAGCCTTGATTTAGAACCCACTTCCCCAACTCTAACCCATGCTGAGACTTTGTTCTTAAGTCTTCTAATCTGGTTCCCACTAGGCATCAAGACCTACCAGAAAAGTGAGAAAATGAACATTTAATTCTGTCAGTCTCTTTGTGAGCACCTCCCAGGTTCCAGACTTGGCAGACAGGCCCACACCTCATGCCAGCTGTTCCTCGGGGCTCCTTCTCCGTGACCCAGTCCTGCTGTCACCTCACGCCCAGTGCGTGCCTGGCTGCACTAGTGCCAGCCAGATTTACCAGTTTGTCTTTCAA
This sequence comes from Homo sapiens, assembly GCF_000001405.40. Taxonomy (NCBI): domain Eukaryota; kingdom Metazoa; phylum Chordata; class Mammalia; order Primates; family Hominidae; genus Homo; species Homo sapiens. The sequence continues at coordinate 155,734,114 of NC_000007.14, forward strand.
CTGGTCTGTAATTTCAAGAACATCGACAGACCCACTCTTTGTGAGTTGGCTTGGACCTTGAGGATGCGCTAGTCCAGTTCACTTTTGAGATCATCCCCGGCAGGCGGTGCTCCTCCTCCTGAGTGCGTGCTTCTGTGGGTTGAGGATGTGTTCATTGCTGGGAGAGTGTTAGAAACCTCCTCCCTCTGTTGAATTGAAATCAGCCCCATCCAAACTCTTACCTAGGTGGTTGGGCAAACCATCATCAAACCTGCTTGTGGTTGATCTTGACTCAGTTACATGAAGAGAGCTATCATAACCACACTTAACGTTGGAAATGGTTTTTCATAGTTTCCAGAGGTGTTATTAATTTTGTATTTGTAAGCTAAAATGTCATACCCATTTTTCATTTGAAGAGTTTGCATTTGAGTGATTTTTACTTTTCACAACTATTATCTTGTTTCAGGCTGTGATATTGTCTCTTTTTGGTGTCTCAGTGACATCATTTTGATCCCTATGTTTTTCATTTCTCAATGCAAATTCTTCTAATGAATCTTACTGGTTCCTTTTGTATGTATCTGTTTGAAACCCCTCCCGTGTGCCTCCTCCCCCGAAATAAGTGTAGTCAAGTGTGCATTGAAACAGCTTAAGGAAACAGGCTGATTAATTGGAAAAGGATTTTTATTCAGAACCACCATTGCCAATTTGCGTGGGTTGGAAACAGTGTGATCAGTCAAACCTCTCTGCAAGCAGAGGCAGGCAGTTGTTTCTTTTATTCCGTGTCATTCTGAGAAGCATCATTTAAACATTTTTTTGAAATAATGCAGAACCTTGATTGCTAATTTATTGTCATTCAGAAAGTTTTGAAGATTATTTTAAAACGTTTTGAAATGCTTGCACAGCTACTCTGCAACTTACGATGGGGTTACATTAGGATGAGGCCGCTGTAAGTTGCAAACATCGTAAGTTGGACCATTGTAAGTCAGGAACTGTCTGTATATGTCAGAATCATATTGATATACAAAACTAAAGATGGAATGCTAATGCTATACTTTATAAATAGAACATTTAAGTTACCTGGAGGAATACAATATTATTTTGGAGGAGATATATTCATGTTCACACCATGTGTTTCATTGACTTCAAACAAGAGATGAAAATATTTTTAAAACAAGAGGAAAAAACTTTGGCAGTGGGAGAAAGCAGGCAAGCTCATTGAAACTCCTCATGCAGATGTAGTAAGTAACAGTATGTAACGGCGTGTGCTATTAGAAGTAATTTTTCTAGCATATTATTAGCAAAGTAAAGATATTAAATATTCAAGAATATTGGCCAGGTGTTGTGGCTCATGTCTGTAATCCAAGTACTTTAGGAGGCTGAGGTGGAAGAATCATTTGAGCCCAGGCGTTCAAGACCAACTTGGGCAACATAGCAAGACCCTGCCTCTACAAAAAAACTAGCTGGATGTGGTGTCATGCTCTGTAAGTCCTAGCTACTCAGGAGGCTGAGGTGGAAGGATCCCTTGAGCCAAGGAGTTTGAGGCTACAATGAGCTGATTGCGCCACTGCACTCCAGCCTGGGTAACAGAGCAAGACCCTGTCTCTCTCTCTCTCTCTCTCTCTCTCTGTCTCTCTCTCTCTCTCTCTCTCCCTCTCTCAGGAAAAGAGATCCATATCAAAGCATTATATCAGTGAATTTTCAAATTAATTAGGGGTAAAAGACCATGTATATGATATGTATTCTCACTTACAAATATATTCCTCAGTTACTGACATTTATTGGGTTCATTGTGTCTTAATTGATGTCTTTATCTAGAGAAGTGACACTCCCTAATGTCAGGCAATAGTATGCTGTGGATTTCCTTGTTTCACCTAAAGTCAAAAGCTACGAGATTTTCAGCTTTGGACTTTCTGTTGTACATGTTTCAATAAGTGCCTAAAGTTTATGTTTTTATAAAGATACAATATTTGTGTGTTAAACATTTCTTTATTATTTTGTAGCCAACAATCTTAAGGGTTTGTGGTGTTTATACTAGTGTTCATTTTGTCTATTCTGTCAATGCCATGGGTAGAACAGACTTTTGTAGGGAGAAGGAAGGGAAATGCACTGCGGAAGAGCATTTTCAGTGTTAGAAAATGTTGTTGTGTTTAGAGGGAACAGTGAGTTAGTGATAAAATGATAGGCCAAGGCATTGGGGTTGCAAGTGTGTGAGAAAGAAGAATGATACTTAAAAGTTGTGAAATATTGACTCAGTTTCAAAGAACAAGGTGCTATTAAATGAAAATTATTTTGATGATAGTTAATAGTTAATTACTTCTTTTTGGAGCAGTGAAAAAGTGGTGAACATTTCTTTACCTTTATGCTGCTGCCTAGGTCAATACGGTGGTTTAAAAAAATCTCCATGAATACCTGAAAGACCAACTGAAAAAGGAAGTAATTTTAATTTGTCTCTAAAGAGTTCTAGTAACATGTAGTTTTTGAAAAATGTTAATCTGTAAGAATTTGCTTAAAATTTTTTTATCCAGAGGACTCTGTGTACTATTTTTTCTGTAGTAATTTGGTTTCTTAAAACATTTCACATTTTTCTGTTAAGTCAGGAATTGCTGATTGAATTTCTTTTTCTTTTAAAGTGAAGCAGCTTCATAGCTGCAGCTTACAGTCCTGTTAAATAGCAAAGATGAGCATCTTTAAAAAGATAAATGTCATGACATTTAGTGTTTTGGATTAATGGGAAATAGGCCAATAATTGCATGGATTTCAATAAGCTTAAAAATAATATTCTTGCGTTATAATGACATTAAAACATTGACTTAATTTCTAGTTGCTGCGTTTTGATTTTTGATCATTTAATATTGCAGAATCACCTGTTGTGTAACAGTTTTTATGTTAATATGTGTGGTCATGTCTTGTGTAAGGATATTTTGGTTAATGGTGGACTGCATAGACAGCAGTGTTTCCATGAGATTATAATAGTGTATTTTATTGTAACCTTTTCTAGGGTTGGATATGTTTACATCCACAGATACTTAGCATTGTGTGACAGTTGCCTACAGTATTCAGTACAGTAACATGCTGCGCTGGTATGTAGCCTTGGAGCTACTAGTGTGTACTATACAGGCTAGGTGTGTAGAAAGCGCTACCATCTAGGTGCGCGTGTGTGTGTGTGTGTGTGTGATTACAATACACTCTGTGGTGTTCGCATGATGGAATCACCTAAGGATGCGTGTCAGAATGTATCCTGTCATTAAGGATGCATGACTCTGTGTGTGTGTGTGTGTGTGTGTGTGTGTGTGTAGAAAGAGAAAGACAGTGACTGTTAGGAGACACGTTACTTGACATTTTTGAGGAAAACTTGGAACCAGGTCTATATTTCTAAAAATTACATACCATTTTTCTGTCCTTCACCCTGTTTCTCTGTTGTTGTTGTTGTTCTTTAGGGCCCTCCAGAATTTCCACAGCATACACCTGGACCTGTTCCCAACAGTTTCAGCCAGCCCCCACGACTCCCTCTCCAGGACCAGTGGAGAGCCCCACCCCCGCCTCAGGATCGAGACCCTTTCTTCTTAGGAGGTACAGAAAGAGTGAGTGGTGTGGAGTAACAACAGAAGCTGCATTGGGTGATGTGCCCAAACACATTTATTTTGTAAACTGAATTGAACTCCCAGTTGGAGATGTTAGGAATGCCAGGTTTTTGTACCATAGCAGTTCTGCCTGTCATTTCAGGTGCTAAAATTGGACATTGTTGGTATCTGAAATCGGAACATCTCATATAAAAGGGAATTTATGTATAGAAAATGACAAATGAAGCAATCTAGAAATAAGAGGCAAAATCTGGAATTGTTTCCAACATTCATAACCTGTCAACACTTGTGACTTCTGTCCACAGTAGGATAGTGCTTCAGACTGCTTTTCTGAGAAGCACATGGTCTTTTTAACCTGAAGTTAATGATGTTGTGTTACCTTTCAGTTTCAGGTGAACCAAGATTCCCGAGCCATCTTTTTCTGGAACAGCGAAGTCCCCCTCCACCACCACCGCCTCCTACCCTTCTTAACAGTAGCCATCCTGTTCCTACTCAGAGTCCTCTACCATTCACTCAGCCAGGACCAGCATTTAATCAGCAAGGACAGCAGCCAGTGTTCCCAAGAGAGCGGCCCGTACGACCAGCCTTGCAGCCTCCAGGTCCGGTGGGGATTCTGCACTTTAGCCAGCCTGGGTCGGCAACCACACGGCCCTTCATTCCTCCTAGACAGCCGTTCCTGCCAGGCCCAGGACAGCCGTTTCTGCCCACACACACACAGCCCAACCTGCAGGTAATGCATCCTGAGTGAACCTCCAGGGAAAAAATGTGTAGCTTCAAGGCTTTGTGTTCCATAAAGTTTCAGATTTTTATTTGAGCCTACTAATTTGTGGTTATTTAAAGAATAGAGTATTAGTCTCAAATGTACTGTTTGTTAAAGACAACTTTTTTCAACAATGTTACTTATCTCAATACAAGAAAAAAATGGGAAAATGTCATTTTTTGGGAATTGAAAAATGCTACTTATTATAATTGTTTAAAGGGTATACTACTAATAAAATTAGGACATGTTTTGATAATACATTTGCTCATCTGTATAAAATTTCATGAGAGGTTTACCAGTGGAAATACTTTGTCAAATTATATTCCTGCAGTAGACAGTTTTGAAAAGAGTCTTTGCATGGAGGGAAGAAGATGTTGCTGTTCACTGGTTATTTGAAGGCCTTGAGTGCCCTCTGCCGACCGGCTTCTGCTTCATGGGTTTTCACTGGTTATTTGAAGGCCTTGAGTGCCCTCTGCCCATCGGCTTCTGCTTCATGGGTTGACATGCGTCTGTAACATCTTTCTTACCAAGTGTATATTTCTTCTTGTATTGTAGGGTTACTATTAAAATACATAGCGATGGTAAACTTGAATCAACTATTTAAAAATACGTGGAATACGTATCTAAGCCAAAAACGGAAAATGAATATTATCTAGGGTGTTAAAGGAAGATAAAATGTTTTTAAGAATTTTTCTTTTTATTAAAAAAATGCAATTAATACATCCCCATTGCAGAAATTTTCAAGTATATATAAGAAAGGAAATTAAATACTCTCGTTACCTAGAAACAATTCAGGAGCTTTTTTTTTTGTCTTTTTTTAAATGCACATCTTCTCGCCACCTGCTTTTTCCCTCCAGTGTCACATATCATTTGATCTTTTCATGTCAGCGAGTTGGTTTTGATGCCATCGTTTGAGAGTGCTGTATGCGGTTCCCTTTCATGCTGTCTGTGTGGTTGCATGTGTGTATACTGGTTTCAGTACTTTAGTATCATAGTGCTACAGGGAACATGCTTTAGAGTTATGAGTTTGTCTGCATACCTAGTTTTCCTTAGGACAATTCAATCCTAGAATTACTGGATTAAATATAAAATTTAAGGTAATAGCTTCTGGCTTATTACTGCATTTTAGATAGTATTACCTTCATCAGCAAGTCTAAAATGAAGTTTTGGTATCGCTGAAAGTTCCTTTCTTGTGTTGAGGTTTTTTAGGAAATGATTGAAGTGATTATGCCCGGTGTAACCATTTATGAACTGTTGTTTCTCTTTCTTTGGAAATGGAAGGGGCCGTTGCATCCTCCATTGCCCCCTCCGCATCAGCCTCAGCCTCAGCAACCTCAGCAACAGCCCCCGCCACAGCACCAGCCTCCGCACCAGCCCCCGCACCAGCCCCCGCCCCAGCACCAGCCCCCACCCCAGCACCCACCACAGCACCCGCCGCAGCACCAGCACCACCACCACCACCACCACCTGTCCGTCCCGCCCCCTCCTTTGATGCCGATGTCTCAGCCACAGTTCCGGCCTCACGTACAGACCGCTCAGCCTCAGGCCAGCAGCAGCCGGATGCAGTGCCCCCAGCGCCAGGGGCTCCGGCATGTAAGTGTCAAGGGGTGTCTTCCCTGTGTCTTCCTGGGAGGCCTTTTAACTTACAGGACTTGAGGGGCATAATATGTAGGTTAGAATATTTTCCAGTTCTGATTTCTGTTTATAAAATGTGTAGTACATAGTTCTGAAGTGAATCCATGTTTTAAAAAACACTCAGGTGATTTGTTTTCTTGACTACAAGAATTGATAAGATACTCCTTTTGTGTCTCAAAGACTGTGTTAATATTTACTTAAGCATCTTTCTTGTATCTAGATATTTCTATAGCAATAGACAGGAATTAATAGACACGTAACTTTAGAAAATACTTTTGGGTGGTAGTCACTTTCCCTTTACCAGTGGCTTATTTTTTGATGTATAGATTATCTCTGTCTTTTTGGTCCCTGAATAAATACATAAATGAATTCAGGAAAAATACGTTGACTGTTCTGTTGCCAGGTGCTACTCTAGTCCTGGAAATACAGCAGTGAACAGAAGAGACAAATTCTTTTCCTTCAAGGAGCTTATACTCAGTCGAGGGAGATTAGCATACATTTATTTGTGGGGTTGTGTTCTCAAGCACCATCAGCAAATGTGTGACTTGTCGTGCATTAAAAGAAACTGGGAAACAATGTATTGCTCTGAAAATAAAAGGCCACAGTCATTGCCCTTGTCCTCCATTAAATACATATAAGAAGCTTTTGTAATTTTGTTTTTAGGAAAGGGAGACACAGTGTGGCTAGTGGTCAGGGTTTTTGCCTCCATTAAATATATATAAGAGGCTTTTGTAATTTGGCTTTTAGGAAAGAGAGACACAATGTGGCTAGTGGTCAGTGGTCAGGGCTCTTGCCTCCATTAAATATATATGAGACTTTGTAATTTGGTTTTTAGAAAAAGAGACACAGTGTGGTCAGTGGTCAGGGTTCTCGCCTGTCAGTTTTCTTTTGGTATTGTCTTCTTTTCACCCTTGAGCTTCAGTCATGTCACTTAGCTGCTTGGAATCTCAGTTTTCCTGATATTTGCCTCTTTCTTTCTTAAAGTAAACATTGCAACTAAAGTGCTGTGAACAGTAAGAAAAGATTTCTAAATCTGAGAAGAGGGTGCTTTATAACCTGGGTTTCATTTGTTAGAATAATGGTAGGCTAGTCTCATGACCCTCGTGCACTGGGATATTTGACCTGCGGGACCTCGGAGATCCCCCTGCTTCCCCCCTCCCCCCTTCCAGCTCTCTCGTGTTCTCTTTGCCTCCTCCAGGTGTTGGTTCTCTCTTAAGAATCCCCAGGATGAATATGACTAAGCATTTCCTCTCGAGTAAAACGTTCTGGCACCTTTCTTCTCCCGGGGGTCATGTTTCTTAGGACATTGACCTGATGCTTGATTCTTTCCTTGTTCCAGCTTAAATTTAAGTGACTAGGTAAAATAGTAGCATGTGAATCCCGTTGATCTCTGGTGGCAGATAGAGTGGTTTTTTGGCTGTCTTAATTCTTTTAAAACTGTCAGTCCCTTTACTGAAGCACCTGCTAAAGATCAGCCTGGTGTAATTTCTATGAAGAGGAGCCTCTCTGTAGGCAAGTATGACAACTTTACCAATGGAAATTGTTAACATTAGGATGAGGCATGCTGCCACATGGATCAGGTGACATTTATGTATGAGAAAAAAAGTATGAGAAAAAAGTATCTGCTCCCCAAAAGAAGTCATTTACTAATTAGAATGATTTATTGTGTTTTTATTTAATAATGTGCCTTTTAATGTTCCTTCTGCCAAGTTTCCACTTACAATTAGAATCTCTTTCTTTTTGTGAAAAGAATACAACTTCTCAGAATGTAAGCAAGCGGCCCATGCAGCAAATGCAGCCCACTGCGCCAAGGAACAGCAATTTGCGTGAATTACCCATAGCGCCGTCACACGTGATAGAAATGAGCAGCAGCCGCTGCTCTGCCACGCCCTCAGCACAAGTGAAACCTATCGTCAGCGCGTCACCACCCTCGCGGGCCGTGGCGGGTTCCAGAAGCTCACAGGGAAAGACGGAAGTGAAAGTCAAGCCAGCTAGCCCTGTGGCTCAACCTAAAGAAGAGGCAAAAACAGAAACAGAGGTAGGACACTGCTCTTATTAACAAATGTTGGTCTCAAACAAGAAGCCTTAGAATCAACTTGGATGTCTTAGTTCACTCTCACTAAGTTATTCACAAAATCTTCCCACTTTTTTCACCTGGGTCTTTTTTTTTTTTTAACCTAACAGCCATGTTTATTAAAAAAACACTTGTATTCTCACTAGTTTACAAGATTAGAGTTTATATATTTGTACAGTTACTGTTCTGTTATACAGAATTGATATATACCGGGGCTTAACAAACTTTTTCTGTAAAGGGCCCAAATATTTTATAAATATTTTAGACTTTATAGTCCAGACTGTCATAATTACCCTTCTCCGCCATTTTAGCACAAAGGCAATTTAAATATAGTTCTTCCATGAATAGATGTGACTGCGTTCCGGTAAAACTTTACTTTATAAAACCAGGTGGTGGACCGGACTCAGCCTGTGGGGTGTCATGTGCTGACACCTGGTGAATCCCGTAGGTTTCTGTGACTTTTCTTGATTTACACTATTAACCTCTAGAAGATAGGACCAATTTTCTTGTTGGTCTTTTAAGATTTCTGGGGGTTTGCTTTGTGTTGAAGTATGATGATATATGTTGTTGCTGTTGTTCCTAATTTTTCAGTAGGCACAGAATGTAGTGAGTGTGAACAATCAATGCAGCTCAGTCTTTACCTGGCTTTAGTTGAGGCCGTCTTCTCCCACAAGCCTCAGTCTCCTCATCTGGTAAAGGAGGGTCGGCCAGGGCGGCCTGTGCAGAAGGCTGGCACCTGGAGGGCGTGTCAGCCTTAGTGAAATGCATGTGGAGTGCTCTGAAGCAGTGCAGCGAGTTAACTTGTCCAATAGCAATGTCATGAAGAATGGCTTTAGAGAAGAATTTAGGCAAGTCATGCTTTCTTAGTTTCATAAAAACCAGTCAACACTGGTTTTACCTTTTAATCAGTTCATTTTTTTCAGTTAGATTTTCTTCTGATATATTATTGTAGCAGTTGTAATGTATTGTTTACCAAATTGGAAGTACAAAGTTGAAATATTAACATACAATGAACTCTTATTAGAACACGAGTGACTTTTGGTTTTAAAATCAATATGTGAAAAAATAATGTAGATTTACAAACTGGATCGGAATAGTTTAGAAAGAAGTCTTTGGTAAAAGTTTTATCATACTTCTAGTGTATATAGCCAGCTCCTAACTCAGTATGTGTAACTGATTTGGTTCAGAAAAATGAAGTCACACATTCATAATAACAGGGCTACCTAATAGGGGAAGTTGCCTTTCAGGCATCCTGCTGGCACATCTGGCGATCACTTCCTTCCATGATAGTTGATTTAGGCGAACTTCTAAAGGATTCTTCCATGGAGTTATTTCAAAAAGATGCCTTGAGTGAAATGGAACCTGTAGGTCACCGTAGTATAAATGGAATGTCTTGATTTATTTTCTTTTAATTTTCTCTCTCTATATAAAGGGGACCAGGATTATATATATTTTTTTACTTTTTAGAAGAAAGATCTTCTATTTGTTTTGCTTAGCTAAATGTGACTTATTTTCGTATGTTCACCCCTCTTGATGATGATATAATAAAGGGTGAATCTGCTTATTTGGAGGTCTTTTCAAGTATTTCAGCTGCTGTTCTGAACATGCTTTAACTCTTCCTTGACTGCATGGGAAATTCCGATGACTAGTAATTATTCCTGTGTTTTGAGGCAGTGGCCCCTTGGGTCCTGTGAATATGTCCCCAGCCGTCTGCTTCCCCGATGCCCATGTCCCTTGTGCCCACTATCCCCCTGGACGCCATGTCTTGCTCTGTATGCCTACCCTTGTAAACAGCCTCTCACCCACCTTCATTTTTGCAGTTTGAAATCTGCCCTAGATGTGATATTAGAGAACAGAGGTGGTCGGAATTGCTTCCAGGACGACAAGTAATCCCTGAGTGAGGGCTGGCACCGGGCACTCAAGCTCCAGGGCACCAGCCGACTCCTCAGCTGTGCTTTTGTCTTAAGTTCCTAATTCTTAAGGTTTATTTAGGGAAAGTAAGATGGTGAAATAGCTGAATTCTAGATAGATTAAATCCTGTTACATTATTTTACACGGAGTCTGTGGATATGGATGATTTTTAAAGAATATTATTACAATTCTTTAAAAATGCTTAACTTTTTATACATTTTCCCTATTGGATGCTTTTTATTGAAAGTTACTGGAGTTTTTCAAAGATTTTTTTGTATCGACTTGAAGAATGGTTTGGAACTTGGAATATTAAAGGCGTTCCTTATATACCATTAATATTCCAATACTGCAATCGGCAACATTTTGATTCTGAGGAGAGTGCATGAGTTCAAGGTCAGAGAGATTGACTTGTGCTGTTCATTATAACCAATTATTCTGTGACAAATGAGTTTGAGATCAGGCTGAAAATTCTGCACGAAAAATCAATAGTTCTAATCAGAGCCTTTCAGGTCATTTACACCCCACCTTTTGTTGGTTTGTCAGAGAAGAGCCAGATAAAACCTGTGTGACAGCAGGCCTCCCTACTGCTGCCATTCCTGTTTGAAACATATTTTGATATCTTAAATGAATAGTTTAATTGGTTTCAAACTTGTAAATGAGTGGAAATTTACATTATTTCATTTTTAATATTCTGATAAGATTTTCCAAATTAGCTTTAGCTGTGTGGTTTTTTTCCCCCTCCCCAGAGGAAGGAGTTATACTTAAAGTCTTCAAACAGATTTTGAGTGACTTCTTTCAGATACTGAATTAAAGGACTTGTGGTAAATGTGTTCTTGTAATTTGTTGAAATAGACTATGGGCACCTTGCCTGTATAGCAAAGTAAACCGTGTATGTTTTCCATTTTAGTTTCCTGATGAAGATGAGGAAACAAGGTTATATCGCTTAAAGATAGAAGAACAGAAACGCCTAAGAGAAGAAATCCTGAAACAGAAGGAGTTACGGCGGCAGCAGCAGGCTGGTGCCAGGAAGAAGGAGCTGCTGGAGAGACTCGCGCAGCAACAGCAGCAGCTGTACGCTCCCCCACCCCCAGCAGAGCAGGAAGAGCAGGCACTGTCACCATCACCCACCAACGGTAACCCACTGTTGCCCTTTCCAGGTGCACAGGTCAGACAAAATGTGAAGAACAGACTTCTTGTTAAAAACCAGGATGTCAGTATTTCAAACGTTCAGCCCAAAACATCCAATTTTGTACCATCCAGTGCCAACATGCAGTATCAAGGACAACAGATGAAAGCACTGAAACATTTGAGACAGACCAGAACAGTTCCTCAAAGTCAGACTCAGCCGCTGCATAAAGTGCTCCCGATCAAACCTGCAGATGTGGAGGAGCCAGCTGTCCCCCAGACTCCTCGAGTGGCGTCCATCCAGGGCCGGCCCCAGGACACAAAGCCTGGCGTGAAAAGGACTGTCACGCACAGGACAAACAGTGGTGGTGGAGACGGGCCCCACATCAGCTCCAAGGTCAGGGTGATTAAGCTGTCAGGTGGGGTAAGTTGACAAGTTTTATGAGAGCCTCTTTGAGTCTGTGTATCACATAGAATGTCCTCATTTGCAGAGAATGTTTTTGAAGAAAGAATTAAAAGTTACCTCTGTTATAGTCTTGTAACCAATCTCTACCTACTTGAAGTTGGTATAAGAATTGCCGCTTGACGACAGGCATACATTCTCAGAAATGTGTTGTTAGGCGATTTTGTCATTGTCTGAACGTGCTAGAATGTACTTCCATACACAGACGGTACAGCCTGCTGCACACCTAGGCTATATGGTACAGCCTGTTGCTCCCTGGCCACAAGCCTGTGCAGCATGTTACTGTGCTGAATACTATAGGCAGTTGTCACACAATGATGAGTAGTTGTGTGTCGAAATGTATCTTAGTGAAGGTACAGTAAAAATACAGTGTCATAACCTCATGGGACCGCCTTTGCAGGTGTCGCCCATCTGAGCAGAATGTTGTTATGCGGCACATGCTTCAGTTTTCTCTTTTGAGTCTTAATGAAAGGCCAGTGTGACAATCCCTAAATTAGATATCACTCAGTTTTAGCTTCTTATTGTAGATAATTTGTGATAAAATCATTACGTTTGTTTTGGAAATAAATTTTCCTTTACACAAATCATTTGTGGTGTATAGCTTTAGACTCAGTGAGCAGCTGTGGGACAGTGGGAGTGGTGGGCAGTGCAGGTGTGTGTCTAATTTGAATCAGCTTTGTCCCAGACTACTGGACTACTGCTTGTTTTCTGTTTTCAGTTTGCCCCATTTAAAAAAAAAAAAGCGTCATAGAATTGAGAATTGAAGTCCTGTATGCTCTTCCCACATGCTTTCAGAAGTGGAGCATGCCTCATTTCTTTCTCTTGCTTTTCATCATTGTCCATATCAGGTCATTTTCAGTCAGGCACAGGAAGTGCAGTTTTCCACTGTAGTTTGGATAGGTTCAGTACTCTAAAATAAAACCAGTCACTGCAGATAGATTTCCATTGCAGAAGATTCTTCCATAAAGAAGTGATCTGTAGAACACTTGCTTCTTTATCCCACCATATAGTCTTATTAGTTGTGGTAAGTAGCTCTCATCTGTTGTTTTCATGAAAATGAATTCTATAACAAATACTATGGTCTCTGTAATTGCTCTGCCCTATAACAGTGCTATTCATTGTATGCAATTTATATTATAAACTGAGGAAGAAAGTAGGAAAGTTGTAAACATAGGCTTCTAGAGTAAACCAGCTAGCAACGATTGCTTTAAAAGACACAAAAAATGTATACAGTAAAAAAAGAAAATAACTTATCTCTTTTAGTCCATTTCAGGATGGTAGGACATGTGATCATGTGAAGGAGAACGTTACTTCGTCTCCTTGCTTGTGCTTAAGAATAACTCATTTTGTTAGTTGGTTAATTAGCTGAGATTTAGTGCTTTTATTTCTAGGTTTGTAGAACAAAACTTTGACTTTTTCATGTGCTATAAGAAAATCTTTATAAAATACTGTGATTAGAAGTTCCATATGTAGACTATCCAGTAGGATAGTCTTTATCTGAATCTGTTTTCTCACATCTATTCGTTGTAATTAGAAATGTTGAGAAGAATGGTGTTACATAAAATTGTTTTCATATTATATGAATTTGTTACCTTTAGGTGAGAACTCAAGCACTCAGTTTCTTCAGTGTTTATGGCCCTTTTGCTTTTGACCTTGTTTTTAAGTGTACTGTGTTAATCAGTGTCTCATTCTTTTACTTGTGTTACAGACTTTTTTTAAGATGAGATGTTGGCCATTGTTGGGAATTAGGCCTTTTCCCATAGCAACCAGAACTGGTGCTGTTTGTTACAATGGCCGATGTAGAGGGCTGCATGTACTCTGCACTGGCAGGCTGGGAAGTGAAGGGTCCAGTTTCTACCATCAAAGAGCAGCTTTTACACTCATAAACAGCTTTCCTTTAAAAGAATTTTATCTACATGAATTTTTACTCTTTTTCTCCAATGGAAAAAATTTATATCAGACCTAATTCCAAAATCATGCTAATTTTACAATAAATAGGAAAAACAAAGGAATTTTTCATGAAAATAGCTGTCAAACCAGTACTTTGGAACAGCTCTTTATCTTTTACTTCTTAAGTGTCAACTAGCCCACATGTTCGTATCTTAGGGTTTACTCAGTCCCCTCCAATAGCACATTGGCACTTTTGACCTAGCAGGGAAGATGTCTTGTTCGTATTTCTCTGAACCAGAACAAATAGGATTTGCCTAATGGCATTGTTTTTTGTTTTTTTGTGGGTGAGGACTATTTTTGAGAGAACATATTCCTAATGGTGGTTAATTGCAAATTGTGCTTATTTCAGACAATGCAAAAAGGAAGCATTTATTTTGGCTTGTGTTTCTGTTCCTGGCTGCTGGAGAGGCATTCTCTGCATATGGGGGCTGTGGTCTTAATGCTCAGGGATGTTTCCTGCCTATGAAAATCTTCAGGAGCCGAGGGCTGAGCAGACCTTGGCTGACAGGAGCTTGGCATCTGGGGAGGATTGACTTGTGCATGGCACCCATACAGGATATTATTATCTACATCTTAGTTTTACGATTACTTACTTAATGAAAACATTTTATTGTTGGTTCGCGTTTCCCATTTTTTCTAACCTATACTATATCCTAACCTAAATTACCTCCTTCCCTTTTTTCTAATTTAACTAGTGTAACTAAATCTAATGCATTTAATTCAATTATTCTTTGCATTCAGCAGTCTCCTATTCTTCACGTCTCTAGACAGGATAGCAAACTATCTTTGCATAGTGCCATTCAAGAACTTGTGCTCTGGTGGGTGATTGCAGTTGAAATATGTGTCCACAGGATTGTTCACATGTTTATGAAAGCACAGTTTTCTTGCCATTCTTACTATGATATACAATTTAATTAGGTTTCTGTGAGTGTACTCATGTCTGTGAGGCAATTGTGAATCAAATGGAGTTTTCTTCTATATTTTCCATATGTCATTACTTATAATGAAATAATTTATCGTTGGGTTTTATTAAACTGGGTTTTTTGAAAGGTGAGAGAGGCTGAGTCTTAAGACCATAGGTTTTTGTAGTCTGCCCTGTGGTTAATTATATCGCCTTTCAGGTGATTTTCCTTGGTCCTTGTCATTGTAAGAGAATGTCTAGTCCTTTCTTGGTGGTCCCCTTTGTGGCTGCTGCTGCAGTATGCGTGTGCATAGGGAACATTTTCGAAAAGAGATGAGCAGCATGATTCCTGGTATTGTTTCTTACACGATTGTGTTGACTAGGGTCAACGTCTTGGTTTAAAGCTTGAAAAGTGACTATGCAGATTCAAGGGCTATTGTTGGCATTGCGTTTTGCCGTTGGCTGCTCTGAAATTTCTTGCTGTATAGAGATTGGAGCCTTTCTCTAGGACTGAGAGCTCACCTGTGCACGCAGTCATGTGATGGGGTAAAACAGTGTGGCTTTGGGTGCAGAAAGACTCCTGTTTGAATAGTTGTCTGTTCTTTGGGACCCCGAACAATCATTTCATTTTTCTGAACTTTAATTTCCAATCTGCAAGTGGGGTTAGTAAGTCTGCTGTGAGGCATCAGTAAATGAAAGCTTCTGGTACACAGAAGGCATTTCATAACTTCCCATTTTCTTTGTAGAATGCTTCTAAGGCCCCTTTTAGAAATAAATTATGTGATTTTTATGCCAGATAATAGTAGTGGCTATTATTTATTGAGTGTTTAGCATGTACTCACAACATCCTTCTGAGGCGAGTGCGTTGAATCTCAAAGAGGCTACGTAACCAGCCTAGGGCCGCCGCACACCTACTAGGTGGTAAAGCTGGGCTTCCACCTGTGGGTTAGTGCTGAATCTTACGCTCTTCACCCTTGTCTATGATAGTTGTCTATTTTATCTGCTGTGTTTTTCATGGTGTTATTTGTTTCTTGATTGGGGATAATATTCTACTATTAGCAGTCTAGATTGATTCGGAAAATGCTTAATGGGGGCTCCTAGGATAATGATGATGATGATGATGATGGTTAGGTTTCATTTTGGTTGCCAGTGCAACAGACTGATAGTGACTGCCTGGAACAATAGGCTGAGAAGGATTTGATACATGAAAACGCAGCCTGGATGGTAAGTAGCCTCAGCTTTGAATATAGGCCTGGCGAGTGGCTGGGGTTCCATCATCCCGGTTCCAGAACCTGGGCTGCTGGCCCAGGAAAGGGAGTGCATATTGTGTCCTGGTTAAGAATAGCCATCACTTGCTATGTGCTGTGTGAGTCTATCCTTGAACATTTCTGTGTGAATCAAATTAAGTCACATTTTGCATTTAAAACTTTGAAGGGAAATATTAGGGGAATTTGAAATGGAAAGAGATCTTTTGTTATGAGGCTAATCAATTTCTGTGTACGTGAATTTCCATTTTTTTCCCACTCATTTTACTGTCTGGATTTGCTAGGTGAGATTACAAAAGGAACAAATTAATGCTGCTTATAAGTAGTGTTAGCAGCAAATACTGCTAAAATTTTATGTGCCTTCCTGACTATTAAGTAAATAGTTCATCTGTAGAATTATATTTCATGGAATGGTTCTCTTTTAATTACTTAGAATATAGAAATATTCTCCATTTGCCCATTTCTCAGAAAGCTATTTTTCAGTGTTTAAGAAACCAAAAGAACAACCTTGTTACATTATAATTTTGTTCATAACCTATACATAATTCCCAGAAAAACAATTCAAGTAATAACAGCAAATATAAAAAGTATAAAATATTTACTTAGTGTAAACTTATATAGTCATCTAAAACCAGTCTGTGTGATTAAACACAGGAAAAAGGAATTAGAACAAACAAGTGCCAGGGGAAATTCTTTGCCTTAGGCGGTCAGTTTCTGTCTTCCTATTTAGGGAGAATGGTATAGTCTTTGAAGTGTTTGCATCTTGGTTTTCATTTTGCATCTCTGTAACCTTGGTTGCCTGGCCTCAATGAATCCCAGTTTCCTCATCAGTACAATGAGAACCAACTCTCCTCCCAGGATCCTTGTAAGGATTAAACGTCATAATCATGTAAAGTTAGTGGTACAGTGCTTGAGTATGTGATAATAACTCAATAAATGTTACCACCCTTTTAGTTGAAGGAAAAAGAAAATGGTTTTTTTTTTTTTTGGAGTGGCTGTTTATATTGATCTTTAAGAAAATGAAAGCAAATACCAATTCAGCTGCTTTATTCTAATCAAGTTAATGAAAATTTTAAGAATTTGGCAGCAAATTAAGTAAACAGTCCTTTATTCTGTTGGCCACACAGAGAAATGGGAGCAGCACAGAATGCCCCCGCAGGAAAGCCAGCTGTCCAATTGTGATGCTCTTGTATTTTATTTTTAAAAGGCTGTCAAAATGCTGCATGCCGAAGGTCCCAGTTTATTTGTGGGATCATGCATTTATGGCTTTGGACTGCATTTGTAAATTTCTTCCCTTCCTACCTTCTCAAAAGTTACTCCCACTTTTGGAATGATATGTATATACCTGATCCGTTTTGTGGAGCTTGGGGAGGTGGGAAAGGGAATGTTTTAATATAATTTTAGTTTTAAGAACAGTAGGAGAAACTCTCATACGTTCTTTATCAGATTCACCAGTTGTTTACATTTTGTCAAGTTTGCTTTATCCTGGTCTGTCTTTTTGTTCATTTGCATGCACAAAAACCTTCTTTCCCAAACCTTTGAGAGTAGGTTGGAGACATGGTGTGTTATGATTCAGCACACAGATACTCTCTTACAAAACCATATTTGTACATTATCAAAAATAAAAATTGTTGTGCACTGATACTATCATCTTATCCATAGTACATATTCAGATTTTATTCACTGGACCAATTATGTCCTCTGTAGCTAACCCCCACCTTTCAGGGTCCAGCCAGGATCATGCATTATATTCATAGTGTCCCCTAAATCTGCTGTTTCTTGCCCTTGACCTTTTGAAAGAGCAGAGGGAATGCCCTTCAATTTGGGTTATTTTATGATTCATCCTGATCGGTTTCAGGTTGTCCATATTTGGCAGGAACACCCCAGAGGGGATATCGGGTCCTTCTTAGTGCATTCAGTTGGGAGGTTTGTCCAATATTGACAAGATTAACTTTGATGGGGCGGCGGGTGGGTAAAAGTGATGTTTGCCAAGTCTCTCCTCTGTAATGTTACAGTTTTACCCTTTGTAATTAGTAAAGTAATTTATAGGAAGATACTTTGAGACGATTGGGACTATGTAAATATCCCATTTCTGATCAAATTTTCACTATTGTTAGCAGGCACTGAAGTTTTTCTAATGCCAACACTCCTGTATTTGTTAGCTGTCATGCTCCTGCTGTGATAATTTACACTTCTCCTTCATCTATTTGTTCATTTATTTATGTCAGTGTGGGTGTATGAATTGTTACTTTATGCAATGAACTGTCACTGTCATTATTTATGTTGATTTTAGAATTGTACCAGATTGACCAGTGAGAGCCCCTTTAAACTGGTTTCTGTGTCCTTTGATTTGTTGCCATTACTCTTGGAACATGTCCTCACTTTCTGGTGCAAGAAGATGTTCGAGCTCACCTTGTTCTTTCTCTGTATGGGCTCTGGAATTGGTCCTGCTTCTTGGAAGCTCCAGGTCCTTAGAGTGGAGATCTGGGAGCCAGTTGTGCCCACTGCTTTTGTCTGTCCTGTCTTCTGGGCCCGCTCAGCACATTTTTGATTCTTCTACAGTGAGTTGCAAAGAAAGGAAAATGGCTCATACAGATACTGCTTTTGTACTGTATTTTTTGAAATAGGTCATTGGTGGGAATTAGGAAGTAATTTTTGCTATTTTGATTTCATTTTTTGAATTATTGTAGTTGATAGTTCTAAGAATTAAACATTACTATTTAGATATTTAAAGTGAGTCCCTCATCCTCTATAAACCCAAACAAAAGATTGACAGTCATTATTTGCAAATTTTGTTGAGGTTCTAACCTAAGTGTTGATACATGGAAAGGCATGAGACACAGCTGAGCACTGAGTTGAGAGCTGGGCAGAAACGTGCATCACATGCTTCTGAGGCCGCCCATCGCCCTGTGAGAACCACTGGTCTAAGAACCCATGGAAATTCCTCAGCACTTCGGTTGGGGTTAGAATTTGCTACTGTCACTCCTGCTCCTTCTCTGGAGGTGCCATGTTTCATGCCTCTGGCCCACTTATTACTTTGGATGCAGCTCAAGTGGGTCGTCTTCTGGGACGCCTCCCTGGATGGCCGCTCCCACGCACACTGGTTCGTCCTTTCTTTGTTCCTCTTCTGCAGCCCGATCTTCTCATCTGACCGTGTGTTTTCAGAGCCGGCTCCTGATGTTACTGCTACTTACCTGAGTGGGGTTTTGGTCTTTTTTTGTGTGTCCAGGATGTAAGGCAGTTTCAGGTACATTATAAATGTTTAAGATATTTAAATACTGTGTTAAAAATGGCAACATGGCTTGCACTCTCTTACTGAAGCATAGCAAAGGAGGAATTAGCAGTGTTCTTACCCCTTTCCCCAGTACTTCTGATGATAAAAGTAGTAGTTGTTTCTGTTGACATTTAGATGATACCAGTAAGTAAGCAAAATTTGGAAAAAGACAAAAAGCATGAATCATTACTAATTCTTCTGGGCATTATTTCCTGCAAAAATTTATTATTGCCTCCTGAAAGTCCTCCTTTCTAGATTTGCAAAATGGGATATTTCACATCCTGTTTTGCTGCTGTTTGAATTGTGTTAAGTGGCAAATCTGCAGTGGTAACTTGTTTGTGGTGAAGACCCATGCAAAGGCAGAGCCTCCACCTTGTGAGTGTCATTCAGGGGAACCCACGTTTTTTAGCCTCTAAGGTCCCGGACAGGAGGATGCCGCTGTTCTGGTCGCTTGATTTCTGGCAGAAGGTGACTTCCTAGGATGATCTCTGGCAGCGCCTGGGAGTGGATGAGTAGCAGAGCTAAGGAGGAGCTGAGAGGGGCCAGATAGAAGCGACTCAGAAGTAGGGTTCCCAGTCTGAACTTGCCCATGAGAAGGGCAGAGCTGCAGGTGGATTTCCAACAGGCCAGTTCTGGGAAGACTAGGCAGGAAGGGAGACTGAGTGTAAATGGCTTTTGACACAGAGGTGGGGGCCACGAGAGATGCACATTCAGGTGCTTGGGGCAGGGGAGGAGCGTGGAGGCGCGGGGCAGGCACCTCATGCCTGCCAAGTTGGCTGGGTGGAGTTTGACCTCATTTGTTTAAAGGTGCTAATGAGTGGTAAAATGGCCAACAGGCAAATAGCAAAAGAGTGAAAGAAAAATAGGGCATACAGAATCCTGATTAATCACTTATTTGATAAGACGTACAGTCTAGCATCTTCCTTTTGGAGGAGAAACAGTTGTGCATGAATACTTGTTTTTAAGAGCTTTGAAATGTCTTAGTGTGGGCAGAATTGATAATTTCCAAGGAGACTACTTTTTAAGCATTCTTAATCATGTGGCCTCTAAACATGGCAAGATAGACCATTGGTCATTAGAGGACATAAATCATTTTGAACACATAAGAATTTCCATACTCATTAATTTATGATTTTTTTAGGGGTATGATGTTAGGGAGTAAAATTAGCAGGTGAGTCAGAAATAATTCACCTTCAGCTAGGAATCAGGATTAGCTCACTCACCCACCCCAGCCAGAAGGGGAATCTGCTTTCTTCAATGTCTTAGGTAACTTCCCTCCCCTAACTTTCAACAGCCTACCCAGGTAGGATCCTGGTCACCTGTTCTGCAGAACTTGCTCAGTGCTACAGAGCAGGTCCTTTGGAGCCACTCTTCCAGGGCAGGGTGGAAGGGCCACTTTTCAGAGCCTGGGGCTGCACCCCTCTGTGAGGGACTGTGTGGCTGGAAGAGCTAGACTTCACACCCTGCCTCATAAGCCACAGCATCTGGAGGTGCCTGGCTTACTTTAGTAATCCTTTACTTTTTAGACTGGTAGATTTGTGCTGTCGAAATTGGAGAATCCTGGGGTATGAGATCCCCTCAGAGGCTCAAGGCTTTGGTTTGTTCCTTCAAAGGTCAGCTAATCTTGCTTTTTAAAGATCTCCCCAGGCCTAGCTAATGTCAGAAAGGTAGACTGTTAAGAGAGAGAGCAAGCACTTGAATAACTGTGCCACGTTCTCACCATACCGTACTAGAAAGTCAAATGCATGTGCTAAGAGAACCCTTTTCTTTCATGAAGCTTGGTAGTTAGGAGGTCTGTCCAACCTGGTCTCTCTAACCTTACGGATTTGGTTTTAATTCTGCCTGTGTAGACCTAGTTCCAGATAGGCAGTATTTTAGATGTAAGTGCTCCCCATGTTTTGCATGCTTACTATTTCATGAGGATAATTCATTGCAGAGAAGAAAGAGAATGTGAGCCTGTTTATTAATATTTTCTTTTACCCCCTCTTCTTTAATCCAGTAGTCTTCAGAGAAAAAAATGAGAAGCCCTAAATGTATTTATATTTAGAAACTTCGTACAGCATGCATATCATTTATTGTCCACATTTTGAGTGAGCTTTATAAAGATTACAGGGATAGGCCCAGCATTGTTGTAGTTAATAGAAACCTGTTCAGTGAGGTCTCTGGACTGTAAGATCAGCAACATTGGCGGTGACAGTGAAGTATGGCCTTATCGAAAGGAGAATTCATAAGAGGCTGCCCTGGGACACTACACCCCTGTCCTTCTGTGTGTCCTGACAATGTTATCTGTCCTCTCAGTATGGAGTATCAAATGTCTGTCATGAGTACAGAAATTAATTTAATGTCACCTGAAGACATGCAATTAATCTTTTAGAGGTTTTCATAATACCTTTACAGAAAGAGTTGCCAGTTTGGCGGATTTGGATTTTGGGGTTTAGAAGAAGATAAGGAAAATTAATTTTTCATCAGGGTTAATACAAGTTAGCAGGGCCACAAAGGCTGAGAAAAATGGTTGGGGAATTTGTCAAGTGTTGTCACTCTAGAATAATGCTGCTTAGCGTCTGATAGGTATAATCAAGAGTTGAGATTTCTATAGAGGGGGTTAATCAATTTGCTTGCTAGTGAATGCAAGTCAGTGATAGCACTTCTTCATGGGGTTTAAGAGTGAAAATAAGATTTGATCTGTCAAATTGCAGGAAGCCCTGACAATATCAGTAGGTGTTTTTATCTATGCATTTAAACGATTTGTTATAAATAAATTTGTCCTGCTAATGTTGGGGGCTACAGACCTCTTTTTTTTTGTAATGATTAAGCTGATAAAAAGTATTCCCTAAGCTTACTTAATTCAAATAGTGCCTTTTATAAATATACAAAAAAAACTAGTCTAAAAAGCGATTTTTATAGCATTAAAAGATAATCATTTGTGGGAAAAAAATGTTTCTGGTTTGACCAGAGATGACAAAACTTCTTTTCTCTCTCATGTGCTTTGGAGGAAGTAGAAGATATTTAAAATGCTGTCTGAACCTAGTGTTGTTTGAAGAGTTAAAAAGCGAACACCACCCTGGGAAAATTCAGTTTCAAAGCAAACATACTTTTTATGAATAGAATGTATAGTCTGTCACCCACATACAACACTTATATGTGGATGTTAAGATAACAGCCTTCTAAAATTCAATTTGAATCAACAGTATTTTAAAATTTACTTAACTAAGTACTAGTAATTTTAGGATCTCTTTCAATGCTGTAATTATATGCATAACTATAACC
This sequence comes from Homo sapiens, assembly GCF_000001405.40. Taxonomy (NCBI): domain Eukaryota; kingdom Metazoa; phylum Chordata; class Mammalia; order Primates; family Hominidae; genus Homo; species Homo sapiens. The sequence continues at coordinate 155,756,299 of NC_000007.14, forward strand.
TTATAGAAGACTTATAAATAAATGGGTAGATTTAATTTGGCTTGGTTCTTATTCAAATCTTGTCTGTATGTGTGAGTATAGGTATAAAAATATGTAATCAATTTGTTTCTCAGATGTAATCAGTTGAAGAATTTGTTCCTGGATATTTGTACTACAACATACTAAAATCAAAAGTCAAAATCAGGAAGTTGTTTTGGTATATGCAGTAAAAGGGAATTGAAAGCGTTGTTTCCACATTGATCCTGCCATATAAATTGGGCCAAGTGTGAGTCTAGCGCGTTGCAGTTCACTCCTCTCGTGGTGCACTCTGCTTGCTATTTGTTCTGAGAGATGACATGAAATGGTAGCTGGGATCGTGATGTTTAATCTGAGCACGTTGGAAACCCAGGAGAGGCCGAATGTCACTGTGTGCCGCCCGTGAGTTGGAGTGAATGGTAAAACCCCAGGCGAAAGCACAAGTTGCAAAGTAGGCAGCAAAATTTGGGCAGAAACGTCACCAGCAGTTTCCAGATAGCCGGGTAGCTTGGTGGTGGGTAGCATCTGTGGTATCTGGGTAGTATCAAAACCCATATTTTCCTTTCCCCAGCATGGCTGTTGTAATACCTGATTTTGTGGCTAAAATAGGACTTGTCAGTTTACAAGTAATGATTAGGACCACCAAGCTGTATTAGATGCCATTCAGAGTAACGCTTGCCTACTTCTTGACAGAGATTGTAGTGTCAACCACAGTATGGGCTGAAGTGTACCTTGAAATAAACGTCTGTCCATTGGGAAAGGTGAAATGAAAATTTTCTCAAAAACAAAACCACTAATAAAGTAAAATTTGAATGTGATCAACAGAATCCAAAGGGACAAGTTGAATCGAAGAGTCAATGGGAGAATTTGACCCATGGGTAGAAGTTGTTCACCTGATCCAAACTACGCTCCTGGCCACAACCTAGGAATGTGTATGCTAGTTCACATTCTAGTGTGAACTGGAGTAAAACCCGGGAACTTGAAACTGTTCTGTAGAATTAGCTTTTCCTCATGCTAAGTCAAAAGGGAATAATTGTTCTTTTAATTAGAAAAAAAAATTCATTTTTTTCTTACAAAATGAAACAACCTTTTACTTATGTTCAAGCCTTCATTGCTTAGCATGATCTTCAGAAAAATTCAGAAGCACAGCATTATAGTAGCCCTTCATTTAAAGTGATTTAATTGTTGATCCCGTTTGTTTCAACTCTGTCTGAAAATAGTTTCAAAATATGTTAGTGTAAACTCCTCCCCTGGTTTTGGAGCCACAAAGATGTTCCAGCGCTTATTGTGTGACTGAAGTTTGTTTAATGGGCACAATGAGGATACTACTACTTACCTCTTAGGGAGGTGTATTAGGCAGTTCTTGCACTGCTATAAAGAAATACCTGAGACTGGATAATTTATGAAGAGAAGAGGTTTAATTGGCCCAGGGTTCTGCAGGCTTTACAGGAAGCATGGTGCCGGCATCTACTTGGCTTCTAGGGAGGCCTCAGGAAGCTTCCAATCATGGTGGAATGCAGAGTGGGGAGCAGGCGCATTTCATGGCAAAAGCAGGAGCATGGTGGTGTGGGGTGGGGGGCGGGGCATGTGCCATGCACTCTGAATGGCCAGATCTTTTGTGAACTCAGAGCTTGCTTATCACCAAGGGGATGGCCTAAGCCATTCACAGTCATCCGCCCCATGATCCAAACACCTCCCACTAAGCCCCACCTCCAGCACTGGGGATACATTTCAACAGAAGATTTGGGGAGGGACAAAATACCAAAACTCCATCAGGAGGACTGAAGGAAAACAATGTCTGTACGGACCCTAGTACCTTTCTTGTCCTGTTGTAGACATTCAACAGATATGAGCTATGGATTATTTCACTGCCAGTACTAAGTGAATATATTGAATAATACCAAAACTCTTGATGATTAAGATCCCAGGAGTGCCTTGAAAATTTCCATTATAAAGTTTTATGATATCATTTGTTGCTATATAACAGGGTCCCCAACCTTACTGGCACCAGGGACTGGTTTCTTGGAAGACAGTTTTTCCGTGGACTGGGGTTGGCGGTGGGGAATGGTTTCAGGATGAAATTGTTGCACCTCAGATCATCAGACATTAGAGTCTTATAAGGAGCTGGCAACCTAGATCCCTCGCGTGGGCAGTTCACAGTAGGATTCATGCTCCCGTGAGAATGCCGCTGCTGATCCGACAGGAGGCGGAGCTTAGGCAGTAATGCTTGCCTGCCTGCTGCTCACCTCCTGCGGTGCATGCAGCTCAGTTCCTAACAGGCCACAGACTGGTAGTGAGGGTTGGGGACCCCTGCTGTATAAGGTACAAAAACTTGTCTTGGATATAAGCAGCTCCAGAGCTTACCCAGGCAGGGCTTCTTTCTGCTGAGCAGGTTTGTAGGAAGAGTCTTTCCTTGAAAGTTGGGTAGTCGGCATCACAAGACTCTGAAGCACCCCACTTTCTGTGTCTTCTGGTGTCTGCCTGCCCTGAGGACACTGTGGTGCACATGCCTCCAGGAAGCAAGAGACCACCGAGAGCCAGACCCACTGGGAAGAAAAACCAAGTAGCTGCATCCCAACCTGCCACTGGGACCGAAGAGTCTGTCAGTCTGGGCCCAAGAGCTTCCCAAGCAGGGAGGGGTGCAGCGGCAGGCCCAGGAAGGCCCACCCGGCCCCACGGAATGAGCAGAGGTGGCACTAGGAGGTGAGGTCTCTGTCTGCAGGGACTGTCTCATCACAGGCCTTATTCCTGTCTTTTCAGGCCATTTCTTAGAAAGTCGTCAACGAGGTATGACACCATCACATCAGGACCCTTTCTTTATGTTACAAGATCTGCATAAGGAAATTTTAGTTTTTTTGAAACAGATGAGGAAGAGAAAGGCTTTTTGTAATACCTGTATTTCTGAACTTTAAATAGAGATCAAGCCTACTTAAAAAATAAACTTTCCTTCAATGGAAAATAAAAGTTTAGAAATTTATTTTTCAGAGTTCTTATCTGACGTTAATGTCACCAGACATAAATTTTCACCAGTCTCTTACCCAAAATAATGATGAAGAGAACTTTTTCTTATTCGGGGTATTTATTGACTCAATGTTTATGTTCTTTTTTTTTTTTTTTTTTTTGAGATGGAGTCTCGCTCTGTCTCCCAGGCTGGAGTGCAGTGGTGCGATCTCGGCTCACTGCAAGCTCCGCCTCCCGGGTTCACGCCATTCTCCTGCCTCAGCCTCCTGAGTAGCTGGGACTACAGGCGCCCGCCACCGCGCCCGGCTAATTTTTTTTGTATTTTTAGTAGAGACGGGGTTTCACCGTGTTAGCCAGGATGGTCTCGATCTCCTGACCTCGTGATCCACCCGCCTCGGCCTCCCAAAGCACAGTTTAAAAATTATCAAATTACTACAGTGTTATGTGTTTATCACCCAAGTACACATACACATTGTATACCTTACAACATGCAAATAATAACATCCTCCTTTTGGTGCCACCTATTGTTGTTAAAGTTTCCTCTCTAGACCATCTTGTTTCAAGCTTTGGATTGCCAGGGAAACCGGCCAGAGCATTCGTCTTGCTGTCCGTCATGTTCTGTGAACATCGTTCCCTCCAGGCCAAAGGTACTGTCGCCTCTCTTTCTGCCACGTGACACTTCATGTTGCTGGGCTGAAAGTTGGCCTTTTATTATCTTAGTGGTGTAGTAAATAGGTGTGTACTGATTGACAGTGGCTGTAACCTAGTATTCTGATGCTATAATCTCTCTTAGCACATTCAGAACTACTTAACTTTAAAAAGTACAGGCAACTATTTACTGATCTATTCACTAAATATTTCAGTGCCTTCTGTGTGCATGAGACATTTTGGTAAGCTGAACAAGAGATTCACTGGGGTCTAAACCACTGGCTTCTCTCAAGCACTTACAAGACAGCAAATGTTGTGGTCGGCATCCTTGGAGACCTAGTTGGTTAAGCTACCAGGGAGCTGATTTAGATTGCTTAAGTTCATACGATGGAAGTCCTTCTTAGAGAGCAAACCTTCCACAGTCCATGCATTTGCCCACGTTAGTGGAAAGGGTAGAAGTTGGAGAATCACAGTCAGTAAGACTGTTGGGTTGCTGAGTTGTGTGGAGAACTGAGTGGTCTGATGTCCCCTCCACCTAACATGGGCCCTCATGGGACCTGGAGGTTGGTGTGAAGTGTTCGCGCTTGTAAAGAGGAGGAATGTTTTCAGTGGCAGTACAGCTGAACACGTGCATAGTGAATTTATGAATCTCATACTAAGATTGTACTGTCAGGCAACAACATTGCAATAGGATTTTGGATAAATTAATGGTCACTGGTTCTCATGAAAGATGAGGGTATGTGGTATATATTTTTAAATTTTAAAACTTTTTAGTATAGAAAATTTCAAGCATGTATAAAACTAGAGAGAATTCACATAGTTTTTTAAGATACAGACTGAAAAATTGTGTACTCAGTATAGGCCCTCCCTGCCTGGTGGGATACCTACTCACACCTTGGGTAGAAGACCTTGTGGAGAAGATTTAAGAGGCACAAACTACCAGCCTGACTTTGGATTTTGCGAGCGGTCTGCCTTTTCACAGTGCTTCCATTTTCATGTGGGGGTTGGGGGTAGCCCCTGTAAGACAGGAGCGACTCCCAGTAAGATCGCACGTTTCAGGCGATGATAATTCAAATGGTAGAGTCATAGAGCGTTAGGTGGGAGAACCCATCTGGCTCAGTCACCCGCAGCCCTGGCTGGACGATAGCAGATATACACACGGTCCTTTCCTTTGTGTAGTGTGTTCCCTTGGTTAACCGGGGGGGTGTTAAACCAGCCCTGCGCTTCTGGGATGAATCTTACCTGGTCATGAGGTGTGATCCCTTTTCCGTGTTGCTAGATTTAGTCTGCTAATATTCTGTTGGGGATTTTTTTTCATGTATGTTTATGAGGAATATTCTTTTGCAGTTGTCTTCTCTTTTGATGCCTTTGGCCTTGTATTAGGGTAATACCAGGCCCAAAGAATGAGTGGGGAAGTGCTTCTGCCTTTTCTGTTTTCTGAAAGAGATTGCGTAAGCTTGGTAGTCTTTCTTCCTTAAATATTTGGTAAAACTTACTGGTGAAGCTATTTGGGTCTTTGTTTTTCTTTGTGAATGGTTTTTAATTCATTGTCTTTACTTCTTAGAGTTCTATTCGTATTTTCTCTTTCGGTCAGTTTTGGTACTTGTGTCTCGTTGAATTTGCTCATTTCATGTAAATTGTCTAGTGTGTTGATGTAAAGTTGCTTGTAATGTTTTTTAAATTTCTTAGGGTCCATTGCGGTGATCCCTCTTTGTTTCCTTATTTTGGTAATTCATCTTCTTTCCTTTTTTCTTGGTCAGTATCCTTAAAGGAGCATCAATTTTTTGCTGATCTCAAAATACCAACTTTTGGTTTCACAGATTGTCTTTTTTCTGTTTACCATGCCGTTGCTTTTCGCTGTCATCTTTATCATTTTCCTTCCTTCTACTTGGGTTTGATTTCCTTTTTTGAGGACGGGGGACTAGCTTCTTGAGGTAGAAACTCAAATGACTGATTTTAGATGTTTTTCCTTTTTGATGTCATTGCTTAAGTTGCAGCCCCTGAATTTTGATGTGTTGTATTTTTGTTTCCATTCAGTTTAAATATTTTTTGTTCAGTGTTTGTATTATTTTTATTTCTCAGCCTAGCTTCCTAGGGGTTGACCCGACTGCTGCGTAGCTTAGTGGCCAGCCAGCGCCTGGGATGAGCTTGTGCTCAGGTCTCTGGACCCTGCATGGCCCCCCATGGCCAGTTATCTGTGTGTGGGTTGGGGCTTCCCAGGCAGCCATGTGGGGAGAGCCCATCTAGGCCTTCTCTAGCACTTTCCGTTCTGGAATTTCCTCATTAGGTTTCTCAGATTTCTGGCTGGTGTGCTGCCTGTTCCAAACTGAACCATGACCAGAGGCCCACAGACCCATGGGCTTCCCTGTGCCTTTCCCTCTGAGGGTGCTGTATGGCCAGTGCTGCTGGGGAACTTCAGGCCTTACTGAGTTTCGGCTCTGTGCTGATGGAGCTGCCACACACTGCACTGTCCTCACAGCTCAGGAATAAGTGCTTCTCCATTCTTTTCATTTTCTTTGATTTCCAGAGTCCTCAAATGTTGTTTTGGAAAATTTTGTCCAGCTTACACTTGTTTTGGAGAGAGAAGATTTGCAGACATTTTCATGCCACGTATTCCTGTGTGACATTTTTCATCTCATCTTTTCTTGAGTCCCTGTTTCTTTGTACAGTCTTAGCAGAAACAAGCTACATCCATCTTGCCCCAATCCCATGTTCCTTCTTTTTGCAGAGCCCTTTGTTCCGTTTGGTCTCCACAAGATAACGTTTGGTAGGAAGAGCGGGACACAAGGATATGTGGGCTGCTTCTGAGCTGGTTGACCAGGTTGCCCCTGGAGACACTGGCACAGCTAAGCACCCTGTGGGGAGGGTTTACTATCCCGTGACTGACACTCCCTCCCTGTCGATGTTGAGAGTGGGCCTCGTGCTAATAAAAGCCTCCGTCTTCCTTTTCAAGTCCAAGCATCCATCCTGACATAATTCATCAGGGCGGTGTCTGCCGTCCTTGCTGTTCTTTCCCAGCCTTCAGCTGTTCTTTGGGAAAAAGACTACTCAGTACTGAAAGCAGCTGATAGGCACCACCCTAAGACATGTTTATGCTGCCTGGACGTATGAACAACATTGGTGGTGCAGTTCCAAGGTGTACGTGCCTCCTGATCGATGAACAGACTGTTAATAAAACACAAAAGATAAGATTCCTGATATTTCTAAGGTTCTTCGTAGAGTAAATGCGCTTCTTGGAAATCCACGTACTCTGTAGTTGCTAATGGCACTTGTAACTCAGCAGAAGGAAGGGAAGTTTCTAGCCAGTATTTTGTGATGCTCTTCGGCGCTTCAGAGCACTGCATTGGAGAGGTCAGAGTATTTGAAGTTCACGTATCCACAGGGGGTGGAAGGCGCCGTGATGGGTTTGGAAGACTTACAGTCGCAACCAGCAGGAGTTGGGCTCATTGCCTTCTTAGGGTAGGTTGGAATAGGAGTTAAGAGTTTAAAACCACTGCTCATGCAAACTGTACATTTTAACAAGAATGCTCTTGAAAGTGAATAATGCATGCTGAAAGTGAAAATGCGTGTTGGATATGAAGTATTTTGAAAATAACCAGTATTTCACGGAATTCGACAACATTTATTTTAATCGCAGATCTCTTATATGAATATAGTAATTAAAGGGCATCTTAGTGTTTGAAATTTCAAACATATTGTTAGAACCTGACCACTCTCCAATGAGAAATGTCCTTACTGGCTCTAGTGAAATGACAAGTTTCGAGTCACACTTGTTTGAAATGGTTTTGCTTTGTGGGTGAACACTGGCTGAGGTGGGCTTCCTAATGCTGGGGAGGAGCTTTTGGTGGAGCAGACACTGAACAACGTGCTGCCTTCTTGGTTTCAGCAGGGAGGAGAGAGCGATGGCTTTTTTCACCCAGAAGGCCAGCCCCAGCGGCTTCCCCAGCCTCCGGAAGTGGGACCACAGCCTGCCCGCAAGGTGACGCTGACCAGGGGGGGCCTCCAGCAGCCCCCACATCTGCCAGCGGGGCCCCACGCACACTCGCCTGTCCCTCCAGGGATCAAAAGCATCCAAGGAATTCACCCGGCGAAGAAGGTACTGCTTGTTGCCTCGCACGCAGCCCTGGAAACGCGAAGGCCGGTGTGAGGCAGTGTTCAGACGTGCTCTAATTTGTAGCGCATGGCACACAGTAGTACTCACATTCATAAGTGAACCATCATTTCCTTTGTTCTGGCTTTGAAAACGCGTTAACATTTTCACCAAAGCCTTTTCCTCTCCTGACTTATTTCACAGAGCAAACCCAGAAGAGCACCCGCAGCCAGCCAGGAGTGCGATTGCTTCCTGCCGCTCTGAACTGTCGACCCAGCAGCATCTGCTGTGCTCTCGGGACAGCGCCTGCTGCTGCGTGTCAGCATGCTTTCCTTCCTGTGTTCACTGACTCACCAGAAATTTTACAAATGTGAAATCAAGTGCATGCTCATGGCCCCAGTTGAGACAGGGGAAACTGAGGTCTTTAGAAATGAAGTAACTTGCTCTAGGCCACAGTTCCCAGCTGCTTAATCCTTCCCTTAACCCTGGGGATTGGAAGGAGCTTCTCTGAGCTCAGGCTGTGAGGCAGGAAGCAAGGGTGCTCCCCATCCCCCTTTCTGTTGGAGTGGCCGTCTGTGCACTGGGAGCACATCCTGTCACGTACGCAAGTGACAGAGCGCCCTTCCCCTCAGCTTCTAGTGAGGCATCTTTCTGGCTCCCCAGAGTCTTGAGAGTGAAGTGCCCTCTTGGTGCAGAAGCCAGTAGCACCTGTTGGGTGGAGCTATGCAGAGGGAGACCTGGGCGCAGCCCTGCTTTGCGCTCTGGAGAACGGCAAGTCTGCCCGCTCATTCTCCCTCGTCATCTCGTCACTTTAGAAGTAGTGTCACTATTAAGACTATTCTGGCTCCTTTTGAAGTACTTAAGTTACTTCGTCTTATCTCATAAACACTTCATGATATGAGAGCAAACAAAATTCCATTTTGTACTAGAAAACAGATGTGTAGACAGATTCAGTGATAACGCCAGTGTTAAAGTGATGGATTTCTTTAAAGATCGCTGTGGTCTGAATTTTCTTCCTTCAGGTGCCATCCCTGAATATATGATGAGAAAGGCCTTAGAAACACCCTCCATAACGCGCACACGCACAGCACACTTGAGTTTCTTCAACTTAAATGTAAATGCTCCTGTGACTGAGGGTCATGATGTTTCCTATCTTACTTAAGCAATTCTGAGCATCTTATAAGAAGATGCATTTAAAAAAACCTGGTGCCTGGTGTATATAAGTAGGCATTTGTTAGAGATATTATTGTTAATATCATAACTTACTCTAGTTAGAACAGAAGACTAGTTAGTTACTACTGATTTCCAGCCAGGGTAACTGTAACTTGCAACTTCTCATGTGCATTTTCCAGTGTGGTTTCTCTTGAAATAACCCCTTGCAACTGTTTTAAAACTTAATTCACAGGCATAGTTTTGCTGCCTTCTTCAGAGTACTAAGAAATGTGGAGGTTTTCTCTTCGTTTCCTTTTGTGTGCGTGCACACTCAAGTCCTGAGGTTCTATTCCAGTTTCCACCTAACTTTCTGCCTTTCTCTGTGATGGACTGGGAGGCCACTTTTGCATTCTGCCCGAACTCCCCAACAGGATTCGGGTAGGCCATCTGGAAACCTAGTGCCGTCCATCACCACCCTGCCTTCTGCGCTTCACCGCTGTCCTAGGCTACATTGGGCACATATGTTCTCTCTGACTTTCTAATCTGGAGAAAGTGTGGGAAAGTTCAGCAGTTTCCTCTTCTTTAAAAGTTCCTTGAGCAGTAGTTTTGAACCCTTGGCAGCTTTTAAAAATAATAATGCTTAGGCCCGCCTTAGACCAGCAGAATCATACTTGGGGAGTGCCTGGGTCCTCAGTCACAATTGTGTTTTGTTTCTTTTGAAAAGCTTGCAGACGATGGAAATGTGCAGCCACGGCTGAATTTCTGGTTGCAGAATCTGCCTGGGAGGGTTTCAGGGTAGCAAATGTAGTCTCTGCCAGCGGAGTCAGGTACATGATGCTGTGGCTTGTTGTGACTGTAAGGTGGACTTAGCACTGTGCACAGCAGGTCCTGCTTAAACCAGCCTATACTACACTAGGAGAAATGGGGGCTCTGGGACTCTCAGGACAGGATCCAAATTCTGAACTGTCATTTGCAGCAAGTTTCTCAGCCCTGACGGGTGCCTGATCTACACAGAATGATGATGACACAGAGTGCCCACCGAGCACAAGCGTGTGGCCCCTGGAGAGGTGCAGGCTTCGTCAGCTCCCTCCTCTTCCTCCGCCTACACTTAAACTTGCTGGATATAGTTGTCTCATTTAGCTATTAAAACATTCTCTGATAGTGGATAGAAAACTACAGAAAATCCTGTAGCTCATGGTATATTTTAATGGATTCTAAGTTATTTGTTCACTTTTATATCTTAGTGACTATCGAAGAAGCTCAGGCTTGAAACTCTGAATGTATTTCCTTTGTTGTCACCAGGCCATCATGCACGGACGAGGCAGAGGAGTGGCCGGTCCCATGGGCCGGGGGCGCCTGATGCCAAACAAGCAGAACCTGCGGGTGGTGGAGTGCAAGCCCCAGCCCTGCGTGGTGTCTGTGGAGGGGCTGTCCTCGTCCACCACGGATGCCCAGCTGAAGAGCCTGCTGATGTCAGTGGGACCCATTCAGGTAGCCGCCTGGGGGTGGCATCTGTGCCACGGGTAGTTGTGTCCCAAGACAAAATCATTTCTTGATTTAAAACACAGTGCCCTTTGTGTTGGCTACTTCATATTAAAATAATACTTGGGAAGTAAGACAAATAACCTGTTGTGCATACTTAGTATCAGAACATTTGCCTCAAACGTTTATTTTGAAATTTTCAGATTCTTAGTTATAAATTTTAAGAAATAAATACCCCAGCTGAACAGATTATCCTTTGAGATCCTTTTAATTGTCATAGAAGGTTCACACTTGCACACATACATACAAAATTTTTTGTTCTATCAAATGACTTGTTTTATTTGTAATAACATTACATTTTAAAGTATTTAGCCTTCTTTTCCTTGCTTTCCAGAAATAGCTTCATGTGCTAAATAGCTGTGACTTGGTTTAGATTTTACAAATATGACAGTATCTTGGATTGTATCTTCATCTCTTAATTTAAAGCTGGCTAACTCTAATGCTGAAACATGCCTGCTGAGCTGGCTGCAAATGAGATGCATGAAAAGGAACACAGTTCCAGGTCCACTGGAAACAGGGTTTTCCACGGAAACTCCTGGTCTCTGTAGGCTGACCCAGCGAAGAAGCTACCTGCTTGTTCAGTCCGATTTCTGGCCTCCCCGTCAGGTGCCACCTGTGGTGCCCATTGTTGCCATTGCCACGCACCGTGCGTCCCGTGGTGGGATCTGGTGTGTCTGGGGGCAGAGCACTTTGGAAATAAGACATTTTTGGATGCACAGAGTACATGTCAGAGTTCTGAGGAGTCCAAAGTGCTTTCTTTCAAGAATCTCTTACAGCCTCTAGCTTCATGGGTGGATTTGGAAACATGTTAACACTAGGGTTGATACGGGTAATTAATGTACATGTTTTAGATCTCCATCTGCTGTTGACAGTTCCTAAAAATGAATAGATGAAAACTCTTCCAGAAACATACATGTTACTTGGGTTTAATTGCTGCCATCTTCATTACTGGCTTCCTGGGGAGATAGGTTTCATTTTTATTGGTGTGTAGTAATGGAAAGTTAACCCAAAGCCTTGGCTTCTGTTTGTGATAGAGCGGGCTCCCTAGTGGTGCAGTTAGGAATACTTCATCAGCTATTAGAAGCGTACAGTGTATGTTTAAGGATATTTCAAAACAATTGATCATAATCTGGATTAATTTGCAGGAACACGGTAGACACTAGAGCATTTTAGATGGATTAAAATGTGGTTATCCTAATCTGAGATTCTCAAAATAAATGGTGATGGAGAATTCTGGTCCAGTAACTGTGTAGCAGTGAGTCCAGATGAAAAAACCCTGAGCCTAGTCTGTTGTGAGCCACAGATGGGTGCGCTTGGCGAGGCCTCACGTGTGTGGCCCAGTGTCCTGCTGGTCCTCCTGTCTTTGGGGCGATCTGCACTTCCCTGTGGGCAGAAGGGTTGCACTGTTGTTTTCATATGTCACCTGCTACTTTTGTGGACTTTGCTTCATCCTGTGTAGTCTTGATCATTTTCTTGAATATTTTTGAGTGTGATCGAGTTGTCAAGATCCATACCTGAACAGCAAGTACTGTTTGCTTCTCACAGCATTGAGTGAGGCTCAGAGCCTACATTGTGAGAATATGCTTGGAGTCATTGCCAAACCAGCTAATTTCTGTCTTGTCTTTTAAATTGAATTTTGCATTTTGTACCGTGGGTTTGTATAGACCTCTTAAATGGTCTCTTTTTCCTTCCATTTGCTTCCATTTCCTTCGAGTGCTGGGATTACAGGCGTGAGCCACAAATATTTTTTATCCTAAATGTTTTGGAATAGTGTCGAGTCTCTGTCTCTTTGGGATATGGCACCACCTAGTGTTCACTGGTGTAATGCCAGGTGGTGTCTACACCAGGAGGACCTATATTCATTCCTTTGGGCCTTTTAATTTTAGAAGATTCTAGTAACTGCATGTTATTTTTTGTTTTTGTTTTTGGAGACGGAGTCTCGCTCTGTCGCCCAGGCTGGAATGCAGTGGTGCGATCTGGGCTCACCGCAACCTCCGCCTCCCGGGTTCAAGCGATTCTCCTGCCTCAGCCTCGCGAGTAGCTGGGACTACAGACGCGTGCCACGCCTGGCTAATTTTTTGTATTTTTAGTAGAGACGAGGTTTCACTGTGTTAGCCAGGATGGTCTTGATCTCCTGACCTCGTGATCCGCCCGCCTCAGCCTCCCAAAGTGCTGGGATTACAGGTGTGAGCCACCGCACCCGGCTGTCACTGCATGTTAACTATACTTTTTAAACCCATGGAATTTGAGAACTTTTCTCAGTGTAGCAGTGATGTGGTAGCCAGTTTTGTTCTCAGATTAGTGTTTTACTTCCTTAAACTACATTAATAAGCCTCTCCAGAAAGTCCATTTCAAAGACATTTATCTATAGACTCAGTGAGGAAGAATGAGAAGATTTCGTAGAAATGTCATAACCAGAAGATGGTCTTCCAAAAAGTTTCGAACTGTAACCATGTTTCAGAAATTGTAACTTGACAAGAACTTGATTCTTCGAAGACTAGATATTTTTTTTTTCTGTCTACTCATAAACCACATAGGAACTCTTTCGTTCTTCCTGGGTGTCATCTGGAAGGAACTGAAAGAAGCAAGAAACCGTCATCTGTGTTTCTTGCGGGAAAGCACATTAAAGCAGCGGGAAGAAGGGGAGTGGGCGCACAGCCTCCCTGGCTGGGCCCTAGTGACCGACTTCTCCCGAGTCAGCTTTGCTCCCAAGGCCAGGGGGGCTGCCGTCCCCCAGAGGCTGCTGAGGAGAGCCCTCGGAGATGCAGTGCAGAAGCCTCTCCCTGACGCTGCTGATTTGGGGGTAGGCATGGAAATGTAGAGAGTACCGCTCAGAGAAGAATCTGCCCTTTGCAGAGCGGATCTCAGCCCACCATGGAGGCCCTGTGAACTCGGTGGAAGGTGGGATCATCTCGGCGTCTGACTGACTGATTCTGCTTCTGCTTCTAAGATAAAGTGGATCACCGAGAAGACAGCCCCTTTACGTCTGGTTCTGACTGCAGGAAGGCCTGGTTGGTGAAGTAGAAAATGTTGGAATCTTGAGTGAGCAGCTGAGTTGTTTTGAAGTTTGGACAATTGAGAAAGAAAACACTAAGCAGTGTCAGACACGGATTCCAGAAAAGCCCACGTCACAGGCTTAAAGAACAGATGTGTGTGGGCACATGATGGGAAGCCACAACGGAAAAGCTAGTTAACTGGAGGCTCTCCCACAGGGTTCTGAGAACACGGTTGTTAATCATTCCAAAAGGAGGAGGAGGATTGAAGAGACCTGTGTGAGAACACAGAGCTTGTCTGTGCTTTAGAGGAGAAGCATGCGTAAGACAGGGAAGATGGGACAACCAGGAGTGAAAAGGGAAAAGGAGAGGTCAGGAGACGTTTTAAAATTAAACCAGAGCAAAAGGAGCAACGCGCCCGGGATGTGCAGGAGAGCCCAAACGTTGAAATTCAGGGGAAGTGCCAGAATTGGTGTCCAGGAAGACCCAGCATGTTATGATAATAGATGAAAACTTGAAATGGGGCAGAAAACTCGGTGCGGGCTGGAGTTGCCCAGAGCACTGTTGTGAACCTTTCTTTACCACTCAGCCCACCGCTGGAATCGTGTGCAGGCTTCAGGCGCCCTATTTCCAACAGGAGGTTGGTCACACAATGACCTGTGTGTAGAGGGGAGCCCCATGGGCCAGTCCTGCACACCGTTCCATACAGAAATGCTTAGCAGGCTCACTGAGGCTCTGCAGGGGCTCTCGGCCCTTCCTGCCAGGGAGTGCCTCCCCCACCCGCTCTAGTGTCAGACTCTGCTCTAGGGTGGGGCTCAAGAATTTACATCTCTCATGATTTATAAATTGGGCCTATTTTAAGCAGTTTGACTTGTGTTTAAAAGCAGCTGATACCTTTTTTTTTTTTTTTTTTTCCTTTAAGTGATTCCTTAAGGTGCTAGAATTGTTGGCCAGAGGGAGAAAAAGAGCTTGGTGTTTAGGATTGCAGAATCAGTTGTAATCCTGTAACATTTTAGTTATCTTTATACATGCATGCACACACACAACCACAGCCATGCACAGACATGTACACACATGCACAGACTCTTCCTCAAAAGAGGAAGAACTTTTCATGGGGAAAAGAGGCGGGTTCTGAACAACATGGAAGCTTTTCGCTGCCAGGTGGCATGGTTGTTGATTCGATCTTACGGTTCTGGATGGGATTGCTGGGTACACATGTGTGAAGCTGCCAGCTGAAGTGTATTCTTTTAACTTGCATTTGCTACTTATTTAGTAGCCCAGTGAGATTTCCTCAGAAGTTGTCTGAAGATGTCTCTGAAAAATGAAAAGCCAATCAGGGTGAGAGCTGGTGTGCCAGGCTTTCCCCTCTCCCTGCCAGTACGTTATGTGGGGGCTGGGGGTGAAGAAGGAGGTCCTTACATAGGTCAGTATGTAGACTTGAGACAAATTCTAACTTGTGGTTTGTTCTGGGTGAAGAAAAGTTTTAACTCTATGATAGCGTGTTGCTCAGGTGTGTAGACGTGTATATTTTCACAGTGGAAGCTGGCGACCATGTCTTTAAGCTTTCACTGGAAAGTTTCTTTTCCTCTGCTCCTAATAAATCACGAATACTTGTCATTTTGGTAGGTCAAAAATGGTTGAATATTGACAATTTCTACAATTTTGTATCTAGAAAACAGGGTTTATTTCTGAAAGAAGGTACAAAAATGTAAGGAGAGAGGGTAGACAGGAAGCAAATTTTAGGGCAGCACGCTTGTTCATTATGTTGAGTGACTGAAAACCAAGGCATTCCTCTGATTGAAGAATCTCACTGGAAGTTAATGCTTTCTTCACGGATAGCTTCTCAATCAAATCGAGGTTTTTAAGCTACGTAGATTACAAGTAAAACCTGATACCAAATATTGTATGATTGGCAGCCTGATACCCTCATTTCACATTGTGAAATTGCCCAAAGGAAATAAAGTCACCACATATATCTAGAAATGTTATTTCCCAAAAGAACTGCATGATATTTTCTTTTTTCTTATTTTATTTTATTTTTTATTTTTGGGAGACAGAGTCTCGCTCTGTCACCCAGGCTGGAGTGCAGTGGTATGATCCTGTGATCATGATTCACTGCAACCTCCACCTGCTGGGCTCAAGGGATCCTTCCGCCTCAGCCTTCTGAGTACCTAGGACTAGAGGTGTACACCACTGGGCCTGGCTAATTTTTGATTTTTTTTTGTGGAGACAGGCCCTCACTTGAGTATAGTACTTCCAAAATCCAGATTCTATCTGTGAATTGCAGAATGTTGATCATTGTTTTATGATATATGAAATTTTCCTTATCCATTCTTAATGAAGGAATTTTTATATTTTTAGACAAGATAAGTTTAGAGAAGGTCCATTATTGTAGTTCTCACAGTAAGCTCTGCTGCAGTATTGGCAGCTGTTGTGTGAAACTGTTTCAGTCACTTTTGAGTGTTGTTTAAACCCCCCAGGATCCTGGAGCACTGAGCATGCTGGTGCTGTTGCCGGAAGAACGGAGAGAACCCCGGAGGCACGGCTGCAGCAGCTCTAACCTAGGTTAGGGTTAGGGTTTAGGTTCGGGTTAGGTTAGGGTTAGGGTTAGGCTGGGATGGACAAGTGACACTCACTCCACACAGCCCCTTACCTGGGAACAGAACAGATAGGATTTTCTCTTTGGAAGTTGCTCTATTGTTTCAGTGACTGAGTATCATTCACAGGCTAATACACAAAAGGGGTGCATGCTGAAATATGAGTCTGGCAGATTGGGAGAGAAAACAGGTCTCTGTCAAGAAATACAGGCGGAATTTCAAAGTCCAGAAAGCCATATTGCAAGCCATATTGCTGAGAATGTATCCAGGAGACCACGTTGTGGGGCTTTACTTTTCCTGTTAACTTAATGACAAGTGAAACTATCAAATTTCTTTTGTATTCATTTTTTATTTCAGAAAGAAGGGAGAAAGTCTGATATTTTACTGAACTTGTTTCAGAAAAAAACAGACCAATTCCGTTACTGCCTAGTGGGCTGCCTCATTGCTGGCCTGTCTCAGTGATGTCCCTAGACCAGGGCCGATGCTTCTGGGGTAGCCTGTGCGCAGGCCTTCTTGATGCCCTTGAATTTGGAGACTTGAACCTTTGTATTTCTGTGTAAACGCTGTTGTAGAAGCACTGGAAGACACCTTTTTCGGGAGTGTTTGAGTATTCTTTTAGAGCTCTGCTAGTCTTGTTTACTGATAGACATTCTATAGTTATTAAAATGGAGAGCAGTTATTTCATATACAGTGTAACTTTTTAAAACACTTTCCAAGTCACTGATGTTTTTTAGCTGTTTGCTTCCATTGTAGCTCTTTGACATGCTTTAAAATGAAATGGCCACATGTGCCTCAGTATTTTCAAGGGATCATGTGCTGGTAGTTAGTTATTTTCTCTAGCTATTCTGTTTCACTGAACAGAAGCTCAGACACAGCAAATAGTTTCTGGCCACCAAAAGTGCCTGCTGAATGCAGTCCTTCAGGACAGTGTTTGCTGGTGCCCATGCCAGGACCTGCCCAGGGACACCTGTTCTTAGAAGAATCGGGCACCAGGTGCGGTGGCTCATGCCTGTAATCCCAGCACTTTGGGAGGCCAAGGCAGAGGCGGATCATGAGGTCAGAAGTTTGAGACCAGCCTGGCCAACATAGTGAAACCCGGTCTCTACTAAAAATACAAAAAATTAGCTAGGGCGTGGTGATGGGTGCCTATAATCCCAGCTACTTGGGAGGCTGAGGTAGGAGAATCACTTGAACCCAGGAGGTGGAGGTTGCAGTGAGCTGAGATCCTGCCATTGCACACCAGCCCAGGCAACAGTGCGAGACTCCATCTCCAAAAAAAAAAAAAAAAAAAAAAAAAAAGGAGTCAGGGGCTCCTGTGCGTGCTCCAGACAGCAGGTACTAAGTTGACTGTGTCCTGAGGTAATTGAGAAGAACCAGACTCTAGAGCTTTGAGTTGCTTGAGAGTTCACAGAGCGCCACTGAACAGATCCACAGATGGCTGTGCTCTCCTCCTGCCTGCCCCTCCCAGCTCTAGATCCTAAAGGCTTAAGAAAGCAGAAAGCAGCTCCCCCTCTTCCTCAGGCAGCAGATTTGAGGACTAGATGTAAGTTTCGCTTTGCAAACACTTCCTCTGTAAATCTTTACTGGATTCATCATTTCTTTTGGCCAATCTTCATAAATTCATTTCTTTTTCACTGGCATTGTTTTAGGCCAGTGGGTGGCGACTTCATTTCAGATACCACTGTTTAAGACTGGTGTTCACAAACTCTTAAAGTACAAAATGTGACCACGTTATGCTGATGTCTGCCCCAGGCACCACTGCCCTCACCATGGCCCAGCCAGATGCACAGAGATGGTAGACTAGGGGCCATTGCCTACTGTGGGCTGTGGGGCCCCCATACTAAACAGTTTCCTCTGGTGTGATGAGTCCTGTTCTTAAAAAATTCATGGGGGTCCCTATTAAAAATCACCTGATAAGAAGGCGTGAGAAGAGGAGATGTCTCTATCCAAGGGTACCTGCTACCCGGTCTCCCAGAGCAGGTTGGGGCAGCTGATGGGGCCAGATGATGGGAGGCCTTAACACTAGGCTTGGAAGATGTAACTGTTGCTGTTGGGAATGATTTAGTAAAGCACTGTTTTGGAGTAGATTATCTAGATAAGTAAGACAAATTGCCAGGGAGCTAGAAAGGAAAATCAATTAGTGTGTTCCAAATGTCCGCCTGGACTCATTTTGTGTTAAAACTAATAATGCTTAAATATATATATTCATATTTTTTATTGTCATTTACAACTGATCTTAAAGTGTTTGTTTTCTTCCTCTAGAGTTTACAGATGCTTCCTCAGCAACGGAAAGCCATAGCTAAGTTCAAGGAGCCAGCCCACGCATTAGCATTTCAGCAGAAATTCCACAGGTGACCAGTGTGTTCTGTGCTTGTGGTGATAAGGGGGCGGGAGCAAGGCCCTCCTTCCTGTGCCCTCCCATCCATCATGGTAGCAAGCGTGTGTCCCCACCTGTTCCTGTAGAAGGACACTAGGGCACAAAGCGCAGACGGTGATCCTGTCATGAGGCGCGCGTCCTTTTGTCTGGTGGAGAATTGCCCCTTGTGTTTTAATAGATCTTCCCGGGGAATCTGCCTTTTTATATGATGCGTTTTTATTAAACAGGACCCACCGGGCTCTTTTAGTTTCCTCCCACCTTGGTAGGTTGATTGCCGATGTGCAGGGTTAGTGTCGATCGTTTCTTTAAATTTTCACAGGCATATGATAGATTTGTCCCACATAAATGTGGCCCTGATCGTGGAGTGAGTCCTAACAAGAGAGCCTGACCTTAGGCTGTACACACACTGTGGAATTTCTTCAAGGGAGCTGCCGGCCGGCGCAGAACCCCCAGGAGCACAGGTCTCTCCGGGCCGCTGTCCTGCGTAACTGTTCTCCAGAGCGCCAGCCAGCCACGGGCCTGATTCCAGAGGAGCCGAACTGACAGGACACAGCAGGCTGGAGTTGGTGTTAGATTGCTTCACATTCTCTTGTCACCACCAAGAACTCCAAGTTTTTCGTTTTGTTTTGTTTTCAAAGTGCTTACAATGCATGTAGACATTGTTCTTTGTGGTCTGACTCTATGATCGATCACAGTGACTTAGATTCAGGAAAGAACATTAACGTCACAAGTTCTAAGTAGTTTTCACAGCAAAGAATATTTGATAATGGTTGCACTTATCTTCAGTGCAGGTTAGAAGAGTCTTCTCAACCAAGCTTAACTCGAGTTGTCTTCTCAGCCCTCAAAAGGCTCTTGTACAAAATGTAGATTAAAATTTGGGTGATTGTTGATTGACCTTTGCATACCCTGGAAAGCCAGGGTGTGAGTGGGGTGGTTGGGAGTGGTGCCAGTTGAACAGCAGATTCTGCTTCTTGTCACTGTTTCAAAAGCGTCAACTCTGTGTTCCTAGTTTCGATGAACTCCCCATTCATTTTTAACACACTTCCCAGATAAGGCAATGTGCTGGACAGGCACACGGCATGGCCCTCGGCTAGAGCAGGGTCTGTGATGGCCTCACCTGGCAGCCCTCTGGCCTAGTTCCCACCACACATGAGGTGGTGGAATGGCCTGAAGGTGGAACAGACCTGTTTTTTTCCTTTTTAAATGCAGTAAGGTGGCCTGTTTATCACTGGCTCTGTGATACATGACATTCTTTGGGAATTTGGTGGCCACTGCTTCAGTCACCTCTGTTTTTCTGAAGGCTGTTCCAGCAGGGCTGCCCTGTTCATCAGCGGATGTTCACTCTGGCCTGCCGTTCCCCGTGGCATGCGGGGTGAGGGTGGCTTTCTTCCAGCCCCAAATGAGACGAGTCTGTGTCATCATTGAAACTGCTTTTCGTAATTGCGGGTAGGTTCCTGTAGGTGAGACATATTCTCCATAAAGCTACTGTAGTAGAATTCATTCTGGGCAAACACTGAAAAAAGTGCCTTACAGTATTTCTGCTCATGAAAGAGTTTCACTATTTTGGATATATTCTAAAGTGGACCTGAGCTATTTGAGCAAATAATGATAGGGCATACTCAGACATTTTAGCTACCTTTTATACCTACGATTTCATGTCACATTTACTAATAGAATTAAGGGAAATAGAAGCCCGTTCTTTCTTACTGCCCCTGGAGGGAGCATGGCGCTAGGGCTCTCAGCCTCCTAGAAGGAAGGGACTAAGGAGACGGGCACAGACTTGCGTCATCTCGTTTCCACAGTTGACGTTTTATATTACTTTCTCAAATTAAGTTACCAAAACAAACTGAAGAGCTGAAGCAGGTCTTCCAGACCCTGCGATCCTTTCTGTAGCAGTGATTCTAAAGTGGCGTTTGCTGTGTGCTTGAGAGTAACACTGCACGCTGCAGGGGCTGTTGCAGCAGTCAGTCCCAGGAAGCCACAGCGCTTGTAGGATCTGCTAGGACCCTGCAGCTGTGCTGCCGCCACCTCTGCTCCAGAGTGTCCCAGCCAACCCTCGGAAGATGGGATTGCCAGTCAGCCCTGCCTCACCATGCCTGCAGGAGGCTGTCCAGGGAGCAGGTCTGTGTGCCCATCAGCAGGTTCCCATGGCTGTCACTGCCCACTCATTTCCACAGTTAGATACGGATGTGTTGATGTATTTCGTCTAGTTTATTTGGCTCAGTCCACAGCTGCGTTGGAGTGGTGACTTTGGTAGCCCTTGAGCTCTAATTAAGAGAGATCCAAACCACTCAGTACCCACTGGGCAGTGGGAAGGCCTACCGACTTACTTTATCATTGAGGGCTTACTGATACAATGAAATGAGTTTCATGACTTTTTTTTTTTTTAAACACTTTTTGAAATAGAGTGTGCTGTGTTTAAAACCAAAAATATGCATGTTGTCTCTGAAAAGTAGGCATTGAAACAGACTTTTTTGTAGTCAGTGTTAATAAAACGGATCCTGTTTGGGCCTTCATTGTTAAGGTGGACTTCATGGCCACTGGAAGGTCTGTTTTGGTGTTACCTGAGTGTGACACAGGCCCTGGGGTGTGCGTGTTTCTCTAACTGTCTACACGTGCACATAGGCAGACTTTCTCATAGAATGTTCTTGAAAGGTGATTGGCAAAGTCATGCAGGCCCGCCTTAAAGCGCTGATTAGAACAGTCCAACACAGTCCGACCTCACTCAATACCCACAACCATCGAAAATGGATTCTTAGTACCAGACAATCCCAGTAATGAAGGTTTAGTTTCCTTGAAGGAAACTACAGAAAAGGAAAGAAGCAGAATGAGAAAGGAATGGTACTTAGGTGTTTGGTATGCTGCTCACGTGAAGTCAGCCCACACCAGCCAAACCCTCGTGGAAGATCTGCTGCAACCATTATCTTTGTTCTTGAGTTCATCATGCATTTAAAATGAGATGCAAGAGCATTTAGCATACCATGTAAATATGGACCTTTTAAAATTAAAATACTATTGGAAGTGCTTTCAACTCAGCCACATCTTAGCTATTAGTTCTTTGTGTTGTCTTATCAAAGTTTAATGGATACAGTTCCACAGTTGTTGATGTGTTTGTGTGTATATTCGATTTTTATAAAGATGGTAGTAAGTCAATACATTTATCCTGATCTGTGTATTATTTGTTCACAAATTCAAGAAGCTTAAAGGTCGTAAATATCAGTATCTCATAAGGTAAACCAATAGCTGATTATGTGGAGCCAAGTTACTTCTTTTCTTTTTGCATTATCTTGTTTTGGTTTTGTGCTGTAATAGAAGTTCACTTAGCTACTTTAGATAACCTTGCATTACCACTGGTCTGGCCACGTTTGTTAAATCCTTATACTGATATTCTTCTAAAGAGTAAATCTCATCATTTTTCCAGACAAATTTTGAGGGGTTTCTCTGTTTTGTGGACAGGCAGCAGCCTCCGTAGGCACCCGCACCCTGCCTTGCTGGAGGAGATGGGATGGGGCGGGAGGTGGCTTCACCATAACTATTTTTAATATGGGTCATTCTTAGCATGATTTGTAAAGGTCTCAGGCAAACAGTTGTTGAAGCTTGCTTCTGTGGCATTTCTGAATTGTGGCAGAGCTTAGATCCTGCACCCAGGGGTCTTTTTTTCAAACAGCATCTTGCTCAGTTCTGTGAACAGAAGGCTTTGTTACTGAAGGAGGTGGAAGAGGAGTTTAGGGTGAAAAGGAGGAAGGGATGGACAGACCCAGGTGAGGAGAGGCCTGGGGATTGGGGAAGCTGTCATCTCAGTGTTAATAATCAACTTGCTTCTAACACACTGGCTTATCAGGGGAGGTCATCCAGTCCGGTCGGTGGAGTTGAGAGCCCTTGGGCCAGGGTGTTTGGCGGCACAGGGGCATCCGCTGGATGGCCTGGAGGAGTGGGGGAGGGGAACGTCTTCACTGGGTGGTGATCAGCTGGGACAGTTCAGGTAGGGCAGGTGAGGGACCCCCGAGGCCCTGGAGCCTTGTCCTGGGATGGGTTTGAAGAACTCATCACTCATCACTTGTTTTCTTTTGGCTTTTGTTGTTTTTGTTTTGTTCTGTTTGTTTTGTTTTGTATTTCTTTGTTATTTTATTGGGAAGGTAAGCGGAATGTGCTCATAGACCATCAGACGCTTGTCGAAGGCAGGTCCTAGTCATGTAATTGCACAGGACAAGGAGGTCAGCGTGTGTGATGGCAGCATGCTGTGCCGGCACATCGTGGAGTCCTAGAAACTCTCTAGTCCCTGCGGCTGTTCCCCTCCTCTGCTCTCTCCCTGGAGAGGACTGCCAGCTCTTAAGAAACATTCCTGGTGCGGTGTCTGCAGTGCCCTTTGTGGGTGACTTCAGGCTTCCCGCTTTCGTGGTGCTCTTCCTGGGATTCGTTTTTTTATTACCCTCCCTCCCTACTTGTAGGCCTCAGCTATGGCTTGACGTAATCGCTTTTAGACCCAGGTTGGCTTCCCTTCATTAAGCTATGATCCTCCACCCCATTTTTTTTTTTTTTAATTTGGAGTGGGAGGGAGGGGGGTGGGCGAGAGAAAGCTCGAAAGGTATTATTGGTTTTTCAAAAAATTAGAGGTGACGATTCTACCAGGGAGTTGACTGATAGGAGTGTGTGCAGGGCAGGAAAGGTTCGGAGGCACCCGACTACCACCACTCGGAAAGCCGCTAGTCCAGATCGACTAGGGAGAGGCTTAGATACTTTAGTGTATTTAAAGAGCATTTCAGTTAACTTTTTCAGCTATTTTTAAAGTTTGTGAATGGAGTGTTATTTTGGACATTCTTAAATATGAATTCTCCAAAGGCATTTAGCCTTGACTTAATATTAAATCCTAAGGATTTTATGTAAGGTTTTTTTGCAACCTATTTAATTTTTTTTAAATGCCTAACTTCTGAGGTGCATAAGCCCGTGGTTTGTGTACTGGAACTAAAGCGGAACTCACTGATTCATATTGGATCCCCAGGTATACCTTCTGCTGGTAGCATATGGCTGGAAAAGGCCGTTTGCCTCACACATTGTAACCTGCCTTGGCTAGAAAATGCTTTTAATGTCTCAACTCTCTCTTTTCTGTGTCATGTTTTGGTAGGAAATCTTTAAGATTGGCGGACGGAACAGGTATTTTAGTGAGACACTTCTGAGTACTTGCTTTTTCCTTTGACTTCTAACCAACTAAAAGAGAAGGAGGTCTTCATGTTGATATTTTGCTTGGTTTTATTTTACTGATTTTAAAAGGTATATAGAAAAATGTAGGCCTTTAAAAAGAAACAGCATGTAGTTTTTTATTTTAATATGTTCCATAGAGTGGATAGGCAGACAGGTACTATTGTAATGTATTCTGTATTTAATAATTTAATATACTCTAGAAAGTAGACCTCATGCATTCTTTTAGCATGATTTTCTTTTAAACTGCTTTTCATTTTAAGGGCACCCGTGGCGGAAGCTGGTTTTGCAAGGACTGTGTAAGCTGTATGCGTTCTAGCTGTATGCGTTCTGTAGTCTTTTCTTAGGTGGGTAACATTTTCAATAACGCGCGCACAGCACACAGGGGTGCCCTGAGCCGAAGGAGCAAAAAAAGCCACCGCTCGTTTCTATAATCCAGCTTTGCTTTTCACAGGCGTGGGATCCAGGATGGTGTCCTCTGTGAGGACTTGAACTCTGGGGCTTTAATTCCACTGTTTAATTTTCAGGTACCACAGCAGCAAAGCACAGAGTGTGACCTTTTTCATGTCTGAGCTGATTCTGTTTGCTCCACGTGCCTGCTTCTTGCTACTGTTCATTTAGTAATGGGATCACCTCACCATGCCATGCTCTGGGCTCTCCCTCTCTGTCCATTTCTGTTTTGCTTTCCTGGCTAAACCCATCTACCATTCTTAACACTGGTAGCTCCTGTCCCATTCCAAGACTCACTCTCTCAGACCTTCCCATCTCCCTGGCTTTCCATGCTCCTCTCCCTCCACCTCCTGGCTTCAACTGGGTGAGGGCCGTATTCCTGCCACTCTGCTCCGCCTCAGCCTTGAGAACTCCACGTGGGCTGGGTGGGAAGGTGCTGACGATTTTCACACTGTGTTTACCACTCCATCACCTCTCAACCTTTGCTTCGACAGGTCTTCACTCACGATTTATTCCTCCAGGTCTTTGATTGGAGAGAGTAACTTTTTAATTCTGTTGTTTTGCAGTTTGGCTCTGTAGGAGTGAGTGGCGATTCAAAGATGCCGGCGTCCCGCAGTGTGCGGTTCGTGCCCTTAACCACCCGCTTCTTTGTTTCCCGCCCCTCTGCTTTCGCAGGAGCTCTTGTGCTTGAGTTCAGTGTTAGTGGTAGCGTGGCTCACTCCACTTGGAGGTGGCGGCCGTCTGACCGTGTGTTACTGCTTTGCCGACGGGGCCTCCCGGCCCTGATGCGTGTACACTCTGCGGGCTGCACCGGGTGGCTCTGGTTGGGGGCGAAGCTGTGTTGACTGGGAGAGCGTTGGAAATTGAGACATGGAGAGATGACGGGAGTGCGTTTCTCTGGGTTTGATCTCCATCCTGTTTTCTCCCAGACACACCACACCTACCTTGGGGGAATGCCGTTGCCTGTTCCACCCCTTTGTTCACTTCGCGTTAACTGCTGTGGTAACTTTTTCAGGATCTGTGTGAAGAATGGTAATGACGTAGTTGAAAGGAAAATGTACTGTTGTGTGTTTCATTTGTGTGATTTCGTACCAAAAAAATGTGTTTGAACTATATTGTATGTAATTTGGAAGTCGTGTTAATAAAACCCTGCAGTTTCCACTCTGGTTCCGTAGCCTTCATTTTGTCTGGGCGCTCAGGTCGGGCCACAGCTCATCTTACCTGTGTGTCCGAGACGGTGCTTCCGCACCTCTGTAAGGGGCCGGGGTCGGGGGCTGCCCTCACGCTCCCCAGATTGGCCGCTGGGTTGCAGCCCGCGGCTTTCACGCAGCTCTCTCATTAGTGGGCCACGAAGGTCAAGGGCAGCCGCCGCCTCCTTGCCTGCATTCTGGGCGCTGCATGACTCCGAACTGACCAGGCAGACGGCATCAAAGTATGCTCCTTTTGGTTGGGGGTGGGGGAGTTAGTCTTTTTAATTTTTTAAAGCATTATAGATAATTTTTACAAGTTTTCTTCAGAAGAGACTTGTATTCCAGCATGGCAATAAGAGACTGAAGGTGGGGAAGCTCAGTCTCCAGTGACGCCGTTCTTCCAAGGTGGCGTGTTCTTGCCGTGTGCAGGCCTCGCTGGAGGTTGGGATCACAGTGCATATGCCATCATGTATATTTTCCATTTCATGTATCCCACGTGTTTTTCATGTTGTTAGAAATTGCTCATAATTTATGGTCTATTTTGAAAATGAAGTCTTTAAAAAGAAGGCAGCTCTGTTTCCAGAAACTACTGTCCAAAACATTCAAGAAGATAACCCCCATCACACCCCCTGCTGTGCCCTGTGATGGGCCGGCTTCCCCTCTCACCCGGATGCTGGTGTTGGTGTCTGTGCTGGGGTTCGGGGGTCGCTGGTGACCAGCTCCAGCCTGCCTGTGTACTGTGATGGGCCGGCTTCCCCTCTCACCCGGATGCTGGTGTTGGTGTCTGTGCTGGGGTTCGGGAGGCGCTGGTGACCAGCTCCAGCCCACTCTCCACCTGCAGCACCCTCTCTTTTCTTATGTAGAAACGGGATCACCGTTCTCAGTCAGCACCCTCTCCTTTCTTACATAGAAACAGGACCACTGTTCTCAGTCACTGCCATTTCCTTTGGTCCCTTGAGTTTGATGGAAGACATGTGGCTCCCTTGACAGGCCTCTCCCATTCTTCGTGGGACAGCCTGTGGGTCAGCGGCTGTGAAAGCCAAAGCAGATTGGGACATGGTGGCACCCTTTCTGTCATCCCCCTGGTCCAGGCCGGTGTGCAGGGCTTGACAGAGCCACCCGGCAGGACCCTGGGGGAGAGCACAGTGGCTGTGGAAGCACTGTTAGGTATGCGGGAAGAGCGCACATGCAAGGTTCCAGCTGTGTTCATCCCTGAGAGCGGGTTTCACAGGCTCACTGCCTCACGGTGGCTGTCCCTCCCCAGGGCCGGAAGCAGGCCATCCAGGCAGGTGCGGGAGGGCCACACAGCCATTCTTCATGCTCTTCACCTCTGTGTAATGCACATGTGAATTCTAGTGACGTAGTTTCAACTACGTACATTTCAAGAAAATGTACTGTTGTGTGTTTCATTTGTGTGATTTCATACCAAAAACTGAACTACATTGTATGTAATTTGGAAGCCATGTTAATAAAACCTTGCAGTTTCCACTCTGGTTCCGTAACGCAAACGGGGGGCCTTCCACAAGCAGGGTGGCCTGCAGTGGGCAGACGGTGGCTGCTTTCAAAGATACATTTTATCACCCTGTTTTCCCCGTTCTCGTAAGGATGAAAAGGAAAGTGCCTTAGTTTGGACCTAAGTAAGGAAGAAAGAAAGCAAGAGAAGAGGCAAATTTGGGAAATTGAAATGGAGGAGGAAGCAACAGGTAACAAAAGCGAAATGTGTTGGGTGAATTTCTCAAATCCGATTTAATTGAATTTTTAAGCCTAAGTCATAATCTGAAAATGCCATGTGATTAGAGCCCAAAGCAGTTTTCTTCCTCTTTAATCCATAGTTCAAGAATAAGTCATTCCTTGTTTTTAAAACCTGTACTTTGGGTAATGGGATCTCTACAGAACATGGGCAAAAAACGCCTTGACATTTCAGGGAGAAAATGGGGCTTTCTTTGAATTAAGGGTACACTCAAGAGTGGTAGATCCTTTGAAGAAGGTATTGTTATTTCCCATAGTTGCCCCCTGAGCAGTGCCTGGCATGCTGGAGGTCTTGGTGTGTATTTATTTAGTGCAACCAATTACGTGAGGCAGTGTATTTGTGGCAGGCCCAGGGGTGTCCCCGTCCCAGACACAGGAGGTTTGGAAGTGGTTCAGGTGTGTGGCACTGATCATTCCTGTTGAAACATGGCCGCTGAGTCCTGAAATCTCACCCTTGGTTTCTGCCTGTGTCACCGGGAGTGCAGTGGTGCAATCACAGCTCAATGTAGCCCTGATTTCCTGCGCTCAGCTGATCCTCCCACCTCAGCTTCCCCAGTGGCTGGGACCACAGGTGTGCACCACCATGCTCAGCTAATTTTTAATATTTTTAGTAGAGACAGGGTTTCACCATGTTGTCCAGTTTGGTCTTGAACTCCTGGCCCCAAATGATCTGCCTGTCTTCGCCACCCAAAGTGCTTGGATTACAGGTGTGAGCCACCGTGTGCGGCCAGGTCCTTTTCTTATTCGAACATGTATTTGCATGTTTTGAAAGAGTGACAGTCACGTCTGAAGGGAAAAGTAAGTGATAAAAGAGTTCTGTAGGAAACACACAGTACTGACAATTGGTGGCTCTAGGAACAGAAGCACAGAGCCATGTGTTGTACACCTTGAGGTGCAGCTCGTTGCTGTGTGCTTAAAAGAAATGAGAAGCACGGCAGTTTTGAAGCTTCACGCTCAAAAAGGAAGCTTTCTTGCTGACCTTTGGTGTTGCCTGCAGGCCGCAGCGAGAGGGCAGAGGTCCTTGCGGCTCTTCTCTAGGGTCCGACGTAGATCCAGACAGGAAAGTCAGTGGGGCATTCTGGACATGTCGTCGCACCAGGCTGCAGAGCTGGACACTGAGGAAACCCCTCCAGAAAGAAAGCCCTACCTCCCGACCCACTGCAGGTGACTAGAGGACTGGGCAGATGCCCTTCAGACCAGACGGAGAGGAGCACTTCTCTGATTCCAAGTAACAACAGCTGCTGTTGAGGAGGTGTAATGAAAACCGCACCTAAGCTCTTCACCCAGCTTCGAAAGCTAGCCTGGATGTTTTCAATCTCAGACGCTAGTCGTGTTTTTTCTCTAAAATTGACAATGGAGAGAATTTTTTCTCACCATCAAGGGAGAGCATCTGTGGATGGTGTCTGAAGAATGATACCATGTTTTGTTCTCCTTATTTTTTTGGAGACAGGGTCTTTCTTTCTCTGTCACCCAGGCTGGAATGCAGTGGTGCATTCCTGACTCACTGCAGACTTGACCTCCTGGGCTCAAGAGAACCTCCCCTCTCAGCCTCCCGAGTAGCTAGGATTACAGGCGTGCACCACCACACCTGGCTAATTTTTGTATTTTTTGTAGAGATGGGGTTTCACCACATTGCCCAGGCTGGTCTTGAACTCCTGAGCTCAAGCGATCCGCCTGCCTTGGCCTCCCAAAGGGCTGGGATGACAGGCGTGTGCCTTCCAGTGCTGCTCCTGGCTTCGGCTTCTTCCCTGGCCCTTACATTGCCAATGTGCACCTCAGTCACCAAAGGCAGGCTTCGCCTCAGCTTCCCAGGATGGCCGTGCCCCTGAGATGATGGCACCAGCCTTGCCAGGGAGCCTCTGATGACAGCCGTTCAGATGATGTCATGTGAAGCTTCCTGAAATTTTCTCTCCCATTAGTCTTTAATCAAGGGAAAACACTTATTTAACAAAATTAATAGATTAAAATCCCAGTCCTTAGAAAAAAAAATCAGTGAAATAGACAAACCGCTAGCTAATTAAGAAAAAAGAATGTACAAATAAAAAGAAACACAAGAATTGCTATTGATAAAAAGGACTTTTTTAAAATTGTAGAACGTAACATCAAATTATGTAAAACATGTAGCATCAAAATTATACATCAATATATATGATTTTAACTGTCAGTGTCCAGTTCTGTTTTATTACATATGTTCACACTGCTGTACAGCTGTCCCAACCATCCATCTCCAGAACCTTTTCCTCTTACAGAACTGACACTCTGTCCCCATGAAACACAAACTCCCATCCCCTTCCTGAGCCCCCAGCACCCCCCGCCCCCACTCCACTTTCTGCCTCTGAATTTGACGACAATAAGTGCCTCATGTGGTTGGGATCCTATGGTGCTTATCCTTTTGTGACTGGCCTGGTTCACTTGGCACGATGTCCTCAAGGTCCATCATGTGACAGCCTGTGTCAGGATTCCCTTCCTTTTCAAGGCTGAGTCATATTCCATTATAAACACACAGTGCATTTGTTACCCATTCATCCATCAGTGGACACGGGATGCTTGACGATGACGAATGCTGTTACGAACATGAGTGTGCACACGTCTTTTTAAGAGCCTGCTTCCAATTCTTCTGTGTCTGTATGGGGGCGTGGAAATGCTGGGTCGCATGGCAGTTCTATGTTTAATTTTTGAGAAACTGTCATCCTCTTTTCCACCGCAGCCACAACATTTGACATCCCCACCAACAGTGCTCAAGGGTTTCTTCCATTTCGCCACATCTTCACCAACATGTGCTATTTTATGTTTCTTTGTTTTTGTGTGTGTCATAGCCACCCTAATGAGTGTGAGGGGGTGTCTCATTGTGATTTGGAGTTACATTTCCCTAATGGTTAGTGAGGTTGAACATCTTCTCATATGCTTGTGGGTCATTTGTTTATCTTCTGTGGAGAAACACCTATTCAAGTTCGTTGCCCATAAAAGGGATTTTGTAAGCAATAAAAGACTACTTTGTAGATCTTTTTGCAGATAATTTAAAAACCTATGTGATATGGACAATTTCTTAGGATAAACAGTGTATCAGTATCAACTGCTGTGGAGATCTAAAGCTCATACCAGTCAATCTCTACAGAAAAAAATAAAATGATCAAAAAACTAGGCATGCAGAAAGGCCCACATGTTACAGAGGAATTCTACTAAATGTTTGGAGACCAGATATAACTTATGCTGCATAAATTGTTCCAAAGCATTTAAAATGAGAAAATTTCCACATCCTTTTAATGAAGCAAATATATCGTTTATATCTATACCTGGAAGAGATAGCACAGAAAAGATGACCAACCGATAATGTTTATGAATATTGATGCAAAAAAATCCTAAATAAAATACTGGTGAACCAAATACTACATTAAGAAACACAAGGCCGCGCGCGGTGGTTCACGTCTGTAATCCCAGCACTTTGAGAGGCTGAGGCAGGCGCATCACTTGAGGTCAGGAGTTTGAGACCAGCTTATCCAATGTGGAGAAACCCTGTCTCTGCTAAAAAAAAAAAAAAAAAATAAGAAGAAAATTTTTTTAAAAATTAGCCGGGTGTGGTGGCAGGCACCTGTAATCCCAGCTACTGGGAAGGCTGAGGTGGGAGGATCGCTTGAGCTGGGGAGGCGGAGGTTGCAGTGAGCAGAGATCCTGTCACGTCACTCCAGCTTGGGCAACAGTGAGTCCCTGCCTCAAAAAAGGGAAAAAAAAAAGTTTTATGAAGACACGAAAGCAATTCGCAGTGAATTCCTTGTCTTGAAGCCCCCATTTGTGGAGGGATATTACATTGCCTGAGGACCCCAGGCAGCCTCCCTGACGGCCACGCATTGGGGCTGCATCAGGCATTTCAGGACGTGGGCGATTGTCCAGTTAACGTTTTGTTTTGTTTTGTTTTTTGCGGAACGTATGTCGTCAGGCGGTCCTTCTGTCCCTGCCCCAAGGTAAGCCCCGAGGCGTCCCGGGCCTGCGCCCCCAGCGTCCCCGCACCAGCGCCGCGCGACCTGCCGCTGGCTGCGTCCGAGCAAGGGGTCCGGGCCCGCCTGGCTGCCCCGAGGGTCCCAGGAGGCAGCGCAGGGACAGCCCCCGCCTGAGCCCGCGGCTAAAGGAGGCCGGGCCGCCGCGCACCCCCGCACCCCTTCCCCGGACCGCGAGGCTCCGCGCGCGCATCTCTGCCGGGAGCTCCCGACCACGGCCCAGCGCAAGGGACCTCCGGGCCGCCCCTGTCTCGGGCCCTGCCGCGCCGCCCGCCCGCTGCAGGCCAGGACTGCGCTCTGTCTGCCCACGGCCCCCGCC
The DNA here is from genome assembly GCF_000001405.40 of Homo sapiens. NCBI lineage: Eukaryota > Metazoa > Chordata > Mammalia > Primates > Hominidae > Homo > Homo sapiens. Next base: position 155,787,570 of record NC_000007.14, read on the forward strand.
TGGCACACACGCTGGGGACCTTTCCTCAGTGCTGCCTCGACATCCGAAGGGGCTGGGACGCCCGTCCCTGGTGGGAGCGAGCACCGGGGCGGGTGAGGGGTGCGCCGCGGGAGGCTCTCCTGCCCCGCGGAGGAGGGTCAGAGAGAAAGAGGGAGGGACTCTCCCTGTGTCCCTCCCTCTTTCTCTCTGACCCTCCTGTCTCTCTTCCCTCTTCTCCCCACTTCGCTCCCCCACAGCAGCCCCACCTATTCCCGGACACGCCCAGAAACCCACGGAGAGCTGTCCCCTGGGCCTGCCCTCTCCTCTCTGGCCCTTTGAGGATTACAATTTGTTAAGAAAGAACGGATTAGCAACTAGTGTTTTTAAACAGTGAGTTTTCACACATTCCAGTTTCATGTGAAAAGTTTGCCTTATGCTCCTGATAGCCAGGATATTGAAGCCACCTGGGTCTCTGTTTCCCCCACCCTCGGGCCTGGACCGTCAATGCCGGCTCCGCTCACACCATCTGTGTCCACGCAGAGGGTCGGGCCGTGGGAGCCGCGAGTGTCTGGCCCACACTTCTGTTCTTAACCTCGCAATGTATTCAGGTTTCCCCAGGCGGAGCGCTCAGCATATCGACAGCTAAAAATCCAACCAAGGCCGGGCGCGGTGGTTCACGCCTGTAATCCCAGCGCTTTGGGAGGCTGAGGAGGGCGGATCACAAGGTCAGGAGATCGAGACCATCCTGGCTAACACGGTGAAACCCCGTCTCTACTAAAAATACAAAAAAAAAAAAAAAAAAATCAGCCGGGCGCGGTGGCGGGCGCCTGTGGTCCCAGCTACTCCGGAGGCTGAGGCAGGAGGATGGCGTGAACCCGGGAGGCGGAGCTTGCAGTGAGCCGAGATCGCACCACTGCACTCCAGCCTGGGAGACAGAGCGAGACTCCATCTCAAAAAAAAAAAAAAAAAAAAAAAAAAATCCAACCAAAACCACACCCAGCGAAGTAACAAAGCGACAATCGGCCTTGGTCCTGCGAGGGCAGGGAGGGCAGGGAGGGCAGGGAGGGCAGGGAGGGCAGGGAGGGCAGGGTCCACTGCCCAGCCGGGGATGCAAGGACGGCCATGGGGCTCCAGCACAGGGACCGGGCCCCGCGGGCTTTGAGTGACGCGGTAGGCCAGGACGAGCCCCATCCACACTTGGACAATGAGCAACCGCAGCCGGCCGCGCAGCCTGGGGGCCGTCTCCCTCTCCAGCCCCCGTGTCCTCTGGTCCACGACTGGCTCTTGCCCTCATTCCGTTGGGGCTGAGTCACAGCCAGGGAAAGGGCTGAGGCAGAGCAACGCTGGGTGAACCCCGTCTTCCTGAGGCCACGTTTGCACCGGGAAGAGAACACAGTGAACCCCCTGAGCACCAACACGCTCCCACACCCCCCACGAGCAGCCCAGCCCTGGGGAGGAGCCCGTCCTTCTCCCTGCTTGCCACACCGGCCACGTCCGTAACCCTGCCCAGCATCCCACCCAGGTTGTGTGGGTCCCCACGTGGTCACCAGCGTCCTTTCAGGACAAGAGAAAACTGAGCAGGACCAGGGCTTCCGCCTGCCGCATTCATCTGCCCCCCTTCGGCTGTGCCAGGTGCCTTCCCATGTGGCCTCTTGCTCCTCGGCATCCCTGGGGGAGGGAAAGGCAAGTGTCTCCCTGTTTCATGCAGCCGCGCAGGCCTAAACGCAGCCTCTCCTGTTCCAACAGGCCTTTCTGGGGCCTGTCCTGCTTGCCTTGCGGCAGCCAAGGGATATAATGGGTGCCGGCCAGCCTCCCCTCCCATGACCCCGAGGAAGTCCCTCCAGCCCCTCCCTGAGTCTGCTCCTGGCAGAATCCCTCTGTAAGTGGATGCGGGGTCCAGAGATGCCACCGGCTGGGCCAGACCCCATGAGGAGAAGCTGTGCCGGAGCCTGCAGGACTGGGTCCAGGTCAGGGCTCTCACACCCGCTGGGCGGCCTTTGCTTCCCGGTGCTGGCTGTGCCCAGACGCCTGGGCTTGTGCGTGTTTAACCCGCCCAGAGACTGGTGCTGCCGCATTTGTTCATCGGTTTGTTTTGTTTTGTTTTGTTTTGTTTTGTTTTGTTTTTGTGATGGAGTCTGGCTCCGTTGCCCAGGCTGGAGTGCAGTGGCGTAACCTCAGCTCACTGCCAGCTCCGCCTCCCGGGTTCACAGCATTCTCCTGCCTCAGCTGCCCGAGTAGCTGGACTACAGGCGCCTGCCACCACGCCTGGCTAATGTTTTTGTATTTTTAGTAGAGACGGGGTTTCACCATGTTCGCCAGCATGGTCTCGATCTCCTGACCTTGTGATCCGCCCGCCTCGGCATCCCAAAGTGCAGGGATGACAGGCGTGAGCCACCGCCCTCGGCGTCCCATCGGTTTCTTATTCACTCATTCATGAGCTTGATATTTACTGAATGCCACTGTGTGGCGTTTCTACGGTGATGGACACAGGGGGTCTTCTGCGGTGATGGACACAGTGCTGCGCGGCAGCGGACGGCACAGTCCAGCCTTGTCTGCGTGAAGCATGCAGTTCTGGTGGCAAAGAGCTGGCTCCATGGCAGGGCTAAAAAACGCCAAGGACACCAGCACCTGGCCTTTGTGTGTCCCGAGCCGGCAGAGCTGCCCTGGCTTGCCCGGGACATCGCGGGTCCTGCAGCAGATCTGGGACCCGGGGCTCCAGCCCCATGGAGCCATCTTGGGAAAAAGTACACTTTTTCCATGGATGAGAATATTTGAGAAAGGCCTTTTGGGGCACCAGTGATGAGCTTGGCGTGAAGGCAAACCTCATGGCTTCATGGCCAGCCCACCTAGTCCTTTTTTCACCCCACAGTCCACAAGATCCTTCTCTGAATGGCTCTGATTACTTAAAAAGTGAACATCGCCATCAAAGGTTGAAGACTTACTATCGTTTCAGATATTCCTCAAAAACAAAAACAAAAACAAAAACAAAAAAACAAAAAACCTACACCATTGGCTTTGGAAGCAATAGCAAAAGCAGAGGCCCCAAATCTCTCAAATGTGCACCCAGCCAGCTCCCTGGTGGCTGTTCCAGGATGTTCTCGTGACCAGGTAAAAACCAGCATGGATTTAGAGAGGAAAGGAGAAACAAAACAAATCATTTCTTAAACATTTTTAAATTAAAATATTTTATTTTTGCTTACAAAGAGCTAAGTTGTCATTGAGACAAATTTGGAAAATATAGAGGAGGAAAGGGCGAAAACAAAGTCACTTGTAATTGCGTTGCCCAGAGAGTAGGTTCTTGCACACACACACACACGTGCACGTGCGCGCACACACACACACACACCCAAGTGGACCAGGGTGTACACTGCGTTATGGAACCAGCTCTTGTCACCACGTAATGTATGGTAAATATTTGCTGAGGAGGTTAAATATTCTTCCCCAGTGTCACCTCACATAACTGAGTAGCAATCCCTTAAGTGGATGTGCCTTAATTTCCTTAATCCATTCCCCAGTGATGGTAATTTAGGCTGCTGCCCAATTTGTTCTACTATAAATACCACTGTTGAAAACATACTAGTGGCTATGTCATGTGCAAATCCATAATCATTTCCTTGGTATAAATTCTAATTAATTAAAATTACTGAGTCAGTGAATACACACAAATGCAAAGGCTTTGGTAACTTATGGCCAAATTTTTAAAAAGATACATTGACTTCTGCCCCCATGGGAACCCCAGGTTAGGAGAACGAGCATCTCCCGAGGCATGGCAACTCTAAATACGGTCCTGTCCTGAGAACTCCCTCCCCCTCTTCTTCCTCCCAGCATTCATCCCCCCGGAACTGCGGGGCTGGCCCTGAACTCTGTGTCTGTCACGTAGAATGTAAAGACCTGGAAAGAAGAGGTGGGCATTGTCCTTTGCGAGAAAGACTGAGCGCAAAGGTGGAAGCCGGAATGGGCCCCCAAAAGGGAGGGTGTTTGGGAAGAATGACAGCCTCTGGGCAGCGTCCCCCACTCTCGCTTCGTCGGGACGGTGCAAGGAACCATGCAGACCGTGAGCGCCAAAGAAGAACATTTCCTGGCTCCTTCCCCTTAGCTGCGCAGTGTGGAAAACCACTGACCTTCTCAAAGTTAGGTTTCCTTGTCTGTGATCTGAGCAGACCCGCCAGCACCATCCGGAGGTCAAAGGCGAAGGCGGGCTCAGAACCACTGTTACTTTCATCAGTGATAGGATGAGCGGAGAGGCAGAACAACTGGAAGGAAAGACAGAACCCACCCGCTTAGTGTTTCATGTCAAGAATCTGTCTTCCCCCACCCACACACGAGATCCTGTGAAATTTCAGGGAAGAGAGTTGGAATTCTTTAAGATCTTCCTTAGCCCCTGGAATAGGGCCAGCTTGAATCAAAAGTTTCTTCACAGATAGGCTCCACCATGACTGAGCCACGGAAGAAGATGGGCGGCTCTCTCTCCCTCTCTCCATAATCCCACCCTCTCTCCATAATCCCTCCCTCTCTCCGTAATCCCCCCTCTCCATAATCCCCCCTCTCCCATAATCCCCTCTCTCCATAATCCCTCCCCCTCTCGGTAATCCCTCCCTCTCTCTGTAATCCCTCCCTCTCTCTATAATCCCTCCCCCTCTCCGTAATCCCCCTCTCCATAATCCCTCCCTCTCTCCGTAATGCCCCCTCTCTCCGTAATTCCCCCTCTCTCCGTAATCCCCCTCTCCGTAATCCCCCTCTCGGTAATCCCTCCCTCTCTCTATAATCCCTCCCTCTCTCCGTAATTCCCCCTCTATCAGTAATCCCCCTCTCCGTAATCCCCCCTCTCGGTAATCCCTCCCTCTCTCTGTAATCCCTCCCTCTCTCTATAATCCCTCCCTCTCTCTGTAATCCCCCTCTCCATAATCCCTCCTCCGTAATGCCCCCTCTCTCCGTAATCCCTCCCTCTTTCCATAATCCTTCCCTCTCTTCTTGGCCCTGCTCTCCGTCTCTCTGTGGCCCCACTCTCTCTCTCCCTCTCTCTCCCTGTGGCCTCTCTCTCTCTCTCTCCCCCCTCCCCCCGTGGCCCCACTCCCTCTCTCTTCTTGGCCTCTCTCTCTGTCTCCCTCTGTGGCCCCACTCTCATTCTCTCCATGATCCCCCTTCTCTTCATGGCCCGTGTCCTCCAACACCGTTCGTTCACCCAAGCTCCCCGGCTCTGCCTCTTGCCCTGGGGAAGGAGTGTCCACACCCAGTCCACAAGTTCCTGTGCCCTACTCGCCCCACGGGCCCTGTCCCAGGAGCCCTCCCATCTTCTCAGAGAGGGATTTGGTGTTTAAGATGTGCATTAGATGTTCTCCTCCCCTAGGCTAGAAGATTTCTATTCCAAGCTATCGCTGTCCTGCTCAGTGCTTTGGATGCCCCTGAATTGAGGTGTGGTCGGGAACGCAATTCCAACTCCGGGTGAGGCTGGCCCTGAAAACAATACCCAGCACTTCTCCCCCCGTGCCTCATCCTCTGCCCCTCTGTGCCTCTCTCTCATGCACTCGTGCACAGGATGCACACTCACAGACACACATATGCACACTCACATTCACACACACTCATACGCACACACAAATGCACATCCACACACACACAAAAGCACATCCACACACACATGCACATCCACACACATCTAGACACACGTGCACATTCACACACGTATTCACACACGTACACTTGCACATTCACACATACACACATGCACATTCACACACAAATTCACATTCACACACATGCACATTTACACACTATAGACACATTCACACACAATTCACACACACGCACATTCACACACGTGCACATTCACACATTCACACACATATTGACACACTTGTACATTCACACACGTGCACATTCACTCACACATTCACACACGCACATTCACACGCAGGTGCACATTCACACACACTCATACACACATTCACACACATATGCACATTCACACATTCATACAGACACATGCACACTCAGACACACATACACACCCCATTCACACATACTCATACACCGACATATACATTCACACACTCATATACACCATTCACACGCACACTCAGACACACACACACATGCACTTCACATGCCCACACACATGCATTCACACACACGTGCATGCACACACAGACACACATATGCAAACACAGACACTCAAACTCGCACTCATACATGGACACATTCACACACTCATACACAGCCATCCCCTTGGACACCCCAGTGGCTCTGGTGGCAGCCAGCTGATCTGTGTCTCTGCGGCACGGACAGAGAGTGGCCAGAGCCCAGTCTCTCTTGGGAGGCCCCAGGGACCCACCTGCTCCTTGGTGGAGGCCAAGGTCACAGGCTGCAGGAGGGGCAGGAGGACCAGCAGTGAAAGCCCACCCCAGAGGCTGGTAGGGCTGGGCAGTGAGACACAATGTGACAGGGAGAGCCACTGGGTGTGCCCAGCCAGGGCCCGGGGCAGGTGTGGGAGGTAGGTAGGCCTGCCCTGGTCTAGCAGGTCCCACTGGAGGAAGCTCCCCTGGGCTGCTCAAGACAATGAAAGCCTCCACCCTCTGTCTGGCACACTTGCAGACAGAAGTATTTTTAAACTCATTTCCCTGACCTAAAAAGGGTCTTTTTTGACTGAACACCTAGTCTTTGAGGACTGACACCAGCACTCTGCCTATAAATAGCTTCGCTCGCCTGCTGGGAGGGTCGCCATGGCTGCTGTGGTGGTCAGGGACAGCTTGGGCCTCTGCAGGTGTCTGGGGACCTAAGGCCACCTCCTGCCCTGCCTGTGGCCCCAGCGTGGGAGATCACATGGAGTTATTTTAAATTACAGAACTGGGAAGAGGTGCCAGGGTTGGGGCATGTTGTCAGCTGGCATTCTGTCGACCATGCCCGGGCAGGTGGCTGAGACCTCCCCATCTCACAGCTGCCTCCTTGCCCTCGCCCTGGTTGGTGTTCACCAAGGCTGCCTGGGCACCTCAGCCTGGGGATGTGACGGGCGGTGGGAGAGAGAGGGGCTCAGGAGGGGGGTGGGGGCAGGACCAGAGACCCACAGTGGCCTATGATGCCTTGGATGGGATCCTACGTCTGTGCATTTTAAAATTAGTTCATCGTCTTGTGCTCTGGAAGTGTGTTCCTTACATTGAACTAGGAAAATATAGCAAATAGAACAAATCTGCCTGTATTTTTTTAAGTTACTGAAATCCGGCTGGGCACGGTGGCTCACACTTGTAATCCCAACACTTTGGGAGGCCGAGGTGGGTGGATCATCTGAGGTCAGGAGTTCGGGACCAGCCTGGCCAACATGGCGAAACCCCGTCTCTACTAAAAATACAAAAATTAGCTGGGCATGGTGGCAGGTGCCTGTAATCTCAGTTATTTGGGAGGCTGAAGCAGGAGAATTGTTTGAACCTGGGAGACAGAGGTTGCAGTGAGCTGAGATCGTGCCACTGCACTCCAGCCTGGGCAACAGAGTGAGACTCCATCTCAAACAAAAAAATAAAAATATAAATATAAATAAATAAAGTTACTGAAACCCCACCACGTGTTGGTGTGCTGCCTAATTCCAGCCAATGCTTCATCTTAGCAACAGCTGAGATCTCTGCGGGCTGCATATGATCTGTCTCTGCCTTGGACCGTTTTGATGCCTTGCCTGGGAGCTTTGTACATTCATTTATCTTTTTCCACAGTTGTAATAATTGCCTGATGATTGAAAGCTCTTTTTTTTTCCTTTTTCGTTTTTTTTTTTTTTTTTTTTTTTTTTTTGGCTGAGGTCAGTTCTCTGGGCAGCGTTCCTCCAATCCACCTCGTGGAAGTCCTGGGTACATCTCAGCCACTTCTCTTTCCTTCTCTTTTCTCTTCTCCTGGGGTCTTTCCCTCATGTATGCTCACAGCCCTCCCAGTGGAGCAAGGAAACTTCCAGTGTCTAGAACAGAGAGGGAGCTGCGACCAGAGGAGAGGTTGGCAGGGTTGGCACATTCGCTGAGGGGTCTTGGGAGGGGTGCCTGTGGCTCACCTGCCCTGGAAGGGTGGGCTGCGCCTCTGCCCCACTCTGCCTGGCTGGCCGGGTGTTCAGGGCAGGTGCTCCCCAGGGAGGGGCATCCAGGGCTGGGGCTCCCTCAGTACTCCCTTCTTTCATTCTTGATGTGGCCCTGGACACAGAGCAGGGACTCTAAAATTGCTCCCACAACCCACTAGTGGGTCCTGAAATCAATTAGTCGCCGGCTTGAATAAAGAGACGATACTGCGGTGTAGGGTAAATATTCTTGGCAAACTCTGGCTTTGGTGTGACACACGTGTGTAGGTGCTGCGGTGAGGGTGTACTCCCGGGTGTGTGTGGCCCGTCATCCCACACGGTTACTGCACACTCAGCCTGACACGGTTTCTGTACATGTTATAAGGAATCTTCCAGTAGGTTTTTATTTCTGAAACTTTTTTTGTGACAAAGGAGAAAAAGCTGAAAGAGGTGGTTTTTCAGATCCAACCTCAAGGCAGGGCATCCCTGGGGCAGCTGGTCACCACCCAGAGAATGGGGCCTTCTGTGGCGCTGGGGAGGGTCTCCTATCCCAGGACGGCCAGCCTTGGCCCGGCCCCTGGGTCCTCCTGATGCTGGCCTTGCGTTGCCGCCTGCCTGGGCTGGGACCCGGGCTCTAAGCACTTGCTAGTGATGGGGCAGCCTTTGTGTTTCACCAACCTGGATTCCAGAAGAGTGTTCCTTAGGGTCAGCAGAAACGCTCCATCTCTTCACCTGGGTTCTCATATGTCCTAGAACGCTTTCCACCCAGGATTTGACTACGAGAGGACACCACCAGTCCCTGTTTCAGAGCGAACACTGTTTCTATCCATGCACCTCTGTCCAGGGCTCGGCGCCCCTCGGCCTGGCTGTCCCATCCCCTCCTCCGCGCTCCCTGGCCTTCACCGCCTAGCACACCTGTTTATTCAGCCTGAGACCTGCTTCTGGAGCTAGAGAAGATGGGCTGGAGGGAAGGGGCTGCTGCAGTGGGTGGGTGGCCCCGGCCAAGTCTGTGCCGCTCCCTGCTCCCCGCGAGACCTTGCGCCCCCTCCGAGACCCGCTCTTCCATCTGCACAGAGGGAGTCGTGGTGACAGGACGAGGTTTCCCGTGGAACCCTCGGGACAGCTCTGGACGCTCGGGACTCGGTCGCTTTCAGGGTCAGATGTCAGAGGTGGCCTTTGCCCTCTGCCCTCAGCCAATACTTTTCCTGATTTCCAGATTTTTCAGTTTCTTTCCTCTCTTGTGCTGACGGCCGGCACCATCCCCTCACTCTCCCACGCCCCTGCCTCTGTTTTTGGCTGAGGCCTCCTGCGGGTCCCGGACTCAGGGCGGCCTCTCCGGGCCGGCCCCAGCCCCCCGAGGCTGAACTGACCCCTCTGGAGAGGAAGGCGCGTGACCCCCTGGTGCTCACCTCGCCGCCCCTCCTTGACGCTCCCGTGGGTGGAGGTGGCCTGTAGTCACCCGCCCTCGGTTTGAAGGGACTCTGACGCTTGAATCCTTAAGGGCTCACCTGGGCTGTCGGACCGCCGGCTACGGCCCCGCGGCGTTTCCCCGAGGCGACCACCAGAGGGCGCGCGGACTCCACCAGGGCAGCGCGGGGACGGCTCCCTCCAGCCACCGCTCTCTCCAGCCCCGGGCCCCAACTCCAAGGCTCCCTCCAGCCCCGGGACCCCGGCTCCCCCCAGCCCCCGACCCGGCTCCCCCCGGCCCCAGGCCCCAAGTCCACGGCTCCCTCCAGCCCTGGGACCCCAGCTCCCTCCAGCCCCGGGCCCCAAGTCCACGGCTCCCTCAGCCCCAGGCCCCAAGTCCACGGCTCCCTCCATCCCCGGGCCCCAAGTGTCGGCTCCTTCCAGCCCCGGGACCCCGGCTCCCTCCAGCCCCGGGACACTTCTGGAGAAGCAGCCAGGAGCTGGTCCAATGGCAGGTGCCACCTGCACCCAGCACCCTGCAATTCTGGGGAGAGCATGGAGGTGCAGGGAGAGGAGAGAGCCCGGACGTGGGTAGGTAAACTCCCCAAACGTCCACCCTGTGCTGCCAGTGCCTTTTACATGCAGAGGCTGTGGAGGCTGAAAGACCACCGGAGCCCTGGCTTGACCAGGGCTGGAGAGGAGGAGAGCACCGGCCTGCATCCCTCGGAAGCCGAGTTGGAACTGCAGAAGGAGCCTCCTGCTGCAGTCTGCTGGTGTTCGGTGCAGATCCAAACTGTGGATGGGCTCCTGGGCACACCCAGGGGTGGGTGGCTGCTTCTCTCGCGGGTGGTGCCCGGCGCTCTGCAGCTTGGCCCTGGGGGAACCAGGCCCAGGATAGTGCCCCAGCCGGAATCTTTGGAAGGTAGGAACCTGGACACTGGGCCGAGGCTCACTCCACTCTCCGAGGCCCCAGGCACAGGAGGGAAGATTGCGCCGTCCCCTGCCACTCACAGAGCAGTAAGAAGAACAGCTGCCATTAGAATGGCGCGCCGTGGAGTAAACACGGGCAGGCTCAACCGTGCCTTGGCTTCCTGGGCTGCGCGGAGGCTCTCATCCTCTTTCTGAAATGGCAGGGACCACATTGTCCTCTCCACAGCCCCATTCCTCTGCGGAGGCTCCTGCCCAGTGGGGCCTGCCTGCTAGGTGGGCCGCCTGGGCCATGAGAGCCGCAGAGTTCTGGCCAGAGGCCTTCAGCTGGGATTCTGAGACCTAAGCCATGGAGTGAACAGACGCTCAGGGGGTGGGGGCCTTGACGCTCCTCGCAGAGGCAGTGGGTTTGTTTTGCTGGCTTTAGGTTGCAGGGTTCTGAGGCAAATCCTTACGCTAACCTCAGATCTGGAGGAAGGAACTTTCCTTCCACTTCCCCTGGAAGCAAAGGCTTGGGCCCTGACCTGGGATGGGGGATTCCATCCAGGAATCAATTCTGTGTGGGGGAGAGTTTTTTCCTTTGATTCCTGGCATACTCTCTCTTCTACTATATCTTCAGTTTTCTGATGTTTCAACCCTCTTGTTTCAACCTCTTTGCCCCATCTGAAAACACAGCTGCCCTCATCTTGAAAACCAAAGGTAGCCGTTAAAATGCACCCTCCATACCCACTCTCATGCCTCCCTGCATGAGGACCCAGCGCTTGTTTATAGAGTGAAGTGTGAATTACAAATGTTTTGGTCTTAATTTGAGAAAATTAAGCTCAGCCAAAAAAAGAAAAGAAAGTCATCTCCAAATCCAGACTTCCTGTTTTCTAACTATGGGGTGATCTGCACAGATGAGAGAGTAACACGGTGCGGCTTCTGCTAACTGCTCTGGGGACTCCACGGGCTGTGTCTGGACCCCGCCTCTCCTGCACAGGGTGTGCCTGGCAGTTTAGCTCACACCTGATCAGCATCGAAGGGTGCTGTTGCTCTACCAGGCAGACGTGGCTGCCTCCGGGGTCTTCCTGGACTTGTTAACCTCCCGAGGCCCCTACGGCTCTCAGGGAGAAGCAGGAGTGAGTGGGCAATTCTAATTGAATTCTAATTGAGAAATATGCTGCGATGGTAGACAGGGCACTGTGTTCCAGCTCCTGCCCTCAGCCCCCAGCCCCTACCGCCAAGCTTGATTTCAATCCAAAATCCTAGAAAGAGGGTTGGCAGACTTGGGCAGAGAGCCAGAGAGTAAATACCAGGCTGTGCGGGCCAGGTGGTTTCTGTGGCTTTCCTCTGGGCTAGTGGAGAGGCTACTCCAGACAACACGTGAGTGAGTGTGGGTGTGTTTCAATAAAACTTTATGTATGGACACTGAAATTTGAGTTTCACAGAATTGTCACATGTCAGAGAATAGCAGTCTTCTTTAGATTTTTTGTTTTTAAACATTTTAAGAATGTAAACACAGTCTCAGCTCAGGGACTGTGTGAAAACAGCCCTCGGACCAGATTTGTCCCAGAGGCCAAAATTTGCCCAGCTCTGTCCTGGAACATAAATCCCAGGGAGTGCCCGGAAACGGCAGGGCTCACGAAGGGTTTTGTGACTCGTTTGTAAGAAGTCATACGGAAGTCGCTTCCTGGGCTTCTCAGCCTCCTAGAGTGGATCACCATCCGGAAGGACGGAGCGCGTGCGCCGAGGAAGAGCTGGTTCCCTGCAGGCCCGCCCGCCTCCCTGGCAGGCACTCTGCTGCTTTCTTGCCAAATCTTGTAACTGACCGGTATTCCCTGCATGTCTGCCCCATATTTCCCACGTGGGTGCGATGCTGACAGCTCTGTCAACTCCCTCAGACAGGGGAGTCACGTGCCTGCCTCCTTGCGCCAGTAAAAATTCCCAAAGCCTGACCAAACCCACCCATTGAGAGAATGGAGTCTGCACTCTCAATGAGAATTTCCCTCACAGTCCCAGCACTACCTCGTGGAAGACGATGAGAAACACAGATGACAGTTCGGGAGCGGGGTTCTGCCACATAACAGACACTGAAGAGAGTCTCTGTAATTTCTTTAATTATTCAAACAATAGAGCACAAAGATAACAGTTTCAAGTACATTGTGATACACGTTTTGACAGGAATAGATATGCATTTAGTCATGAGGGAGGCTGGCAGCAACCACCATGCATACATTTTGCACAAACTCTTGGCTCCGTCAACCCTGAATGAGAAGTCGGCGCCTCGTCCTGGCGGGGCTGGGCTGCACCCTCTTGATGCCCTGTACCTAGTGTCTCTAAGCAGTGGTTTCCTTTCCTTGCCTGTGAAAAAGAGAATTTTAAATATAAAGCAGTGGACGCATCTTAAGAAGATGGACCAGGAGGGCTGGGGACAGCACCCAGCAGCACGGACACTCTGCCACCGGGCCTGTCCAGGAGGGAGTGCCACCCAGGAGTGAGGATTTCCCATCCGGGTGAAGCTCTGCTCCAAGGTGCCCCAGTCACCAGCAGAGTTGCACCATGGCCTCAGGCACCTTGGGGCTTGGTCAACGCCTGGCTTCTCTCTGATCGTCTGGGCTGCACGGCCACATTGCCAGGTCTGTCTACACAGCCAGAGGAGCTGCTGTGCCCGGTGCTTCTGGTTCGCTTTCGACTGACTTGAAATCAGACTGAACTGTCAAAAGAACAGAAACCATCGCACTTCCTCCGAGATTGTAAACACCAGCCTGGAACCTGCTGACCACCTAGAACACCAAAGAAAAGTCTTTTACAGAAAAAGGCTGAGGACTGCTCCTGAGGAGAGGGCTCCAGAGGCCCTGCGCCATCCACCTGGTCACACACCCTCCACGGAAGGCCACTCAAGGGCAGACCCGTAGCAGAGCAGACCCTCAGGGACTGGGCCCAACCTCGGGAGCCAGCCCCTGCCAGGTGGGGCTGAAGTCTGTTCACTCCTGTTCCCTAAGCCTGGACCACCTTCTACACAGGCTGCAGCTGCTGGGAGGCCCCAAGCTCATGCAGCGCAACTCTTCCAAGGCCCAGCCTGCTCAGACGATTCGGCCCAAAGCACAAAGCATGGCAGACACCTTCCGTAAGCCAAAGAACTGGGAGTAGTCCTCCACCTGGGACCCTGACAACCGCCAAGGGCAGAGACCCTCTTGGCCAAACCTCCAAGGCAGCATGAAGCATGGAAGGACCTTCCCCAGCCCAGCGCCCACAGCAGCATGCTCTCTCAACAGGGATCAAAGTCCACGCCCGACCGCCATGTGACACAGACAACCAGTGTAGCCTGAGGACCTCAACAGCAGCCCCGACATTCCAGCGACTGGCCCTCGCCACTGTGGGCTTGCCACTCAGATTTAAGGGGACCCTCAAGAAAAGAGGATAGGAGCTTCAGAGAAGATCAAACCGGGTCCTCTCTTCTAAGGATGCTTTCTGGAAGGGACACAACAGGACCTCAGAAAGCAGCAATGAGCCTCCTCCCTACAGATCAGAGAAGCACAAACAGGGTCAGGCCAGGGGTCTGCCCAGCAACCACACACAGGAGTCCTAAGAGAAGGTTGTTGGTGGCCATCCCCAGGCCACCTCCTCTGGGCTTACACATCAGGCTTTGCTAGTTAAGGGGTGGGGTGAGGGGGACAGCACAGTCCCCACGAATGGCACTCCCAACCTTTGGGAGTGTAGAAAGAGCTTCACACAATAAATACAAACAGAGCTGAGGTTTCTCCAGCCATGAGAAGAAACAAGTTGGTTTGTGTGCCTACTTTGGTTACCTAAGTCAGTCAGTCTGAGTTCACAGTATAAGCAACACATCTAAATAGAATATTGGGAGCTCCTGTCAGCGCTAGGTTTCCCAAACAAAGAAGCCAAAAACTAAAAGAAAAAGGGCTGCAACAGGAATTCTTAGTTATTAGATACTAAGCGTTCTGTGCATGGCACATTTTATTTCTATAAAACTATTACAAAATATTCAAAAATACATTTTAGTAAATTTACAGCGTTATTTCTCAATTTATTAATGCAAAAACATCCTTTGTTTTCTCTGTACAAACTGCAGGCTCCATCCTCGTGGGCTCGTCACTATGTGCGCTTTTAAAAAATATTATTTTCTAATAAATTCTTTGAAGTTAAAAATAACAGTTCTTCCAGTTTGTCCAAAAAAAAAAAAAAAAAAAAAAAAGAAAAGAAAAGAAAAAGAAAAGTGTGTGTGTATGTTGTGTGTGTAACAGTCTTGGCTTCCAAGAATGTGGCAAAATGGTGAATACAAAGGGAATATGAAACCATAAAGACAACAGAGGAGATGGCTGTTACATCGGAAACTAGTTAAATTAAAATAATATATTTTCATATTTTACACTATTTCAAAAATGAAATGTAATTCAGTTAAGTATTGATCTCTCAAAAAATCTAATTTACAATTCTGTGTATAAAAATATAATTTGTGGACCCCCATGAAGCACGTTTGAGTTTGCACTTGCTGAGAAGCAGGAGATGGAAGGGAGGGATGGCGGGGACAGAGGTTTGCTTTCTGACAGCCGGGACGAGGGACATGTAGAAAAATAGACTCTGAGCAGGTTGCTTGGCCTCACAAAATAATCTTTCCCCCGTGAGTACAGTTCACATGATCATAATAAATTATCCAAGAAACAAACTATTTAAGGCTCTTGAAGGTCCGGTTCATATTATTTAAAACATCTATTCATACCAAACAAATAAATAGCCAGGAGAGGAGGAAAAAATAACCAAAATAAAACAATAACCAAAAAAATTCAAAAAATATATATCAACTAAGCACAACAACAAAACTTCCCGGGGTCCTTGTTTCCTTAGAGTCTACTTTGGACTGTCCTACTTTATTATTCTTATTCTTATTATAACTCAGTCTGGTTCGTGCGCCTTTTCCGAGTGTCTTTTTGCTTTGCGTTGCTGTTGCTGCCCCGCCCCGCCCCCTCCCGCGCCCCTCCCCCGGCCCCCCGGCTTCAGCTGGACTTGACCGCCATGCCCAGCGGGTGCAGGGCCTCGCTGTCCAGGAGCCAGGTGCCTATTTGGTAGAGCAGCTGCGAGTACCAGTGGATGCCCGCGGTGGCCCCCGCACCCGGAGCGTCGGCAGCACCTGGAGCGGTTAGGGCTACTCTGCCGCCGCCGCCCCCGCGGTCCCCGCCGCCGCTGTCCCCGCCGCGGTCCGTGCGCGCGGGCGCCAGTGCAGCCAGGAGCGCGTGCGCCAGGCGGAAGGGCGCGAAGGCCCGGTGCGCCCAGCTGTGCTCCTCGATGACCGCGTAGCACGAGGCCAGCACCCGGTTGATGAGAATGGTGCCCTGGGCCGTGAGCGGCGCGTAGGCGCCCGCGGCCTCCTCGCTTAGGGTCACGCTGTGCACAGCGGCGGGCAGGAGCCGGCGGTCCCCGTCACGCTCGGCCACCACGTACACGCGCTGGCCCGGGCGCACGCGGCTGGCGAACAGCGCCCGAGGCCCCAGTGCGCCCCCGGAAGGCGGCCCCGAGCCCGAGGACGCCTCGGGCTCCCCGGTGGCCGAGTCGTTGTGCGGCGCCACAAAGAGCAGGTGCGCGGCGGTGAGCAGCAGGCGCTCGCGCGGCTCCCGCGTCTCGATCACGTAGAAGACCTTCTTGGCGCCGTCGTCGCGGTCCAGGAAAGTGAGGAAGTCGCTGTAGAGCAGCCGGCCCTGGTCGTCCGCCGCCAGCACGCGGTCCCCGGGGCTCAGGTCCTTCACCAGCTTGGTGCCGCCCTGCTCCAGGTGCACCGTGGCCGAGCCCGGGAAGCAGCCTCCCGATTTGGCCGCCACCGAGTTCTCTGCGGGTGAGGAGAAGGGAAAGAAGAGAGGACAGGGCATTGAGTTCCGAGAGGGAGGCGCGTCTCGGGGAGGAGGGCGCACGCTTGGTGCCCGCGCTCCTAGGCCAGGGGTGCGCAAGGCGCGGGGCGGGGCGATTGATTCCAGGCGGGTCCCGCACACACCTCCCTCCCCCAACCCCACTGCCCCAGGGACAGGATTCCGACACATTCCTTAACGACTCTCTAAGTCTGGGCTGGCGGTCACAGAGGTTGGCTGGCGTTTCCTGCAGAGGCCGGTGACACTCTTTCCTTCCGCCTTCCTCCAACCCCACCCCCAGCTCCGCACACACCCGGCCTCGCCGCGAATCCATCCAGAGGGTGTTTGCTCTGCACTTGGATTCCTCAGGAAGCCTCCTTGAGCTCCCGCGGGCGCCGGGCGCACCCTCCTTCCCTCCCGCCCCGGCGCGGGGCGCGGCGCCTGCTCGCGCACTCAGCACCCGGGCTGCGCGGCGGAAACCCCTGGCCCGCCTGCCCGCCTGCCCGCCTGCCCGCAGCACCCTGCCGCGCCTCGGCGTGGGCCTGCGGAGGGGCGGGGGCGGGGAGTGAAAAATAGCTGCAGTAGTTGTAGCAACTGGACAAACATTCCAGAGATTGGCCGAGGTGTGAAAATCCGAGGCTTGTGTGGATTTTCTAATTAAAATCCAATAAAGGGCCCAGCATTGTCATTGTGATTTCTGGGATAAACAGGAGACACTCTTGGAAGGGGACACTTCCATTTTCTCCCCTCCCTGTTCTCAGCTCACTCTCTCCCCAGCTCGCGGGCCTCCCCCTCCCTATTTGCTCAGGTGCAACCCCCCCCCACCCCGTGTGCAATTCACAAGCACTATTTGCACAGCCAGGCCTCTCTTCCAAGCACTCAAGATGTGTATTTGAATTTTAAATGGCGGGGCCTGTTCGGAGCGCTGGAAGCGCCGGGTCTCAAGGCCCCTTGACTACCCGCTTTCTCGAGCCCTCTGTCGCTCTCTGAGGCTCACTGTCCCCAGGACAATAATTGAAGTTGGGGCGGAGCGCAGGGGGCCGGGGAGGAGGGCGGGGAGGGCCGTCTTCTTTGCATTCCAATCTCCGGGATCATGCTTTTTGCAAATAGAGATTGCCAGAAAGAATCTTCCTGCTGGAATTACAGGGGGCTTTTAATCTTCTCATCGGTTTCTCTGGCATGAAGTGCGGGGCTGGCCGTTGGAGGCCCTCCGTAGCCCCCCGGAATGCGACCCCGGGCGCTGGCGAGCCCGAGTCGTCGAGTCGCACGGCCCGGCTTGACACGCTGCGCCCCGCGCCCCCGCCCGTGTGCTCAGAATGCCAATGAGCGGCTCCCGCGCCGCGGCTCCGCTCTCCCGGCGCGATCCGGGGGATGGATTAGCGCTGCTCACTTGGGAGGAGGCCTCCGGAGACCCCCGCTAGGGGGACCCCGCGGGCAGGGAGCCGGGGAGGAGGTTTTGCGCAGGGGGCGCCCTGGGCCCAGGGGCCGCCGCCGAGCCCGCGAGGTGGGGGCGCCGCCTCCTGCCTGCCTGCAGCCGGGAGCTCTCCGGGCCGCACACCCGCCCCTGCCGCCCCCGCTCCACGCCTTTGCTTTCTGTGGGGACGAGAAGCCACTCTAGCCTTTACCTACAAGTGTGCCTTGACACCTTAACAGTGTTTTCCTACTAACATAGTGCCATTAACATGGAATTTAGGAGACAAGTAGGGAAGCCTGGAAGGGGGTTGAGGAAGGCAGAGTTTCCCCGAAATTCACCGTGAACGGCTTTGCTAAACGTGCCAATTTATGCGGGCGGAGAAGAGCGCTGTGCACACAGCCTCGGGCCGGAGGTTTGCGTGCGCGCGATGGCGCCTCCTCCACGGCTGTTCCTCGCCGGCAACAGCGTGTGGCGTTGCAGGCCCAGAGAAGACAGCCTCGCGCCGACTCGGGCCGGCGTTTCGGGGCCTGCCCGCCGCCCAGGGCGTCCCGGCCCGGCTCCCAGTAGGAACGCAGGCTCCGGGCGCGCCGCCTCCAGATGCTGGAGGTGGTTGCCCCTGGGTTTACTGCCGCCCACCAGGCCTCTCCCCAAAGGCAGCTTAGGATCCACGGGCGCCCGGCGGGGAGGAGCCAGGACGCGGGCTCCGGGGCAGGATAGACACCCCTGCGCTTGGGATAGCGGGTGGGGGCGGTTGGTTCTTAAGCCCTAAACGAGAGGAAGGAGCTCGCCCAGACCTGGCTAACCGCGCAGGGCTGTCTTCCCTCGCCTGGAAGGGCCTAGCGCCCCTCCCCCAGTCACGCTTTCCCACCCCCTGCAGTGGGGGCTCCAGAAGCGGGCAGGAAGCCACAGGACCCCATCTCGGGGCATGGAGAACCTTGGGCTCTGTGGCCTCAAAGGTAGGGGTGATTTCGAGGGGCCGGCACCTCACAGGGCAGGTTCCACCGCGGAAACGCAGTCATCGCCCAGCGACCCTGCTCCTGGCCCTCAGCCTCCCCCCAGGTTTCTTTTTCTCTTGAATCAAGCCGAGGTGCGCCAATGGCCTTCCTTGGGTCGGATCCGGGGGGCCAGGGCCAGCTTACCTGCTTTCACCGAGCAGTGGATATGTGCCTTGGACTCGTAGTACACCCAGTCGAAGCCGGCCTCCACCGCCAGGCGGGCCAGCATGCCGTACTTGCTGCGGTCGCGGTCAGACGTGGTGATGTCCACTGCGCGGCCCTCGTAGTGCAGAGACTCCTCTGAGTGGTGGCCATCTTCGTCCCAGCCCTCGGTCACCCGCAGTTTCACTCCTGGCCACTGGTTCATCACCGAGATGGCCAAAGCGTTCAACTTGTCCTTACACCTCTGCGAAGACAAGGGGACCCCCACCGACGGACACGTTAGCCTGGGCAACCGCCACCCCTCCCGGCCCCTCCATCAGCCTGCCCTGCCCAGTCTCAAGGCGCGAGGGCCATGCGGAGAGGTGGGGAGACGGGGGTTGGAATGGCCCAGACACACCGAAGAGCCGGGCCCTGGGCTGGGGAAGAGGGACAGCATTTGCGGAGGAGCGTGGAGGAGCACGTCCTCTCAGGGTAGAGCTGGGGGCCTTTCTCCAGGTCCTGAAACAGCCGATGCTCCTAGCGAGGCCTAAGAAGCAAATAAAGTTTCTCTGAAACAAGTGACCTGCATGTTTAAGACATCAACTACAGGACCCTCCAGGGGCACCCTCTGGGATACCCGCCCCGCCCCCACGTTGCCCTCCACTTCTAGCCCCCCTTCTGGGGCCCCTTTCTCCACCTGCGCAGCCTCCACCTTCTCCCCGCGTAGAATCCCTCACAGCAGGCCTGACAGAGACCTGGGCGCAAGTTCCCAGAAATAAAGAAAAATGCACTGCGCACTGCTTGGAGAATTGAAGGCCTTGCATTTATTTACCTCAGGCCCTAACCCTATCCGAGGCAGAGGGGAGGCGAGAAGCCGCTGGCGGGGCTGCGCGGTGGGCGGGAGCCTGGGTGGCAGGCGGCTAGGTGAGTTGCCACTTGCAGCACAGGCCGGGGCCGGGACAGACATTCTTTATCTGGACAGCCACATTCTTTTTGCCCGTCGAACCCTTTTCTGCCTGGCTTTTCTGTGGTCTGATTGTGTTTCTTGTTTTCTTTAACCTGTTCCCTTCCTCCGCTCTTGTGTTCTTGGCCCCAGCATAGAATGGCGTCCAGCAAGTTTGAAGAGCAAACTGAAGAGGTGGAGGGAGGGGGAGGGGTTTGAGAGGAGGGGGAGGGGAGACAGGAAGGCCTGAGGTCTCGGAGTCCTCCGCCTGGGGAGTTTCCCAGGAAGTTGCCTGGGAGGAGGCAGGAAACACTGACTAGGCAGATGCAGACGGGGTTACCTGGGATTCAGATTGTGGGGGTTCCCCTGGAATTCTGGGGTCACCCTCAGATAAGGATGCGACAGAAAGCAGTTGAATCCACTGTGTGTGTTTGTGGGGGCACTGACTTGCTTCCTGGATGTTTACCCTGCTGCTGCTGGTGGGACATGGGATTTAAAGAGGGGGAACTGGCACAGATGACGATGGTGGCATCCCCCAAGAAGCTGCGCCAAGTGGAGGCCGAGGGGCAATTTCAAGGTGACTTCTGCAGAGGGCGGGGCTGACCTCTAACCTCCTCCAGTCTGGAAGGATGCTCTGCTTGGAGTCTGGTTGTCGCCATGGAGGGACAGCTTCTATCCAGGGCCCTAACTGTAGCGTGGGTTGGGGGGACTCTTTCGAGAGGGTGGGGCGAGGACGCTGGCCCCACTGCTGCGGCGCTTTAAGGGGACGTGACAAATTGCGCAACAGGAAAAGTCCTGTGTATCTGGCAGCAATAAAACCCAGTAATATGGTTGTAGAGTTCAACATGCAACAACTGGGGGTGGGGTAGGGCTGGGGGCCGCCCTGGTAACAGGTCAGTGCCTGCATGTTTGTGGGCCTGCCAGCAGTTAAAAAAAAAAGTCGGAAGGGCAGAGTTTGAGTGAGGTCATCTTGAGGATTGAACGCGTTTTACATGAAAATCAATCAGTAAACCAGGGTCAGTGTAGAGCTATGATGTGAGGCCCGTTGCGCGCAGGCGCACACCACCAACACGCACAGGGACCCCCATGCAAGCCCCCCACCCCACCGCAGCTCCCTCCCCTGGGGCTGTGCCGAAGAAGCTTTAAACAGCTTCCCAGGAGGGCAGCCAGGGAGAGGGCGGCAGGGTGAGGATGACCTGGCCCCCAGCTCTGTGAGCTGCGCCACTTGGGCAGGCATGGAGGACCCCGGGCAGGGAGACCCGGGTCCAGCCGGGCCGCGACGGGAGGTGGCTGCGCGAGTGAGGGGCGGAGGCCGAGGGTTGCTGGAGTTGGCGCCCCCGCCCCTTGCGCCCTCCTCCGGCCCGGGCTCCGCGCGGCCTCGGCTGGCGGCCTCTCCTCCGCCCGCGCTGGGCGGGATTGTCGCAGGCAAAGCCGGGAAGCCCAGGCCGGTTATTAATTCATTGGGTCGTGTGCCGCGAATCAAGCCCGACTCTGTGCAGCCACCGTGAAGCCCAGCAGGGCCGCCGGGGCCGGGCTTTGTGTCGGCGGAGGCCAAGTTGTTCCCCACGCCTGAGCTCCCGCCTACCTCCCTGATCTGCGAGCCGCGCCGGCGAGTGTCACCGCCAGCAGCCGGTGGGCTTCCCCCAGCGCGGGGGCGGGGGCGTCCCAGCTTCAAGACAGCCCCAGCCCCTAAACGCACCTCTCTCCACTGTCCTTTCCCCCAAGCTTGGTGGAACAGCCCCTCCCCAACCCCATACCTGAGCGTCTTTCCTGGCGGCCCCAGAGCGCACATTAAATCTATTTAGTGTAGCGGCTCGGGACCCCACTCCAGGCTTCAGATCCGGCCCTCTGGCCTCCTGCCCCTTAGGAGCCCCCTGGCCGCCAGCACCCTCGCCTGGCACCTAGGCCCGCGCGGGGAGAGCGTGTCTGTCTGCGCTTTCCTCTCCCGGGTTAATATTAACCGGCAGCTCCTGCGTTCCGGAACTGCTCCGAAAGTTCCACTGGGGACGATCTCGCCATGGTTGAGGGACTTGGGCGGCAGTCACATTAGAGACCCAGAGACAGGGAGGGAGACAGAAGAAGAGGGTCACGCACCTGGGGCAGAGCCTAGGTGGTTATTTAAAATGAGGGCGGCCGAGCAGGCTCCCCAAACCTCCCGCCGGCCTGGGGCTCCCCTGCCGCCTCCTGCACCCCGCCCCTGCCCTCAGCACCCGAGCCTCCGCCTTCCCCATCCCTTCCTCCCCCACCCTTAACTCCTGGAATCGGGAGAAGGAAGGTAGGGGAGGGATCAACCGGGGATACCTCACAGACTGCCAGCCCCTACCCCCCTCGGTTTTAGGGGACCTTTGTGGGGTCTGCCTGATAATCCCGGCCTGGCTCTCCTCACCCAACCCCCACTTGGGCCGTCCTTCCCCCTCCTTTTGTGTTGGGAACGGGAATAGCCACTGCCCAAGGAAAAAAGTATTTGTTTTCGTTTCGTTCGTCTGAGGGAAGTTGACAGAAGGTCAGAAGTTCAAATGCTGCCTGTGCGCGCGGCGGCGAGAGTGGCCGGGCGCGGGGCCGCTGGGCCCTGCGTCCCCCGGCAGGGCGGACGGGGGTCGGGGGGAGGCCCCCGGGCTGGGGGCTCCGGCTGGGACGCGGAGGCCTAGAGGCCAGGCAGGCGGCGGACTGGGGATGGGGGCGCGTCCCAGGGCAGGCCGGCGGAGCCCGCGATGCGCCCCGGCCCCTGCGCGGGCGCCCCCATCTCCGCGCCCCCGCCGCCGGGGACACTACAGCGAGCCCGGCGCTGCTGTTAGCTCCTGCGGTGCCTGCGCTCCCGCGCGTGGAGCAGCAGAGCCCGGCGGCTCCAGCCCAGCCCCTCGCGCACTGAAACCCTAGCCGCGGGGGATCGATAACCCGGGAGTAAGTGGGGCTGCAGGCGTCTGCCTCGCTGCGCGGCTCTGTGCGCTTGCAGCTTTGCAGCAGGGCTGCAAGGCCCAAGCCCTGGGAAGGTGTGCGAGCCCAGGACCCCTTCTGCGGTATTGGCCTCCCGCAGAGCAGGGCAGAAGCTGACCCACTCTGGCTCTGGGACCTCGGGTATCCACGCCCCCGCCGCTCTCTCCGCAGTGCCTCCCTCCTCTCGGGTTCCGAGGGACCCTGGCAAGGCCCCTCCTCCGCGGGGAGTGAGGGTGACGAGAGGATGGGCGCCTCGGGCTAGCCGGAGAACTCCCTCCAGCCAGCTGCACGCAACGGGCACCCCATGGCCCGTGCAGAGTTAATTGTGGATCGCGCTGCTGTCTGGCACTGGCGCGCGCGTCCACACTCGCGGTCCAGATTTAAGGTGGTCGGGAGCAGATGAGGGAGAGCAAGGAAATCAGGACCATTTCCCATTCCTCTCCCTTCCGACAGCTGGAGCAGGCTACCTTGCCTGCCCCTCGCCTTTCTCGGCCTCAAGCAAGCCTGGGAATCGGGTCGGGAAGCAGGGCGGCACGGAGGTAGCTCCTCTCTCTCTGCCGTCAGTACCCTCCCCCTGCACTTGCGCCCCACCAGCGCCACTCCATCAGCCGCTGTACGCACCTAGCCCTAAAGGTAGGACTTGAATATTTTAATAGGGCAATAAAAAGGATGTTGACCTATATTTGCAAGGAAACCCATTTCTGGCTTCAGTTATACGTGCATGGAGTTTCAGAAAGTCTAGAATTGGCTGGGAGATTGGCAGCTCAGAAATCTCAAAGGAGGTGGGGAGAGAGAGAGGAATTCATATTTTGCTTAGCTTCCCCTCCCCCCACACTAATATTTATTCGCTCTTAATTCTTATGCAAGCAGGTTGAAAACTAAAGTGATGCAATGCCAATAAGTTCTAAGTCCCTCCCCTAAGGTACCTCGGGCTTGGAAGAACGAAAGAGCATCCTTAAAGAAATATCAATACATTCACACTCTGATGGGCACAATTGCGGACACGCAATCGCAAAGCCAGCTCTGCGATACAGCCAGCCACCCAGGGACGGGCGGAGTCTCCCCTGGAGCCCCTGCCTTTTGTCAGAACCGCCTCCTGGCTTTTCCAGTTGAGAATTCTTTGGTGGGGAGGTGCAGGGTGGGGGTAGTGGTGGGAAAGAAAACCACAGAGGCAACGGGAAACGTGGGGGCTCTGAGCTCCAATGCCCAAGGCTACGTTCGTTCGTTCGTACAGTACCAGGAGACCACTTCATGTTTGTGGGAGGGGGATTCCCAGCCTCTCCTTCCATTTCCACTCCTGACTTGGAAAGGGCCGACGCCCCCAAAGTGAAGGTCTCCCCAAGTTACAAGCCAGGGCAGAGGTAGGATGGGGAAGGCCATTGTAGCAAGACTCATCAAATCAGGGCCATAATGAACCACGTCTGTTACCGTCCTCACCCCCACCACACCCTAAACTTCTCCAGCTGGACCCTTGACCTCCATTCTCCTCCAGGAAGAGGAAGAGATGGGGGGCGGGCAGGTGGGTGGGGAAGGAGCGGGTGAAATCACCTTCCTATCTGCCCGAAGAGCAAACAGAGTTAAGTCTGGAAGTGTTCGGCTTCTCGTAACCCCCTGGAAAGCCACACATTCCACGCCCCGGCGCTGGGTTCCTACCTGAGTCATCAGCCTGTCCGCTCCGGTGTTTTCTTCATCCTTAAATATGATGTCGGGGTTGTAATTGGGGGTGAGTTCCTTAAATCGCTCGGAGTTTCTGGAGATCTTCCCTTCATACCTTCCGCTGGCGCCTAGGGTCTTCTCGGCCACATTGGGGATAAACTGCTTGTAGGCTAAAGGGGTCAGCTTTTTGGGGTGCCTCCTCTTCCCGAACCCCCTGCCCGGTCCGCACGCCAGTCCCGAGCATACCAGCAGCGAGGAGACGAGGACTAGCAGCAGACATCTCGCCAGCAGCAGCATCTCGCCCATGGAACTGATGACTTCCGAGCTGTCCCCGTGCGGGTCCGTGCGCGAGTGCGCGCGGCGGGTGTGTGCGTGTGCGCTCTCTCTTGCGCTTTCCCTTCCTCGCTCCGGCTCGCCCGCTCGCTCTCTCCCTCGCTGGCTGCCTCGCTCTTTCTCTTCCTATATAACCTTGCCCGCCGCGGCTGCGGGGGACTCTCCACCGCTCCCCACCCAGACAGGGGCTGGAATGGCAGGCTGCCGGCCGCTGATAACGGAACACATCGGAGTTGGGTCGCGAGACAGCAATCAAAAGACAAAAAGAGTCTGATTTTAAATGGTAGCAAGCCTGGAGAGCTTGTGAGAGAGGCTGCCTTTAGCACTATATTATAGCTGCCAGGGGCGCATCTGATTGGCCAAAGCCGCACAAGCTTGTCTTCTGATGTTAACCCTGAAGAAGACTACGTTTTTTTTTTCTGTTGCTGCTGTTGCTTTATTTTCACCTGAAGGATTCGAGTTAAAAAAAAAAAAATCTTTCCTAAGATAAAGGTGGGCGGGAGGGAGGAGCGCATGTCTTGTGGTAACAGCAGTTACTCCCGGCTTTGTGTACATCCTTGCGTTTCCCCCTGACTTTCCCTGGAATGGTAGGTGCTTCAGTTAAAACCAACTTAAGTTTTTAAAGGACAGTTTAAACCCCCGCAAGCTTCAGTCATCAAGCACAGAGTCGCTCACACATTTGAGGGGCACAGCTGCCCAGCTGTTATTTAATTTTTCTTCCCCAGGGACTTTATAGTGCAGGCTGGCTCTCCCTGCATTTTGAAGAAAGAGGACTGAGCCCCTCCTGAAGACTCAGCCTCTGTGGACCGAGGATAATTATGAGTGACCATAACTTAAAGCACTGGTATTTGAAATGCTTTAAGTGCCTTAGAAAAATGTAAAAATACTGCTCTTTTATTGTGCTTCAATTAATACATTTTTTTTTTTGTAGAGCTCTGCAAATGGGATGGAGGCGTGCTCAAGGGCAGTTACAGAGTGAACTGCGGGCGTCAGGGTGGATGGGCAAAGCAGGTCTGGGGGCTGCACCCCAGCACAGGGGAGAGAGTGGGGGCCAGTGTGTGCGCTGGGTGTGTGGAGGCCATTGCAGGGTGTTGGGGGGGGGGCAGGCGAGTGGGCGAAGCTGTGCTCACACAACCCCCACGATCGATCAGAGCAAAGTGCAGAGCCAGGGGTGAGCTGAATGTGGAATTCAGGCTCCTTGCAAAGCTGGCCTTGTGTGGGGGCTCAGCAGGCCAGCAGTCTTCAGGCACAGGAGCCACCAGTCCTAGGGGCTGCAGCCCAAGGGGTCAGGGGCCCTGGGGGAACAGTGTTCTGGTTAACGAGGGGCTTCCTAGAAAGAGGGCACAGTGCCCAGGAGGTGGCAATCTTTGAGTCTATAATCACCTCACTTTTTGCAGAAAAAGGAAAAAAACTCAAAAGTCCTAAGTAAACCAGGAAAATAAAATTTGAAGCTCCCTCTCAACCCTGCTTTTCTTTTTTTTTTTAAAAAAAAAAAAACAGATCATGCCCTTCCCCTTCTCAATCGCCATCCCACTCATGTGCAATGATTCCTCTAGCATAGGATTAGAGAGTGAGGGTTATTTACGTGGAGGGGAAATCCTGACCCTGAGGAGTCATCAGATGCTGCAAATGTGGCCCTGTGAAGTTAAACACTCTCCCTTGACCCCGGGCCCTTGGAGTGGAGGGGGAGAGGACCCCTGTGAAGCTCAGCCCTCAAACGATGGAAGTTTCCAGAAGTTCCCTTTGCAGATCAACTTTTTGTGTGTGTGGTGGGGGAGAGAAGGAGAGGAGCATCTTAGGACACATCTGTCTTGGGCATGAGAGGCTGAGCGTTAACAAGACTCGGTGGCCTGGGTGCCTTTGGGGAGGTTGACCCGGGCTCCCCTTCCCGCCTCTCTTTCTTGTTCCTTTCCATGGTTTGTGACGAATCGTGATCCCTGGAGGAGAGCACCGTGGGGGAGCAGCGTCCACTTGACCAGGCCCCGGCAGCCTCCACTGAGCGGAGCTGGAGCTCAGCTGAGCCCAGGGATTCTCCAGGCGGTGTGTCTGCGCTGCCTGTCCCGTTCCCAGTAAAAACAGACACAAAACAGGACCCGTGTTCTCTCCAGAGGAGGCCGGCCTGTTTGATGTGTCTACCTGCACAGCATGTGGATGTCACATCACTGGGTGGTGCCTGGGCTGGACCAGCGACCTGGCCCAGTGGGACATTTGCAAACTTTTGACTGCCCTGCCTTCCACCCTTGGCATCTCCTCTTGCCCCAGTCCCTCCTCCTCCCCCTGTCTTTCCCCGCTACTTACTCCCTTCCAAATGCAGGCAGAAGGCCCCCCACACGGGTTGCCACCCTGGGGCCTGAGAGATTGGGTGTGCAGCCCTGCCGGGAGGTGGCATGTGCACACAGCTCACCTCTGCAAGGGGCAGGGTGGGTGGGGTGTGCTTTTGGAAGCAAAAGCCTGAGCTGCACAGAGTTCCTTGTGGGCACAGCTGGACGTGGGGTGCCCCCAGGTGCGGTCAGCTCCCTCTTAGCAGAGCGCAGGGAGAAGACGTGGCTTGGCATTGAGCTTGGGTGACTCAGGGCATTTCCTGAAACCTCCCTGCCCTAAGGGATGGCGTGAGGCCCCCTCCCTCCCCTCCATCTCCAGACAGCCCTAGACACCCTGGAGAGCACCTCAGGGGCCGCCCCCCTTGTAGACTGGCCGATCCTCCAGAGTGAAATAATGATGGGCCAGAAAGCCTGCCCCCACGCCTAAGTTCAGAGGGCCTGCCCCCTGCATGGGTTGAGGGGAGCTCGGCGCAGAAAGCAATCCCAGTTATAGACCAGGCTGCTGACTGAGCCCCCCAGAGAAGCTGCTGCTCTGCCCTCCCGCCCTTCACTCCCTGTCCTTCCATCCCACCTGCTCCCCACGGCCCAGCACTGCCTTCCCCTCCAGAGGCCAGGTGGCTCTATCTCTTTGCCTTCCCCCCCCCCCCCAGACCATTTGGCCCCCTCCCCGCACCAGCAGAGGCTCCAAACACCAGCCTCCCTGACAAGGCCAGACATCCGGACATGCTGGGGCTCCGTTATTCATCTACCTGGGCTCTGCCTCTCTTCCTTGGGGTCACGCGCATCCCTCCCTCGCTCCTTCCTCCAGCTTTCCCTCCCCCACCCTCCCCCACCTCCACCCCTTGCCCAGCATCCCTGCTGAGGACAGAAGCTGCCTCCTCTTCTGCCCCAGCCCCCAGGCTCCCTCCTGGGCACTGCCCCTGCCCCTCCTTCCGGCCCCTGCCGCTAGATGGCCTCCTCACTCTGCCTTCGGCTCGGGCTTGGCCGGTTTGGGAAATCCCCGCAGTCCCAGGTCGGGAGGCCCGGAAGCCAGGCAGCCTCCTTCGTTCATCCTCCCCTGGTCCCGTCAGCAGTTTCTGCGCCCCCCTCATCCCCTCTTTCCTTTCCCAGATTTGTACCCGCTGGGCTCTGCAGTTATGGAGCCCGCCTGCCTGGCATCTCCAGGTGCTGCCTCTGTTTCTAGTCTCTGGGGTTGGCCTCTAATCTTTCATGTCCTTCTCCCCTTTGATTTTTCTTCCTTATAGTAATTCCACGCAATCTCTTTCCATCCAGCCATCCAGTCTCCACTTCTTTCTGGATTTTCCCTGTTTTGGCCGGTGGAACTTCTGCACTCCAGTTCTCTTGTGATTGCATCCAGGGCCTTTTGAATTTGGGAGGGATTCTGCACCTTAGCCCCCTTTCCCTAACTCCATGGTCCTCCCCATCCCCGGGCCCTGGGGATGTGAGTCTCCAGCTTCCTGGAGGGCTCAGGCTCTGGATAGCCCAGGAAATCCAGCCACACTCTGCACAGCACCCTGATTGTGGCCTGGCTGCAGGTGGATTGAGGCAATGCTGTCCTCTCCGTGCCAAAGCCCAGGAGCTTTGGGGTGGCTGCAGGGCTCTCTGGACTCCTGCAGCCACATCCTCATGGCACCAGCGCTGAGGGCAGGCCCGCTGGGAGGCAGCTGCCAAGACACACAGGGCCTCGGGGGACCATGGCTGGCATGTGGAGCCAGCTACGCTGGGTGCCCACTGTGCAGCGTTTCTCAGTAGTGCTGTGCAGCGGGCACGGGGCCACCCCCAAGCTGCCACAGGCCCCATGACTGTGGGTGCAGCCTGGCTTCTTCCCGGCCTGGGCCACTCTGTGAAGCAGGGTGCAGGAGACACTTTGGTGACTGGGATTCCTGCCCTCATGCCTGTCCGCCTGCACACCAAGCCCCGTGGAGCCCCGTGGAGCCCCGTGGAGCCCCGTGGAGACCCGGCTCACATGCATGAAGGCTGCAGGCTCTGAGAGATGAGGACCCTGCAGTTTCTGGGGACGCTGGAAAGATCACACAGCCAGCTCTGTCGAAGTAGACATCCTAAGGCAGGCGATCAGCTCGGATGTGAACGTGCAGCCTGAACTATGTTGCTGTGTGCCTTTGAGCTGATTTTCTCTCTTTAGACCATTGCCTGCCTTTGTTGAGTCACTTCGTCTTCATTTTAAGTAATGGACACCTCTTCTTAGGTCTAAATAATGCCTCAGGTGTGTGCCTCTGTACAGTTTCAAAGTGCTCTAGCACCGTTGTCAGGGGAGCCTGAAGCTACATTTGGGAGTTGGAAAGGGAGGCACAGTGTGGGCAGGTGGCCTCGTGCCCAGGGAGGAAGGGACCCTGCGTCTGCATGCTGCTCCTTGCACCCCAGCTACCTAGAGATCCTTCCACAAGACCATCATTGCTTCCATCTTGGAGCCTAGTTAAGAGGCAGGTGCCCCAGACAGTTAATGCATTAAACCCTTGCGCACATGGGCCTCACCTGGGGGCTGAGAAAAAGCCGACAGGCCGCGCTGAGGCCTCACTCCCGAGCACTCAAATCAGAATTTCTCCTTTGCTGACTTCCCTGATGGGGATCCCAAAACCCAGGAGCGAACGTGGGAGGGGGAGATGTGGGTGCAACTGCCAGCTCCAAGCCCCCTGCTGCTCCCCCAGCCCGCGGACACTCCCCAGCCTCCGGATGCTCCGTCTGCTTGGCCCCCCAGCCCCTGGACGCTCCCCAGTCCTGCTTGATGCCTGTGTGCCTTGGGTCCCGTCTGCCCGGCTGGGCCTGGCATGGAGCTGCACGCAGAACTTCAGACAGCAGCGGGTGTGCATGTGTGAGCTTTAGATTCTTTCTGGAGAGCGTGTGGAGGGGGTACGGTGAGGGGTGAATGTGACTGGGACACATGCAGTGCCTGGAGGCTGGGGTGCCTCGGAGGATTGAGGATGAAGCTGTGTGTTGGGGCGTGCTGGGGTAGTACTGCCGCGAGCAGTTTTTCCCAGAACTGCCCAAAGCTGGCTCAGCCCACTCCCATTGAAGGAGGGTTCCCTGGCTCAGCCACTCCCATTGGAGGACGGCTCCCTGGCTCAGCCACTCCCACTGGAGGAGGGTTCCCTGGCTCAGCCACTCCCATTGAAGGAGGGTTCCCTGGCTCAGCCACTCCCATTGGAGGACGGCTCCCTGGCTCAGCCACTCCCACTGGAGGAGGGTTCCCTGGCTCAGCCACTCCCATTGGAGGAGGGTTCCCTGGCTCAGCCACTCCCATTGGAGGACGGCTCCCTGGCTCAGCCACTCCCACTGGAGGAGGGTTCCCTGGTTCAGCCACTCCCATTGGAGGAGGGTTCCCTGGCTCAGCCACTCCCATTGGAGGAGGGTTCCCTGGCTGGCTCCATAGCTGCTCTTCTTCCACGAGTGAAGCCACAGAGCCTGTTCTTACCCACTTCCTGCACAAAGGCTGTTTCCTTACAGGAGCAGAGTTAAGCTGAGATCCACCAGGCAGGGCTGGCAGCTGATGCCACAAGTTCCACTGAGAGAATCAGTCACCGAGGCTGCTCCTGTGCCCTGTGCCCTGTGCCCTGTGCCCCTCCCCGCTTCTGCTCTGCCCACTTCCATGCTCCCTTGGGCCACGGAACTGTCATGACTCGGCCTGAGAGCAGTGGGCTCCCATGTCGCCTGGGATCTCCACAGTCAGAGTGCTGGTCTCCAAGGCCCTTCAGGGTTGTATTTTCTAGAGACTTGAACATCCTTGTAGGGTCAGAGATTATCTGGAGATGTCCCCGTGCACTGGGCTGTGGTGAAGGAGGGTTGCGGTCTGTGTGGACTAAGGAGATCCTCAGGGCTCCACCCACAAGCTCCCGGGCAAGCCACGCAGCCCCTCGAGACGTCTGTTTCTTTATCTGCAATGTGGGAGTATGAAGTCGACGATGCCAAAATCAACAGTGCCAACGCCAGAAGCCCTTTCAGCCCTGGGTTCTATGAGCCCCTGGTCTTAGCCTCAGGAGAACTCATGCAACAGTCCCTCTTCAGAGTGAAGAAAACTAAGAATCCACCCGCATCCCACCCCAGTTCTTGCCGTGTATACAAGGCAGAACCCAAGAGTGACCCCCTCCTTGCCCCTTCCTGTGGCATCCACTGGATCGTGGCCCCGCCCACACTGGAGGTCAGCCTGGTTCCAGCAGCCGTTCCTGCCCTGGGGCCTTGGCTCTGTCCTTCACTCGAGTGAGTGCCAGCCGGCGTGCTCCCTGGGGGGACCCACGTATCACCACAGGGACCTGCTGGGTCGGCTTCCCGGGGGGACAGGGCAACGCTGCCCCAGGGGCTTGAGGGGCATGGAAGCCCCCCCAACCTCATCTCTCCAAGGAGTATTTCCCTTCTTCGCTTTCTTGAGAGGGGATCCAGCCCAATTCCCTCTTAATGTGCAAAATTAAGAGCCAGGGGGCATCAGTGGCCAGGGCTGTTTTGGTAGCAGATGCAGAGAGGCAGATTTAGGGGCTGAGGTCCGCGCACCGCAGGTGCAGGGAGAATGTGTGGGGCAGGGGCTGGGTTCATCCAGAGGTGGGAGAAGGGCACAGAAAGGGAAACTGAGGGCCGAACACACATTTGGGCTTTGAAAAAAGCTGCTAGAACAGGAATAATTTGCCAGGTTTTGTGCTTGTAATTTTGAC
This sequence comes from Homo sapiens, assembly GCF_000001405.40. Taxonomy (NCBI): domain Eukaryota; kingdom Metazoa; phylum Chordata; class Mammalia; order Primates; family Hominidae; genus Homo; species Homo sapiens. The sequence continues at coordinate 155,819,138 of NC_000007.14, forward strand.
GTTATTCTCATGTTTAGGGATTTTTGACAGGCACACCTGACTGTGTGGCTGGTGGCTTGTTTCTTTCTCTGGGGCTGTGGGGTGCATAGAGAAGGACCTGTGTTTCCTGTGGAGGAATTCCCGGTACAAGGACAGAAGCAGCATTCCAGAGGGGGGCTGTGCAGGGCACCTCTGGGATCGCACACAGAACCCCAACGGGAGAGGAGTCCACAGACCGTGCAGGGCTCTGGGCTCCAGGGGCCTGGCCTGGCAGCAGCACAGCGCTGTGAGATGTGTGCTCAGACAAAGGGGTGATGATTCTACCCGGGCGGCTCCGGGGCTCCTCTCCCAGCCACACCACTGACTTGCAGTCAAGGAACACAGCAAAGAGATCCCAGCTTTCTCTGGCAGGCAGACCGGTGCGCTTTATGCATCGACCATCTCACCAGGCAGCTGCACTCAGCGAGAAGGGAAGTTGGAACTCGTAACTTTGGGTGATAGTAATAGTAATACTGATTCAGTGTTGGCCATGTCTTGGAATTGCTCTTGGATTAAATTTTAATGTGTTAATACAAGCAACCCTTTCAAGGAGGGACCATTGCACAGATGGGGAAACTGAAGCACAAGGAGGTTAAATATCTCCTCTGGGATCACACGCCGGATTTGTGGCAGGGCCTTAAATCAAATTCAGATGACCTGGCTGACAGCTTGCCCTCTGACTCTCTCTGTAGGCAGTGATGCTTCCGGAAGCTTCCATGTGGCGCTCAGCACTTTTCTGTTTGGGTGTATCATTGGGTAAGGGGAGGGAGGAGGGTAGAAAGAGGGCCCCCTCCACCAGGAATACAGAGGAGGGAGCCCCACTTGGACATATGGAAATAGGAGATGACCTGGAAGAGAGACACCACAGTACCCAGGGCCATGCATTTTGGGCCAGGCAGGAAGTAGTCCCGAGGTTCTGGGAAGAGGGAGCATCAGGGGTGCCTGAGAGTGGTGTTCCTGCCCTGCCCTGCCCCACGACTCCTTGCACAGTTTAAAGGCCCCGTCCCCTGGACAGCAGCACCCTGCACTGCCGAGTGGGGCTCAATTTGTGCAGGGCCTTTAGTGCCTATGCTCCCTTGTTGCAGAGCGGCCGACCTCCACCCTTTCCCCACTTTCCAGAGGAGGAGGCTGAGGCTCCCGCCGAGACCTTACCGTCCACTCACAGGGCCGCTGGGAGGGAACAGGCCCAGCCATGCCAGGTCAGGAGAAGCACTACACACACGTGAGGGGCCATCTAGTTCCACAGATGCTCCTCTGCGGTCCACGGCTCCACTGGGTGCCTGTGGAAGACGTCCCAGGAGCGTGTCAGAGAAGGAGCTGACCATGGAGGAGTGTGCAGTGTCAGGGCGGAGCTGGCGCCTGCACACAGGACGCTCAGGTGACTTTGCCCAGGACCACTCAGTCGTGAGTGGTCAGTGTGGGGCCAGGGCTGACCGCAGGCTCCACGCGGCAAGCACCACACTCCAGCCCAGCAGGGCCACGTTTCCAGGCAAGCCGTGGTGTCACCAGGCGGTGGACACAAATTCAGGCCTCAGAGTTAGTCACGGTCAAGGTCATGGGCTTCTAGCTCTTTGGGTTCTTCAGGCAACTGTGGGAAGGAACGAGGCCCAGCGGGGAAGGACCTTTTATGCAGAACAGTCTTTCCCCGGCCGTCCTCAGCGAGAGGCCCTGTTTTGTAGCTTGGGGCCCTCCCACAGTAGGAGGCCTGCACAGGGCACTGCAGCTTCAGAAAGGATGGAGGCTGTGCCACGTAGCCGCCTCACCCTCAGGTCCTCTGCTCCCATCCCTCAGCAATCTCTGTGCACAGCACCATGCCCGCGATCAGCGCGTCTCAAGCCTTCATGTGTCACGTGAAGAACACGTGTTCTCATGGGAGAACAGAGGTGGTGGGCACACTAGCTACTGCTCACAGAGGCTGAGATGCCTGTTCTCTCCTCTGGGCAGATGGCTGCTTTTGCTCGTTTTGATTTTATTTTCCTGACAGATGATTGGTGCAAGCAGTGGCTGTGATACAAGAATCTAAGCAGACGATGTGATTCCAGGGCTCACTCCAGCCTCAGGTCTTCCATTTGCCTCTACCTCCCAGGAGGCCCTTTTTCTTTTCCTTCCTTTCTTCCTTCCTTCCTTTATCTTTCTTTCTTTTTTTTTAATTGAGACAGAGTCTCACTCTGTTGCCCAGGCTGGAGTGCAGTGGTGTGATCTCAGCTCACTGCAGCCTCCGCCTCCCAGGTTCAAACGATTCTCCTGCCTCAGCCTCCCAAGTAGCTGGACTACAGGTGCCCAGTGTCGTGCCTGGCTAATTTTTGTATTTATAGTAGAGGTGGGGTTTCACCGTGTTAGCCAGGGTGGTCTTGAACTCCTGACCTCAGGTGATCTGCCTGCCTTGGCCTCCCAAAGTGCAGGGATTACAGGCATGAGCCACCATGCCTGGCCGTCAGGAAGCCCCTTTTTCATCATTTCAGATGGGAGGGACCACCACGAAGTCTGGCTGACTGTCTTTGCAGCCTTTAGCCTCTTGTGTGGGGAGGTTAGTACCAGCGTCCCTCCTGCCTTGGGCATCTCACTGCTCGGCGTGTGTGCTTTCTCTAGGTCTGCCGTGACAACCTGCTACAGACGGGGGCTGAAAACAACAAAGTTCTTCTCTCACCATTTCAGGAGCTTAGAAGTACATCTTTTGTTATTGCTGTTGTTTGTTTGAAGGGTGAAGGCTGTGTGCCTGATCTCTTTTGTGTCTTCCAGGGTGGCTGAGAGGGTGCTCGACTCTTGAGTCTGAGGTATAGGAGGAAGACTTTATAATCAGGCAGGACTTGAAAGTTGGCAAAGCTCGTTTCCACCCATGATCTCACGGGACCCGCAGCATCCCTGTGTGGTCATCGAGGTGGTGGGGGCACCCCTATATTCACAGACCGGAAGATGGAGGCTCAGAGGGTTACGTGGTCTCCCACGGGACACCCTGTTGGAGGGCGGGGAGCAGAGGTGTAACTGCAGCCCATGGTTCCGGGATCTTTATTCATAAACTCTTCATGAATCCAGAGAGGGGAGAGCTCAGATGTGTTCCTCTCCCTGCATTTCTGTCCCTTGAACTCGGATCTCCCATTTCAAGCCTGCAGATCCCCATGTCTCTGAACCAATGACTCAGTCCAGACCATGCCTTGTGACTCTGTCTCGCTTCTGCCCCCTGGTCCAGTGGCAGCCTCTCCCCCTCCTCTGTGCCTTTCCCACCTTCTCGACCTGTGGCCCTGGGGCTTCTGGCTTATCATGTCATAGCTGTTTGGCTGATGTGACCTCTGGATCATTGCTTATATTCATATTTCACTTTGGGGGTTGTTGTTTGACCTTTGACTTCAGGGTAGTTATTAGTATCCTCAATATATTTGCTAATTTCCAGAAGAAAGCCTTCAGAGTATCTGTCTTACACATCTCTGTAGGTCACACAGCTCCCAGCTCAGAAGATGCTCAACAAATATTTGTCAGTTACCAGAAGTTTCTTACTAATTAGCCAGTTAAACTAGTGGCATGTTATGGAATGAGTTTCAGTGGTTGCTATTTAAAAAGTAAACCAACACACCAAAACAAGCAAACAACAACAACAACAAATAACAACAAAAAACTATGGCAGCTGAAATATCAAATTCGGAATCCACGTAGCTTCTTTTCTTCCCAAGCAGAAGCTGCAAACTTGGTTTTCTGTTGTTCTGATGATAGCGTTGATCAGAGAGGGCCTGGAGGGAAGGTCGTTGTTTTCCTCCTATTTCAAGGTGTTGCACCTTTGGCCAAAGGGCCCACAGCACTGCTTGGAGGAACCACAGGGCTTCAGGACGTGACCGTGCACTGGGGCTGGAATCAGTGTCATTTCTCTGGAGCCAGTGGGTTTGAACTGTCTCGGAACCCTCGTTGAAGTCCACTATCTGCATGACTTTGGACAAATCTCTTCACCTCTCTGAACATAGTTCCCTATCAGCAAAATGGGGACAAATGTTTACTTCGTGGGTGTCATAGGATCCCCTGAGGTTTGGCAGTGAGTGTGTGATGCACAGCTAGAGCCTGGAGCCGAGGGTGTGCTCTGCAAGTGGCTTCACACCTAGACCAACTGACATTGCTTACAAATTCTCTTTCTGGGACTTTTGTGCCACTTAAGTTGGCACAAATACACTTAAGGCCAAAGGCAATTCAACGTAAAATATTCAACTGTTTTCAAACAGATCAGGCCACATAGCAGAGATCACTTCTTTCGTTTGACAAAAGAGGACATTCAATCGGACTGAGTTAATTTAAATAATGTTTCTTTCTGCTGGGGCTGTATTCCCCCTGCCCCTCCCGAGCAGCGAATGGGATGAGCGACCGTGAAGGCGTCACGTGGGAATCCTGATGGGACCTGTCCCATTAGTGTGTGCATGTCACTCACGGAGCGTCTACACTCTTAAAAATAACCTCATGAATTCTTTTATTTAGGGTGGAAACTCTCCACGGCTTTCTGGCTCTTTACACGTGAGGATTCTCTGCAGCAGTGCAAGGCAGCCTGAGGGTGAGGCGCCACTAATAATGATGTGTTTTCAGGGGGCGCCTAGTCCTCGCCATGATGCTGTGGGGGAGAGACAGACCACGTATTATTAACTCAATTTGACAGATGAGGAAATTTAGGTCTGAAGAGAGACTAAATGACTTTGCCTACAGTCACTGAGCCATGTCTCTCGCCCGTGCTCCACTGTTCTTTCCATTTCTCTGTCTTTCAACTCAGGAGCTGAGTGTGCTGCTGTGGGGTTACCTAGAACTCAACTCTCCTAAGCCTAATGCTCGAGCTGCCAGTGGTGTCTCAGGGCCCGGGCCTCGAAGTGCCCTCTCAACATGTTTCTTTGTCCTAGTGAAGACGGTTCCTGTGGTTTCTGCACGGACTTGTTGTTGGTGGGGTCTGGGCTGTTTTTAGAGCAGTTTATCCACAGAGAGGGGAGACCCCTAAGTGTCATCTTCCCTGGACAGTGCTCAATGTCATTTGTTTCCCCAGATGGGGAGTTAGAGGGGCCTGAAGGAGGTCGGGCTGGGGTGGGGGGCAGCGGGCGGGATGTCAAGAGAAACCTAAAGGCATGAGATCAAGTCAAACTCAACACTTCTCCTCTTGGCCTTTTCAGCGTGAGGATGGCTCACACCAAAGTACACAAGCCAACAGACTGAATCGCAGCTCTCTGTTTGAGCAGTGCCCACACAAAGCCTGCCCTCTGGAGTCCTCCTCCAGGCTCTACCCCGCCATGGTAACCGCTGAATTCGCCGGGCCATGGTAGCAGGCCAAGTATGTGCACAATTGTCCTGGAGTCTCTTCCAGTGGCAGACGGTGTTTGAATGTTGTGTACATGTTTTCTTTCTTATCCTGACATATTTATACCCTAGTTTTGTTTTATTTTGTTTTGTTTTGCTTGGTGGAGAAGCCATGGGGTTAGGAGGTGACGGAGTGGCTGGGAGAGCCTTTGTATCAGATTGGTTAAGAAGGCCGATCTACGGTTCCCAACATTCTACCACCAAGGGCTAGGAGAGTCATCTCCCTCCCGGAAACACACGTCAATGGGCTTGGACGCAATTTCAAGGCTGCATGCCAACGTGATCACGTGGCATTTTGATTCAGCTATTAAGGAAGAAGTAAGTATAAAGACTTCAGATACCTTAGGCAACAGTTCCATAAAGGAGGCAGTAAAACACGTAATTAGGCAAATCAAATAAGGCACGGCAACAGCTTTCAAATATTTAGTCACATATCATTTCCCATTAATTTACTGTGGGCTTAAATGAGGTCTGCATTTTTATAATCCCCTGTAAAGCTCAGAGGCATGGCAGAAGCGTGTGCTTTTAAACACGACTTCCTCACGCCGCAAGGTGTTATGACAATGATGGGATCATTTCATTTGGTGGAAGGGGAAGAACAAGGATGGGATCTTTCAAGGACAGCCCTGGAAAATCCAGGGGTTGCATCAACGTTCTCTTAACTTCAGGTTTGCAGAGCTGCATCCAGAGGAATCCTTGAAGCATTATGGTCTTTTGGTAGCTTAGTCCCTTTCAGTTATGACAGTTTTTCCCAAACCTGCTGTGACGTGACAACTAATCCATCAGTCACCTTTCTTTGTAGAAATAATCAATTCTAATCAGTAATTGCTTTTGGGCAATAGTTCAATCCTGCTGTCATCTCTTGGCTTCCAGCATCATCACATCATCTGAGCAGCTCTAAGGGCAAGAATACATTTCACTGTGACGATATCCAAGCCCAGACAGTATTTTTTCCTGGGCTTAACCATTAGGTTAATACACAGTGCATGTTTCCACACTTTATTCTCAATCCCCCTGGTACAGGAAGGAAGTGTGCTGGGAGTCTGTGTCTTCAGAATGTCAGACATCTGAGTCCCTGAAATGAGTCGTCTTTCTGAGTTTCCAGAGACACGTTTGGTGGCAGGTAGACACACCCTGGGATGATTGAAGTGATTTTTGGGGGAATATTCTGTAAGGTCTTGCACTCAGCACAAGAGGAAAGATTGATTGAGAAGAAAAGGCATTAGGTCAGAGGTGAACCAAGAATCTTATGCAGAGTTTTCAAACCTAAACCCGTATCTACATGGCTAAGCAGCACACTGGAAGGGAAAAAGCCAGCACAAATAGGCGTGGACGCGAGGGGCAGTCTTTGCAAGGACGTGGTCCCTCCCTTTCCTTCCCTGCCTTCACTTGGCTTCCACTCTCTCTTAGAACTGGGCTGCTCTGGAGCCGGGTGCGCTGGCTCATACCTGAAATCCCAGCACTTTGGGAGGTCGAGGCGGGAAGATCACAAGGTCAAGAGATCGAGACCATCTTGGCCAACATGGTGAAACCCCGTCTCCACTAAAAATACAAAAATTAGCTGGGTGTGGTAGCACACATCTGTAGTCCCAGCTACTCAAGACGCTGAGGCAGGAGAATGGCTTGAACCTGGGAGTCGGAGGTTGCAGTGAGCTGAGATTGCTCCACTGCACTCCAGTCTGGCGACAGAGCAAGACTTCGTCTCAAAAAACACAAAAACAAAAACAAAAAAAAAGAACTGGGCTGCTCTGTCCTTCTCTCATCTCAGTGTGTTATCCGGATAGGTCTGGGCTGCTGTATTCCTGAACTACGGAGTTTTCTGTGGTCTCATTTGGTTTTACGATTTCTCAAATTGGAGGTCGAAATATCTTGTATGTCTTATGTACTCAATAATACAGTCCTTAAGAAGTTTAATTAAAATGAGGGATATCTGTTCTTGACTGTTGTCTTAGGTTTGGAATCTCTGTAAGGAATAATGGAAAATTAATGCCATCAGGGCTTTGGAGAGCTGCTTTAAATCAGGTATGACTACCACAGGCTCCTTAGGGATGCCTCACATTGTGGCAGTTTTCCTGACTTTTTCCTTTTTTCTCTCTTTTAAGGTAGGGAAAGAAAAAAATTTCTTCTTCTTTTTTTTTTTTTAAATAGGAAAAACCAAGGCATTTGCTCTGAGTACAAAGGTTTTTAAGATATTTGTTATGAAGGAATAAAAGTCCTATTAAAATATTTATAAATTGAAACAACCTCAGAAGCCACACACACAATTAGGCCTTTCAGCCTCTATTCCAAAAACCAGATAAATCATCATTCAGAGAGCAAAGAGGAAAATCAAAACAAAAACAAAGTGCTCAGAAGCCGACCATGAAACAGGGAACAGAATGTGGTCTAGAAAATGCTCCTTGTCTCTGAGCAGGGCAGAGTCCGCAGACATCCCAGGAAATCTTTGAGTTTCTGACTCATCAAAAAAAAAAAAAAAAAAAAACCCAACCAAACAAAAAAACCCCCCAAAAACAACCAGAAAAGGAAAAGGAAAAGGAAAAGTGTGTATGGTATCATCTCAGGAGGCCGTCATCAAAACTTAGAAGTAAAATGCAAGCCAGGAATCGGATCCAACCCTCTAATGTTCTGGACGAGGAAACCGAAGCTTCTCTAATGCAGGTGCCTCGCTCATGTCAAGGGTTGAGGAGGTTGCGTGGGCAGAACTAGAAAACAGACCCTGACCCTCAATCACAGTGTGAGGTCTCCGTCCACTTGGGCTTCTCTGGTGGGTTCAAAGTCCCGCCCATGAACCAGCCCTAAAATTCAAGGGACCGTGCACCCCGGTATTTTCCAGAGGCCGGAGACATCCGGAAGAAGCGTGTTCTCTGGTTCATGTACCATCATTTATTCCTACTTCCGTTTATTTCACAAGCATTTAGTCAGCTCCTATTGTCTAAGACCATTCCCAGACTGTCTTTTGGTCGAAATGTAACACCCAGTCCTGTGGTTTAAGTAACTCAAGGCAGCGAGTCCTGTCATGAACCACACCAAAGGGGCTCTGAGTCCCTGGAGAGGAAAGCACGGAGTTTTCACACTTGCTTCTGTGCCTCAGGGGTCGTGTGCATTTCTTGGCTGGGGTGCCGTGCACCGTGCAGTGGGCACAAACCTGGAGACCACACCCATCTGTGGCACTGTTGGGATCTCCAGTTCCTCCTGGCAGAGGACTTTCTGTTTTGGCTTCTGTTTGTTTCTGACACAGAGTCCTGGGCAGAGCCATGTTTCTTTTTTGCTTTTTGGAGTGAAAGGTTAGCATTTTCCCATCCCCTTGTCAGTCCCTTCCCTGTGATAGAAGCCCTTCCATGTTCAGGGTGAGAGTGAGGTCCCTGCCTCAAATGAGCAGAGGCCAAGTCAACCCCTTGGGTTGTTGCAATGACAGTTCACAAGCTTAAGGATCTGGCTTAAGTTTTTTTTTTTTTTTTTGTAGTCACCAGAGGATATCTCTTTATTTCCTTTCCAGGTACGTATTAATTGACATGTTACCCATCATCTCTTGTTTGTGCAGGAGAGATGTGGTCCCGGCTTAGCTCAGTCTGCCATATTGTTGCACCTGGGTCTCTGTTGATTTCATTTTCAAGCAGCTCTCTATTTAGTGGCAGAGACGGCTCTTGGCAGCACCTGGCTCTGGGGTCTTTGGCATCCCTAGTAATTTCCCTAAGAGGCTTGGATTTGGCCTTCTTGGTTCACGTGCTTCCTCTGGGCCGGTTACTGTGTGCACAGTTTGGGGTTCTCGCTCTTCTGGCTGGGGCAGAGTGCTTCTCCAGGAGGAGACTTCCAGTGGAAAGCCCTGCCAGGTGGGCACAAAGTCCACAGAGAGACTTTGTAACCAGAAGAAGGAGGTGACAATGTGGACAGGCTGCCACGCTTTGCTTCATTTATTCAACATTGTGGTTATTTTGACTTATCAAGACTGCATAACCACTGTGGAGAACAGTATAGGGTTTCTTGAAAATCCAAAATTTGATCTACCATATGATCCAGTGGTACTAATCTGTTCTCACATTGCTATAAAGAACTACCTGAGCCAGGCACAGTGGCTCACACCTGTAATCCCAGCACTTTGGGAGGCTGAGGCGGGTGGATCACAAGGTCAGGAGATCGAGACCATCCTGGCCAACATGGTGAAACCCCATCTCTACTAAAAAAATGCAAAAATTAGCTGGGCGTGGTGGTGTGTGCCTGTAATCCCAGCTACTCGGGAGGCTGAGGCAACAGAATCGCTTGAACCAGGGAATTGGAAGGTTGCAGTGAGCCGAGATTGCGCCACTGCACTCCAGCCTGGCCACAGAGCGAGACTCTGTCTCAAAAAAAAAAAAAAAAAAACCCAAAAAACAAACAAACCACTATCTGAGACTGGGGAATGTGTACAGAAAAGAGGTTTAATTGGCTCATGGTTCCACAGGCTGTACAGGAAGCCTAGCTGGAGAGGCCTCAGGAAACTTACAATCATGGCGGAAGGCAAAGGGGAAGGAGGCACTTCTTCCATGGCTGGAGAAGGAGGAAGAGAGCAAAGGGGGAGGTGCTATGCACGTTTAAACAACGAGACCCTGTGAGCACTCATTCACTATCATGAGAACAGAAAAGGGGAGCTCCACCCCCATGATCCAATCAGCTCCCACCAGGCCCCTCTTCCAACATTAGTAATTACAAGTAGACGTGAGATTGGGGCAGGGACACAAATCGAAATCATATCACCAGTCATTCCACTCCTGGGCATGTACCCAAAGGAAATGCCATCAATGCCCTCAAGAGCTGTCCACACCCATGTCCACTGCAACACTGTCCACAATAGCCAAGGTTTGGAATCACCCTAAGTGTCCACTGGTGGATGAATGGATAAAGAAAATGCAGTGTATGTGCACAATGGAGTACTATTCAGCCATAAAAAGCAGTGAAATCCTCTCATTTGCAGCAACGTGGATGGAACTGGTGAACATTATACTAAGTGAAATAAATAAGTCAGACACAGAAAGTCAAATATACATGATTTCACCTCTATGTGAAATCTAAGAAAACATGGAACTCATAGTATCAGAGAGTAGAATGGTGGTTACTGGGGGCTGGGGCCTGTAGAATGGTGGTTACTGGGGGCTGGGGGCTGGGGGAATGGGGCGCTGTTACTCAGAAGGTACAAAGTTTCAGTTATCATTGGAGGGTCAACGGGGAGCAGGGTGACTATAGTCGGTAATAAAGTATATCTGAAATTTGCAAAGACGGTAGATCTCAAGTGTTCTTAAGACAGGAAAATGGAAAGCGTGTGAGCTATTGGATGTGTTAGTCAGCTTGATTGTCATGGCCATTTCGCAGTGTGTACTTATACAAAAGACCATGTTGCACGCACTAAATACCTATGATTTTTATATTTCAGTCTTTCCTCCATAAAGCTGGAACACAGAGTGCCCACATGAAGCCTTCAGCACAGAGCCTTGCCTTGCACCCCAAGTCACTCCCGCACCTGGAGCACATGCCAGGCCAGGTGCCAGCAGGTGCACACCCCAGGGCTGCCCAAAGGCCGTCCCCTCCTTCCAGTGAGAAGGGGCCCACTCTCTCTTTCTCTCTGGTGGGCCTCCCCTTCTGACGCCAGTAACTGACTCGTCTCCTGGGCTAGTGCTGGAGGTGGCCTCCTTCCCAGAAGAGCTGAGAGATGCAAGGGAAGCCGGGTCCACGGGGTCCTACCCCGTCCAATGATGACCTAAGCTGTGCAGTCAGGCAGACAGATGCCTTAATGGGGCCCCAGCGCAGTCAGCAGCCGCACCTGGCACGTCCTCTGGGGATGTGGCACTTGGAAAGGAGTGACTCGTAGGAGGATGGGTAAAACACCACCCACTGTGCGTGCCAGGGGAGGAGTCCAAGGCCCTGGATCAGTGAGGCTCTCACCCAGTCCAGCCCTGCACGTCCTCCTTGGGAGGGGTGGGCAAGGGGGACGTGACCTCTGGCATCAATGTATCCACGTGCCTTACAGCAACAGCTCCATCACCACACCCTGCTGGCTGCCCTGTGCTGCCATTTCTGGGCCTCACTGATGCTAAGTTGGAGGATAGTCAGGGAGAGGCCACGTTTGCCAAGTGAAATTGGGAATTACATGAGCGGGACCAAAATCTGGAATTCTCTCTCTCTCTCTCTCTCTGTCTTTTTTTTTTTTTTTTTTTGAGATAGATAGGGTCTTAGTCTGTCATCCAGACTGGAGGGCAGGGTATGATCTTGACTCATGGCACCCCTGACCACCTGGGCTCCAGCCATCCTCCCACCTCAGCCTCCCAGGTAGCTGGAACTACAGGCACGTGCCTGGTTAATTAGGTGGCAGGCTAATTTTTGTGTTTTTTTAGAGGTGAGGTTTTGCCATGTTGCCCAGGCTGTAAATCTGGAATTCTCAGTCAAGGTGGAGGACCTGAGAGAGCTGGGGACATTTGGGAGGGAGGAGTGGGCTGAGCGTGCAGGGGGCAGACAGGGATGGGGTAAGAGGCGGACCCCGGCAGTGAAGTCAGGTTCCGAGGCGAAGGAGCCATCCCGAAATTACCCAGATGAGAAATCTTGTTTCCGAAGCGCCTCTGCGTTCCGGGCACCAAGGGAGAGTGAGTTCTGACCGGGTTGTCGGGGGGTCAGGGACTCTGCCCTCAGCCACTTTGGCTGCTGGTTCTGCCGAGCCACTGCCCGAACAGCACCCCGGATGCACCCGAGGAGGTGAGGCTCTGCGGACCGGGTGCCCTGTGAGTGACAGGGGAGAGGCCCCTGAGGTTTGCACAGTGCCTGTCACTTCTCAAAGCACCTCCTTCGTTCTGGCAATTTAGTGAGGGAGGCTGGGCAGCCGGGGCTGTCCATTTTATAGAGGAGGACACCAAGCCTCAGGGAGGGAGAGGGAAGCCGGTGGAGCCGGGCAGAAGCCTGTGGAGCTGGGTAGAGGCCGGCGGGTTTCCCAGCAGCGGTCTTCTGCATCTTCTGGCTGAGTCCTCCGCTGTCAGGAGACCCCGGCCTGGGCCAGGAGGTCCGATTCTGGGATGCGAACGTGGTGGGGCTGTTGCCATAGATACCGATGTGGTCACCAGCCTGAAACCCTTGAGCCACGGAGAGATCAGACGGTGGTCCCCACTCCTCAGCCTGGAGCCTGGCAGAGACGCTCAAGGAAGAGGGTGGGCTGACCGCGCACGCCTCTCCTTTCTTCATATCCTGCGCGGCTCGGGCGCTGTGCAGGAGGCCTGTGCTCAGCGAGGAGAGAGACAGAGAGTGCAGTGGGAGGAGCGCGGGGTCGGGGGGCTCTGCTTCCCACGGTGCGCCTGGGAGCCTCTTTGCCTCTTGGGGCCTCAGTTTTTCCAAATGTAAAACCAGGGCAGCCCTTCAAGCCCCTGGCCAGTGACACACAGAGACGAGTAGATAAGGACACCAGGGCAGACTGTTCCGAAAGCGGTGAGCCGGCCATTTCAGCGCTGGTTCTGCATGGACTTTCCTCCTATGGAGGCTGGAATCAGCTGGTGCAATCCTTACAATTCTGGTGGGAAAATTCCATCAGGCCTTCTGCAAACACACAAACTGTTTACCCTCACACACCCCATCTCTGCAGGGGCCTCGTGTACTCAGAACGCACCAGTAACCCCCACTTGGACGCTGCTTGCTCTGGAAACATTTCTAACTTGGTTATCTGGCTGCAAACCTCCAGCAGTTTCAGAAATAAAATGACAGAAAGGGGAGGGATTCTTAGAGGTTGACTTCATGAAGGGAAGAGATCGAAAAATGATACAAGCTGGGCGAAGGGACTCCTGGCCAGCAGGCTGGGGACACCCGACCATTCAGGGTGCTCAGCTCGCTCCTGCCTTCAGTCCCGCCAGACTTTGCGATTGTGTAAAGCAAGGAACAGGCACGTGAGGAAGGCAGCTTTGTCCAAAGCGGGCTTCAGTGATGCAGAGAAATGTTGTAATCCTTCTTGAGAAACATTTGCATGCAAAATGGTTGACATACAAGACATTTTAACATTTAGAGGAAGGTTAGTTCCAAGTTTCCAGTATCCTCCTAAGACCGGCGGGAGCTCACATCTCAGAGCTCTTCAGGAACACGAGGTGAGGACCAGCCCCTTTCCCAACCCCGAGGTGGCAGAAGGAGTGAGCTGGAGCCAGAAGTTCCCTGCCCCTTGCCTCCCCGCAGGAGCTGGGCCTTAGACAGCTCCCCAGGAGCTGGGCTGGGAGGAGAGCTGGGGGCAGGGAGGGTGCCTGTGAGGCAAAGCTTCTAGATGTCAAGGAGAAACGGGACTGGGTCAAGGCTCAGCCAGTCTTGAGTGACCCTGGAGAGCTGGGATCTGCTGGTCTGTGGGCCCAGAGATTTTCTCTGCGTCTACTCACCTTCCAGCCCCCACCCTGGCCCTGGCCCTGAGACCTCCCCACATGGATCTCCTGCCTCGGTGCTCCCTGCAGTTGGATGAGCAGCCCCGGTGGTCCTGACAAGGAGTGAGAGCAGTCGCTACCCCGGTGTAGCCCATGCTGCTGTCTTCAGCCCAGCAGGTCAGTCCTGCTCTGTGACTTTGCTGAGATGGGCTTGGCACTTCCTTGGGTCAAATGCTGCTCTGACCCTGCATTTGCTTCAGTTTCCGGGGGAAGAGAATCTTCCAGAGTGACAGAGAAGCGCCAAAGGATGTTGGAGCTGGAAGGAACCGAGGCCCCAGCCAATCTCATCAGGTTTTCAACTTCAGCTGCACGTTAGAATCATCTGGAAAGTTCTAGAAAAATGCCTCTGCCTAGCCTCACTGCCAGAAGCCATGACTTAATTTGTTTGGGATGGAGCCCAGGAATTATCTTCCAGGTGATTCTGATGTGTAGCCAGGGTTGAGTTTCACGGATCCCAAAGCTGTGTGGCTCAGAGTGGGGAAGTGAGTTGGAGGGGGGGCTGCGGCGCAGGCCTCTGATGGCCTCACACCCTCTGCCCGCCATGGCTTGCTTCTCAGAGACTGTGGGTTTAGGCTATGGAATAATTTTCAAAAATACCAATTCTGGATCTTGCAGGCATTTAGAGTCCCCCAAACAATTTCTTTGGTGAATCCTGAAAACAGCCTTTTTTACAAACTTCTGTGCATCTCAGCAGAAACTAACAGCAAAATGGAACTTGGCTTAAGCTCTGGAGACATTTGAAATCTTGGCTAGTTGCACAATGATGTCTCGTGGCATTTCGGCGTGCTGGGGATCCTTTGTGGGCACGGCTGCGGTGAGGCTGCTCTTTGGGGGCTCTTTGACTGGTTGTCCAGCCGCACCTGCTGGGAACCTGAGGCCGAGTCTGCACCACCCCCATCGGAATTCCCAGGCAGTGCCCTGGGAACCTGCCTGCCTCTGCGCTGAGTGGTGACAGCTGGTGGGTTGTCCCTCCCATCACGGAAAGCTGCTCCCAAGAAAGCCTGAGGCTTTGGACACGCAGTGGCGTTTCTGATGGAGGGTGCCAAAGCCTGGGGACACCCGCTTCCTCCTGAAAAACCAAACGGTCTTTGGTTCTGCTGCCTGGGAAGTCCAGCCATGCCTCCACCCTGTCCTCTTTGGGGCCGAGTGGGGAGCATGCAGCTGGGGGCCAGCTGACACATCTGGGGTGACAGAGGTCTCTGGCAGCTGGCATTCTAAAGGCCAGAGGTTTGCAAGTGCACTGTGAGTTTCCTGCTCTGTTCTTTAAGGAGAGCTTGGTTCTCAAAAAAGTGCCATTTGCTAGATGAGGCTCAGTGTGGCTCAGTGGGGATGGAGTGCTCTGGAAGGACCTGGGGGGATGGGAGGACGGGGGCTGCCCAGTGGGCCAAGCCCCATTCATAGACTGCTAGGCCACTCCTTAAGCCCATAGCGGGAATTGGTTGGTGGTTTTCTGGGTCCATGAGCTGTCACTTAAAAAAAAAAAAGATTTTTCAAGATGTAATACGCTCACCATACATTGACCCGTTTGAATTGTATAATCCAGTGGTTTTCAGCATATTCACAGATACGTGCAGCCATCACCACAGTTTCGGAGCTATTCATGACCTCCAAAAGTAACCTTGGGCTCTAACCCTCCCTTCCCCCGGCCTCTCCCAACAGATCCACTCTCTGGCTCTGCAGGTTTCCCTCGTCTGGACATTTGGCATGAATGAAATGGCACAATGCAAGGTCCCTGTGGCAGCTTCTTTAGAACAGTCACACAGCACGATGCTTCCAGGCTCGCCTGTGTTGTGGTGTATGATGGGGCTCCTTGTCACTTTGTGGCTGAGCGACACCACAGGGCACGGAGGAGCGTTTTGTGTGTCCGTTTGTCCACAATGGATGTTTGTGTTTTCTCCACTTTTGGCCATTGTGAGCCGTGCTACTGTGGCTGTGATGTGTGCAGCTCTCCTGGGTGTGTGTCTAGGTGTGCATTCCTCGACTGGAATCTGCATTCGCTTCGCAGGAGCCAGGTCAACAGCGGAGGCAGAGTGAGGGGTGAGGCCTCCCTCAAGGGTTGGGTGGTGAGAGGGGAAGGCCCGGGGCTGGTGGCCGTTCTCAGAGTTTCCCTCCGCAGAGCCAGCCCTTTATCATGTTGCTCTGTGAAGACAGTGACTGTCTCTGAGCCCCTGCCCTTAGTCAGGGTCTCTGAGTTCATTCCTATAGTTCTTTTTTGGTGGGAAGGAGCAGTCAGGGTCTTGCTCTGTTGCCCAGGCTGGAGTAAGTGGTGCAGTCTTGGCTCACCGCAGCCTTAACCTCCTGGGCTCAAGCGATCCTCCTACCTTAGCCTCCCAAAGTACTGGGACCACAGGTGCACACGCCAGGCCTGGTTAATTTTTTTTTTTTAATTTTATGTTTCGCAGAGATGGGGTCTCACTATGTTACCTAGGCTGGTCTTGCACTCCTGGGCTCAAGCGATCCTCCTGCCTTGGCCTCCCAAAGAAATGGGATTATGGGCATGAGCCACTGTACCTGGCTCCTTCCTATAATTCTTCCAATTTCTGTATATAATAAAAATTATTTACAAAACGATATGTTTAGAGATTATACGTAGGAAATGACTCCTATATATATAATTTCCTGGAATTCTCATAACTCCTTTAGTTTATCTTCTGAAATGATGGACAAAAACACACTCTGAGGACAGACTTCTGAGCCACAGGGAAGGCCCTGGTGCCTGCAGATGGTGACGACACAGGCGAGGCCCAAGGGGGATGGCATGGGGCCCGAGCTGGGCGGCTGCCCTCTCTCCCTGAGCTCAGGGTCCCCTGGGCCCAGTCACTTCCAGTCCAGGCTCCTGGTCTATGCTCCTAGGAAACTTGCCAGTGCTCCTTGTGTCTCTAGGCCTCAGTTTCCCTAGCTTTGAAACAGCACACCCGTTGCCATTTGACGAGTGTGTATCTTCACATCTCTCATGTCCCCACTGCAAGAACCTGCCCACACCTCCTCAGCATCCCTAGTTCCAGCCACGCCCAGGTCACCCTCCCCAGGCACCTGTGACACCACCTGTGGGTAGGAGGCCACGGGCTCAGGTTCTGGGAGCAGCCCTTGGTCCAGGGCAGACGGATGCTGGAGGATAAGCCCCAGTCCCTGGTGGGCTGACCCAGCTGTGTCCTGTGCTGATCACCAGAGCTCCTGGCGGGACAGAGCCCCACTGTCTGCGCCAGGGACCTGCCTGTCAGTCACCCTGCATCAACTCCTGGGGTCACCGCCCCACAACTGCTTGCTCTGAAATCCCTGTCTTAGGAAACTGAGTTGAGACAAGGATTCCTTTAAAAATCCCTCCTTGCCTTTTGTTGCTCGTGGACAGCAGGGGTTTGGGGTGATTGCATCTGAATAAACTTCCCTTGGCTGTTCCTGCCCGGGCCCCGGGCTTCTCTGATCTGTTGTTGTGGAGACCGATTCTTCTTGCCCTTTGTGGTTGAGTCAGGTAAGGGAGGCCTGTTTATCCATGAACACACACAGCGCTTGGCACAAACA
This sequence comes from Homo sapiens, assembly GCF_000001405.40. NCBI lineage: Eukaryota > Metazoa > Chordata > Mammalia > Primates > Hominidae > Homo > Homo sapiens. Next base: position 155,836,390 of record NC_000007.14, read on the forward strand.
TTAATGGGTAGAGACAAGGTGTGAGCGCAGCTCTGTCGGTGACTGTCACCTGGGGTGGAGCACGCCATCCTCCTTGAGCCCCACGGAGTCACACGGAAACACAGGGCAGCTGCACAAGATGAACTTGGACAGGGAGGAAATCTGTCAGGGCAGAACTCACCGTTGTGTGAACCCACACGTGCCCCTCTCCATCCCCAGATGGCAGGAAGTGACTTGGGCAGGGTGGCCTTGAGCTGCGAGCCCGGGGTCCTGACCTCAGGTGGGCACCCGACGTCCTGGTGGGTTTGAGTTTCCTCCTCTGAAAAACAGTCCTTGCACTTTGTCATCCAGTTGGAGGCTCATCTTGGATCAGACGTCTCTCAGCTACACAGGGCGGGTTGAAGGCCCTGTGTGTGGGGACTGGCCAGCAAACCCCCCTGCCAGGCTTGATGCCCACTGGTGCATGGCCCGGGCTGTAGAGGGCGCGACAGGGCTGGTGTCTGGAGGGGCTGGTGTCTGCTGAGGGGCCGGCAGCGGCCAGGGGCCACCAGCAGGCTCTGGCCCTCGGTAGCTGGACACGGGCCTCTGGCTGTGTAGCTCAGGACTGGTGTGAGGCTGCGGTCTCCGGGGCTGTCTCTCCTCCTCCGTCTAGGGAGGGGACGCTGTAGCACAGCAGGCTGGAGAGGTCTGTGGAGGCTGCTGTGGAATGGGGAGGGTCCTGGGGAGGAGCCTCTGTGTAACATGCCTCCCAGATCCCACCATGTCCCCCAACCCCAACTCCCAGCCCTGGTGTAGGCACACAAAGGGTATTTAATAAATACTTGTCAAGCGCTTGATGAATTTTAAGTGATGTCCCCAAACCTCACCAATGAAGACATCACTGGAACACCATGTGAGTGATTCATCTGTCTCTATGTGGTTTTAGCAGGGTGGTCTGGGACACTGGAGTTGCCTTGACTGTTTAGCCTGGGAGAACACATTTTCTTCTTCACGTTGGCTACCTGGGCCTTGCTGGCATAGACGGCTTTGAGTCACAGTGTGTACATGACAATGCCCATTTCAACTAAGAGAAACCCAATCACAGAGCCAGCTTTTTGCTGGAGTCTTTGTCAGCTAATTGTTCAAATAATGACTCTTCTCAACTTTGCTTTTCTTTTTTAAAATTTTTATTTTTATTTATTTTTTATATTTTTGAGATGGAGTCTCATTCTTTTGCCCAGGCTGGAGTGCAGTGGTGTGATCTTGGCTCACTGCAACCTCCACCTTCAGGGTTCAAGTGATTCTTCTGCCTCAGCCTCCTGAGTAGCTGGGATTACAGGTGCCTGCCATCACACCTGGCTAATTTTGTATTTTTGGTAGAGACAGGGTTTCTCCGTGTTAGCCTGGCTGTTCTCGAACTCCTGGCCTCAAGTGATCCACCTGCCTCGACCTCCCAAAGTGCTGGGATTATAGGCATGAGCCACCGCGCCTGGCTGACTTTGCTTTTCATAAAGGGTGACAGAGGCCAAGACTCTTCAAACATGCTCACTTTTTGGGCACTGGGGCCCCTGCATTGCCATCCAATTTCTTTCCCTGTGATGCTGGGATGGGGCTTAGGAGGGAGATCCAGTGTGGTCTCCCCTGATCTCAGTGACCTTGGGAAAGCCACTTCTTAGCTACATGCTCTTATTGTAAAGGGGGAGAGTGTCCCTTTACTATCCCACAGGTTTGCATGTGGCTCAAGGAATGCATACACTGGGTGTAGGAGTGAGATAATCAGTATAGAAGAGAATTGACCAGTACAGAGAAATAGAACTAATGCCGTGCTCATGATTACTGTTAATGGTTGTGGGACCTGCTTACTTGTTTTTTGATGCAGGTTGTCTTGGAGCACAAACAAATACAGTCAGAATTTGCTCTTCTTTTCTGTTTTCTTTTTTTTTTTTTTGACCGAGTTTCAATCTTGTTGCCCAGGCTGGAGTGCAATGGTGCGATATCGGCTCACTGCAACTTCCGCTTCCCAGGTTCAAGCGATTTTCCTGCCTCAGCCTCCTGAGTAGCTGGGATTACAGGCATGCGCCTCCACGCCCGGCTAATTTTGTATTTTTTTAGTAGAGATGGGGTTTTACCATGCTGGTCAGGCCGGTGTTGAACTCCTGACCTCAGGTAATCTGCCCTCCTCGGCCTCCCAAAGTGCTGGAATGACAGGTGTGAGCCACCGCGCCCGACCTTTCTTATGTTGTTCATGATAGTGTGGGTCTTCTTTCAAAGCAGTATTAAGTGCTTCAGATTTTTGGGAGGTGAGACAGAAAGTTGTGGTTCAGGATGTCTCAAAATGATGGTTCTGGAAAGCACTGTAGCTCTGTGACTGAACTGAGAGGTTCCTAGAGAAAATAGAGTGGCTTTGGTTGTTTTCCGGAATCATTTGTGATAATAAAGGTTTAAAGCTCAATGAACTGAATTAGAAATATAAGTTAATGGATGTAATTCCCTCCACGCTAAGCTTATGACCCATGGAATTTTCTTAAACTGTGGCATCTCTTATCAAGTGTTATCAGATGACAAAAATAAGTGAACACATGAAGTGTGGTAAGTACTAGGTGAGAATCTTTCCAAAAACAATTATGTTAGGTTCTTAACCTAAGTTAGGTGACTTATTTTTGGTGGACACACGTCTTTGTGGCTATGACTGATTGTATACAAACTTATAAAGTGAAACTTTCAATGAGAAAACCATTTTAACTCCTATAACTGCATTAGATCAGTGCATTTGTCATGGTAGTCTTAAAAACTGCCTTGTCTATGACAGCTCTTTTGTGGGGAGGGCATGAAAGTGGGAGGACTCGGCACTGAATTCCAGGGTCACCACGAAGCCCAGTAGCTCTCCTATTCTTCTGTGGTTAAGGATTTAGGGTCAGACACATGAGCTCATTTCAGTGGGATACTGGAAGCCAAGCTCCAAGTCATAGTGCAGATGGCTTATTATAAAGTTACAGCAGAGATATGGGAAACGAAGAGTGTGAATCAGGCTTCTCTGAAGTCAGCAGTTCTTTACTTACTGTATCTTGATGATGGTAATCTGGATGAAGCTACGCAAATATGCTAAGCGAAGTCATTAATTTTGGTGATCTGGAGGGCTGTGGCCATCTCGGAACCATTACCTCCGGGGACTATTACCCAGTTCCTGGTGAGGGAGGCTGACTTTTGGGTACCACACATCACAGGAGGGCAGAACCTGCTCGATGTGCAGGTGCAGCACTGGGTTTGCTCTTCAGACAGATTCTCTGCTGCGATCGCAGGACTGTTTTATGATGGTATCCGTCGTGCTGTCAAAGAAGAAATCTTCTCTCATTGCTCAGTATACAAACGGCTGGGATTTCCACTGGCACATGTTCCTGTTTACCTGAAGACTGTTTTCCCCTGAACTCTGATAAAGTTCATTTGCAGCTATGTGCAGAGACAGGCCAAACTTCTAATTCCCAGCATGCTTTAATGCTCATATACTAAGCTCTGCTCTCAGCTAAGAGGACCTTTGCCGTGTAGAGGCTTTGGTGAGGAGAATCAGAGGTCGGATGGTAGAAACGACCAAGGAGTCTTGAGAAGATGTTCCTTCCAGAAGTTAGCAACCACCACCGGTTCCCTGTCCTGGAAGCTTCCTGCAGCTGTTTCCCTTCTTGTCATAGAAAACTGGAAGAGTTTATTGGAATTTGTGAGCAGTTTTCTGCTTAGAGTTCACAGACTCTCAAAGTGTATTTTGAATGCATGTGCATTTCTGCCGGATTCAGCTAGGTCCTATTTTAAACAGATCTGAGACATAATCAAAACAAAACGTATCTATTTGAAGGTATATTTGCTTTCAAAAGGGATGGGCTAGTAATAGTAGACTCCCCAGTGCATTTACTAGTGAGTCTGTTAGCTCTCCGAGGCTTCAAAACAAAGTGTGAGATGTGCCAGCGAGCAGGCACACACACACACACACACACACACACCTAGCAAGGAAAGAACACCGATTTTTCTTTATCCAATACACTTGACCACACACATCCCCATGAGCGCTTTTTCCTTCAAAGTCCTCACCTCAGGAAGCCGAGCTCTTCTGTAGTTTGACCGTGCTGGACAGCTCATTGTAGTCACTGCATTTGGCTTCTGATATCTCTGGTCGCTTCAGAAGATGAAATTCATCCTTAAAGGACAACTCTCGGTCTCTTCTGAGGATATCTGAAAAGCGTACTTCAGATTCTGAACCCAGGTGTTGACGGCTGCATGACTGGAACGGGAGCCTGTGTGGAAGGACAAACCTCTTCAGAAGGAGTGGCCCTACCTGTGTAGAGAAAGTCCAAGTCTGTGCTGTTGTCAGAACTGAGTGTGTTTGTTCCACGCGGGCACCTGTCCCCATCGATACGAAGGCTGGAGCCTCAGAGATGGAACGTAACTCACACGGTCACTTAGCTGGCTCAGTCGTCTCCAGGTACCTCGGCGCCTTCTGGACTGCCCTTGCGTTGGATTTTTCTGCCTTTTTTGACAAGTGACCCTTGAAAAATTATCTCACTTTTAGGTTTTCTTATGTCATCTCTGGCAAGCTGGCTTCTGGGTTACATGGCATTGGAGTGCTGCCTGCTTGGCCTGGTTTCATCGAAGACCAGTTCTTGGCTTTGTGGACTAAGCCCTATTCCTCCCTGAAAGGTGAGTGATGTCCCGTTCTTTCCTTCCTTGCCTGCCCCAAAGGGAAGACGATGCAATCCCGTGGGCACATGTGTCTCAGGATGAAGGTCCACGTGCTGACCAATATGTGCAGACAATAGACCACGCCTGTGTTGACACTTTTATTCCTCACCCACGGTGTGCGTGTGTTTCTGTACACCCTGGGTGCTGTTGCCCATCTTCAGTAGTGACCAATTTGTCACTAAACAGCATTCTGTTTGGTTTGCATGAACTGGCAGTTAAACTGTCCTGGTTTTTACAGTTTTGTCTCTTAAGGCCGACTGCCAATGTTTTGCTACCCCTTTGGTTCAGTGACAGCCCCCAGGGCTGTAGCGGCTGAGAAACAGGAGGGTGGAGGTTATATCCCTGGGACGTTAGCTTGGCAGGTGCTCACCCTCTGGTGTGTCTTCACCTGTACTTTCCTCAGCCTCTTCAGTTGTTTTTTTTTTTTTTCTTGAGACAGTCTCCCTCTGTCACCCAGGCTGGAGTGCAGTGGCATGATCTCAGCTCACCGTAACCTCCACCTTCTGGATTCAAGCAATTCTTCTGTCTCAGCCTCCCAAGTAGCTGAGACTACAGGTGCATGCCATCATGCCTGGCTAAATTTTGTATTTTTAGTAGAGACAGGGTTTTGCCATCTTGGCCAGGCTGGTCTCAAACTCCTGACCTCAGGTGATCCTCCTGCCTCGGCCCCCCAAAGTGCTGGGATTACAAGCGTGAGCCACTGTGCCCAGCAGCCCCTTCAATTTTTGAGGAAAATCATTAATTTTTATTCTTGGAAGAACTTCACCTTGGAAGTGGAAAAGTGAATTCCTATCATAGCCCACAGATCCTACCTGTGTCCTCAGTACCATGCTCTGTCCTGGGTGTGAGGATGTGGGCCAGAAATAAGTTGCCAGCATCGTTTCCACCTCGTTTGATATTAAATCATCTGCAGTAAGATGGGAGAAGCTGCGGTGGGCAGACATTTCCTTTCTCCCTCATCCTCCTGTGTTACAGATATCTTGGAATGACGTCCTTCCTCTCCCCGATGACATGTCAGGGTAGCAGGAAACCAGCACCTTTCCCCTTAGAGCTATTTCCTTCTTCCCCAACCACAGGTGTTTACCAAGTGTCTACATTATGGTGGTGATGGAGGTGGAGGATACATAAAAAACAAATAGTAGGGCCGGGAGCGGTGGCTCACCCCTATAATCCTAGCACTTTGGGAGGCTGAGGTGGGCAGATCACGAGGTCAGGAATTTGAGACCAGCCTGACCAACATTGTGAAATCCGTCTCTATTAAAAATATAAAAATTAGCCGGGTGTGGTGGCGTGTGCCTGTAATCCCAGCTACTCAGGAGGCTGAGGCTGGATAATTGCTTGAACCCGGGAGGCGGAGGTTGCAGTGAGCTGAGATCGCACCACTGCACTCCAGCCTGGGTGACAGAGTGAGACCCTGTCTCAAAAAGAAAAAAAAAAAGTCATTTCTTTGTTTTGGCCCACACAGAGCTTAGCTCCTCCTTCAGGAGTAAAGACTGCGTGCACCAAACGCTGATTTGTGTAACATCAACAACAAGCGCGAGGGCTTTCGGGGCCCAGGGCAGGAGGAGTGACGTCCTGCGGGGGCTAGGACAGGAACTTCATGGAAGGGTGGTCAGCACTGAGATGGGGGCAGGCCAGGGCAAAGGAGATGCCAGAAGCAGGGAGTGAAGAGGGAGTTCAGGGCCTCAGGTGAGGGCTCCTTTCCGTGCAGAACGGGCCAAAGAAACACATCCCAGACTCACTGACCAGGGAGGACCGAGGACACCAGGCCAGGACCCTCTGTCCCTCATGGAGCCATTGCCTACAAATGTATCCAGGAGACAACAGTGACACACATGAGATGTCCTTCAAGTGAAACTGTTCGAGATTCCCCAGAGGAAATCTTCACGGAGACCCCAAGAAGCGGCTGGGCCCAGCTTACCTTCATCCACGTCTCAGGTCTGGGAGCTGCAGACATAGCAGGTCAGGGCAGAGTAGGGGCTGACCTTGGTGTCCTCAGCGTTCAGGGGCGCGTCTGTGAGTTGTTTTGTTTTGTTTTGTTTTGGCATAGGCTCTGTTTTACACTTACGGACGGTAAGCCCATGAGACACCCCTGTTCTCAAGGGCGGGGACCAGGCCTGCCCCCTGGCAAGGTCCTCATGCTTAGAACTCAGCCGCTTAGCACAGGTTGAGTCTCCCTTATCCAAATGCTTGGGGCTGCAGTGATTTGGATTTCCGACTGTTTTGGATTTTGGCATATTTGCATAAGGGATATCTTGGGGATGGCACCCAAGTCGAAACCCAAAATTCATTTATGTTTCATATGCGCTGTCTATACGCAGCCTGAAGGTAACAGGTAACGTGTCTCCCCTCAGGGACGCTGCAGCAAGTGTGTGTTGTGCGCCTGAGTTTCGAGCTGTGCGTGGAATTTTCTGCTCGTGGCCTTGTGACGGTGCTCGGAAAATTTCCGATTCTTGAGTATCTCAGATTTCAGATTTTCAGGTTAGGGAAGTTTCACTTCTCAGCAACTGTCTGTGGACCCGAGGCCTGTGGTGTGGGGGCATGGAGAGGCTGGCACCTGCAGGGCCTGGTGTCCGCGGGGCCTGGTGTCTGCGGGGCCTGCTGGCCTAGGCCAGGGCTGTGGGGTTCCTGGGGGGGACATGAGTAGGATGAACTCAACTGATGTGCTCCATCAGCACCTGCTGGACATTTTCCCAAGAAAAGAGACCGGGAAGGGATGAGAGAAAGCATCCAGAATGGGGCAAGCGTCCCCTGGGGTCAGAGTGTGGACGAGCAGTGTCGGCCAACCCACACTGCACCCAGGCCAGCTGGCAAGGGGTCAGGTCCACAGAAGGACATGGGGGACGGGCTGCCCCTGCGTGTGGTCAGTGCTTATTCCTCAACTCAGAAAGCCTGGGGGACGTGAGCCCGGCACTCATGTGGTGGGCTTAGCCCTGCTGAGTGGTGCTGGCCACCTTATGGGGACTCTCAGGTGACTTCTGGGGTGCTGGGTGGGGAACTCCATGAAGAGTGGCTGGCCCTGACTTCTGGCAGGCCAGGCCCTGTGTAGCTGGGGTCCTGGGCAGGCCATCGCCCCCTCACCCCACAGGCCTTGCCCTCCTTACCCTGAGACCTGATCCCTGGCCGGCATGAGGACTGCACCCCCGCCGCCTGCCTGTGGATGAAAAATGTCTCTGATGTCCAGCTAGGGGCCTCCCTCGAGCTGGCGGCATCCTCAGGCCACTTCCTTAAGAGCTCTGGACGGCCCCAGGAGCCCAGCAATGATTAACCACAGCGTTCCTGGGTGTTCCCTCCGGGTCCCCCTCCCCCGCTCTTGAACTGGAGCCGGAAGGGCGTTGGGAGGCGGCATGGCTTGGAAGAACATGAGCGGGGCCCAATTCCAGTTTCTCCACTTTCTGACTCTGAGAATCTCTGGAGGAAGTTACTAAACCAAAGCTGCCCTAACATGGGTCTGTGTCGAAGACCCAGGGACCTGACAGTGGCAGAGACTCAGAACATGCACCAAGAGTTCGGGCAAACCTCCAGACGTGCTTCCATGGAAGATCCCGGGCAGCTGGGACTTCAGCGCCCCCGAGCTCCACGAGGGCATGGAACCTGCTTGGGCCTTTTCCTATCTCTCCGTAGGCACTGGGGATGTTTCCCCGCTGAGGTCGCCATTCTGCTCTTCCTAGCGGCCCGTCCTCCCCATGCCCCAGCCCGAGCACATCACTCCCCGTCCCCTCCTTGCCCCTCTCCGCCCATGGCCTGGGACAGCTCCTTGGGTAATGCAAGTCTCCTGAACCCTGGACAGAATGGTCAGGTTACCTTTGGGGCTCTCCGGGCAAGAACTCTCTCTCCCTGGAATTGGAGGCCTGTCTTCCTGGTGGGGCCCTGCCTGTCCCCAAGGCAGCATCTGGAGCCCATGTCTCAGAGGAAGCCCCTCCTGTGTAAGGCAGATGCACACCTGCACTTAAGCCAGGTGAGGGTCCTGGGTCCAGACACCTGCTTCCCTTCCTCACCTCCCGATTTCTATCTGTGGTCACAGAGAGAGAGAGGGGTCCAGGTTTTCCAGTTTTTGGGTTTTCCCCGCTAGAAACCTGGAAGTGAATGCAGGCTGTCCACAATTCACAGGTCTGGGAAGAGAAAGGCCATTCCACGTGGCTTTGCATGGGTTAGTTGTCTTCACCACATCCCTATTTGGTCGTTACTAGTAGATTTCTTCTGTGAGCGGGAATCTGGGGCTCAGGGGTCCTCCCACTTGCCCAGGTGCCTCACCGTGAGCTCCCGGGGGTAGACCCGGACTTCCTGCTCAGCAGGACCAGCTCTTTCACAGGAGGATGATGGCGCCCGACGGGTCCTGCAGCATCTCTTATCGGGTCTGGCAGCCCGGTCCCCTGGGGATGAAGGCTCCTGACTCTCACCTAGGGGCACAGCTCCCCGGCACCCCTGATTTTCCTGCTTTTCAGAACAGTCGCCCTCACATGCAGTGCGGGGCTCGTTGGACATTCTCTATTCTTTTCCCTGATAGCCTCTGTTTGTCCAGGGACTGCAGCCCTGTCCCTCAATACATAAAATGTCCAACAAAATTAATAACTTTCCTTCTATAACTACAACCAGATATGCTCTCACACCTGAACTTCAACATAATTTTACCTATACTCAATCTTTACCACCTGCATGTGAACCATAAACCAAAACACTGGATTCAAGTAGTCTCCTAAAACCCATCTAAAAGACCACTCCCGGACTCCCCGACTGGAGGCCTCAGGCTGTAGTTCTCAATAAGACTTCTAATAAAACTAACTTTAAATCTTTGGCCAGGTGCAGTGGCTCCTGCCTGTAATCTCAGCACTTTGGGAGGCCAAGGCGGGCGGTGAAACTCCATCTCTACTAAAAATATAAAAAATTAGCCGGGCATGGCAGCGTGCACCTATAGTCCCAGCTACTCGAGAGGCTGAGGCAGGAGGATGGCGTGAACCCAGAAGGCGGAGCTTGCAGTGAGCCGAGATTGCACCTCTGCACTCCAGCCTGGGCGACAGAGTGAGACTCTGTAAGAAACAAAACAAAACAAAACAAAACAAAAAAAACTAACTTTAAATCTTTAAAAGCTTATGTTTTTTTCTTTAATCAACAAAGGTAATATGTAGTTTTAGAAAAAATAGAGCCAGGTAAAGACCTGGGTATGCTTGGGGTAGTGAGATGATGCAAGCTGCATGAGGCATCTGGATGGGACCTTTGAGAAGACGCCGACTGAGCAGAAGGGGAAGCCGGGGTGTGTGTAGTGAGCCTGGCAGAATTCTGGGGGAGCATTCTGGGAGGAGGGGTGGTTCATGCAAAGGCCTGTGGCAGCGTGGGCTTGGTAGGGGTGTGCTGAGGGAGAAGAGGTTGGAGAAGTGCTGGGGCAAATCTGTAGGACCCTGGAGTCCACTCTGGGACTTCTGCTCTGACGCTGAGAGAAGTGGGGTCCTTGGAGGGTTTTGGCAGAAGAATGATCTGACTTATGCTTTAACAGGATCAGTTTGGAGCTGTGTTGAGAACAGATTCCAGGAGCTTGGATGAAAGCAGAGAGACCAGTAAAGCATGGAAAGATGTCTTGGACCTGGGTGGACTAGGTGGATGGGTTGGAGAATATCAGAGTGTCTGGTCGTGGAGACGTTGTGAAATGCAGACGTTGTGAGGTGGAGACATTGTGAGGTGAGAGACCCTGTGAAGTGGGAGACGTCTCCAGATGGGAGATGTTGTGAGGTGGAGACCTTGTGAGGTGGAGATGTGAAGTGGAGATGTTGTGAGGTGGAGAGGTTGTGAGGTGGAGACGTTTTGAGGTGGATACATTGTGAGGTGGAGAGGTTGTGAGGTGGGAGATGTTGTGAGGTGGAGACGTTGTGAGGTGGGAGATGTTGTGAGGTGGAGACGTTGTGAGGTGGAGAGGTTGTGAGTTGGAGAGGTCGTGAGGTGGAGAGGTCGTGAGGTGGAGACGTTGTGAGGTGGCAGACGTTGTGAGATGGGAGATGTCGTGAGGTGGAGAGGTCGTGAGGTGGAGAGGTCGTGAGGTGGAGAGGTCGTGAGGTGGAGACGTTGTGAGTTGGAGATGTTGTGAGGTGGAGAGGTTGTGAGGTAGGAGACCGGGCGGTTCCTCTTCACAAGACCACAAGGCTGGCTGTTGGCTCTCAGGGCACCATCTGCCGACACAGGGGCTGACGCATCTTTACTTGGGAAGAAGGACACACTGTGGGGGGTGATGTGGGGGGCTCAGAGGGGAAGGAAACACTGTCTCGAATGTCAAGGAGTTGATTATAATGTAGCAGAGCAATCAGAGATTCGCTGAGGAGACTGTGAGACGGAGCCCAGGTCCCGGGGAGAGCCGTGACTGCAGGGCCGAGGGCGAGGGTGGGGGTCCAGACCACGTGGGTCTTTGTGGGTTGGGAAAGGGTGCTCACCTTTAAACAGCTTTATTGAGATATAATTCACAATACTATACAATTCCCCCATTTAATGTGTACAATTCAATGGTTTTTGTTACATCGTTTTATTAACTTACGAAACATTTAGCAAAATATGGATAACAAAATTTGCCCTTTAAGACCATTTTTAAGTGTACAACTCCGTGGCATTAATTGCATTCACAACGTTGTGAAACCCACTATTTACTTCCAAACCTTTTTCATCACCGCAAACAGCAGCTCTGTACCTATTAGGGAAGACCTCCCCACACCTTCCTCCCCGCAGCCGTGAGAACCTCGAGCCCGCCTTCTCTGTCTCTGGATTTTAGATATTTCATCTGAGTGTAATCACGCAGCGTTTGTTCTTTGGTGAGTGGCTTCCTTCACGGAGCATAAGGTCCTCAAGACTCACCCGTGTTGTGGGTGTTGTGGCGGGATGTCAGAATTTCCTTCCTTTTGAAGGCAGAATGACATTCCTCTGTGTGTGGCCGCATTCTTCGCCCATGGGTCCCTGGATGGACACCTGGGTTGTTTCCCCGCCTTGGCTGCTGAGGATGCTGCTGCTCTGAGCACTGGGAAGGCTTTAAAGCCACGGAAACGGAAAAACGGAGTGTGTTCAGGGAAGCGCGGACAGATCGCCCGCTGGTGAGGCTCTGCGTTCAGGAACAGAGGGTGTTTCTCAGGTAGGAGGCAGGTGTGTGGGACACGCTTCTGCAGTCCTGCAGGGAGTCTCTGCAAGGGCCTGTGGGAAGAAGGCCCTGGCAGGAGGCCCTGAGGCCTCAGGGAAGAACAGGAGGTGCCTGGAGCTTTCCTGCTGCCTGCACAGGCACAAGTCCCTCCCTCAATGTTGGGAGAGCAGGGGACCTGCACCTCCCTCCTTCCCTGCCCGCTCTCCAGCCTCCTGTCTCCTATTCTCTGGTGCCCCCAGGCCTGGGGCTCTTAGTGTGTCCCTCCCCTCCCCTCGCCTCCCCTCCCCTCCCCTCCCCTTGCCTCCCCTCCCCTCCCCTCCCCTCCCCTCCCCTCCCCTCCCCTTCCCTTCCCTTCCCTTCTCTTTTTGAGAGTCTTGCTCTGTTGCCCAGGCTGGAGTTCAGTGGTGTGATCTCGGCTTACTGCAACCTCCGCCTCCTGGGTTCAAGTGATTCTCCTGTCTCAGCCTCCCGAATAGCTGGGATTACAGGCACCCGCCGCCATGCCCGGCTTATTTTTGTGTTTTTAGAAGAGATGGGGTTTTGCCATGTTGGGCAGGCTGGTCTCAAACTCCTGACCTCAGGTTATCTGCCTGCCTTGGCCTCCCAAGGTGCTGGGATTACAGGCATGAGCCACTGCACCCAGCCTGGGTCTCCACTTTCATTGACCCACCCCTCTTCTACTTGGCTCAGAAGACCAGGGTTGCCCCAGGAATTCCTGCCACATCCCTCAGTGTCCCCTCCCCGTCTTCTCTTCCTCTGCCCATGTGACAGGTCTCGCGTGTCCACCACGGTCCTGGGGTCCTGGCTCTCCCACCGTCACTCCGAGTCCAGGGCTCTCTGCTGTCTGTCAGAAGGATTTATGGTTGTAGGGGTGAAGGGACAGGGTGTGACACGGATGTAGCTAAAGGGGAGGAGATATGTTGCAAGTCCCACAGCTGTTCCCAGGGGCTGGGAGGGCATATGCTTCCTTTAACAGGTGCGTAGTTCACTCTTAATGCCCACTGTGCCTCGTCAATCCGATAAAAAAAAAGGCAGTTATCCTCCTAAAGACACTCTTGGAAGTGTGGGGCTGTCCCACTGGCCTCCCTCCTACTCTGAGATGGGATTTTCCGGGTGGCTTCCTCCGCAGGAGTGATTCTGCTCGTGCGGTTTTGCACATTCAGAAAAGTCTGTGTCTGTAACAGGCTCCACTCCTCTGGCCCCAGAATCTTAACTCCAGCTGTCGCCTGGGGCCTGCCAGTGGACCATAAAGAACACCTGTGGGGTTACTGCTCTCAAGACTTAAAGACAAGCAGGGAGGAGATGGTGGCTCTCACACACTGTGACAGGGAGCCACCTGCCGCTTACCGAAAGCCAACCTGAGCACCGTGTCCACACACCCAGCTCCAGGGATTGGGTGTAGCAACAGTGCTTGCTTTCCATCATCCCTCAAGAGGGAGTTGGTGCTGTCTGTTTCCTCATCTGCCTTTTGTCTAATCTGTTGGGCACCTTGGTGTCTCCACAGCTCCCGTCTGAGGTCACTCTGGGGTGGATCCAGTAGCAGTGATGCCCTGGGGATGGTGGTGCACAGAGTGACTTAGCCCTGGGGTGCACATAACCCTGTGGCAGCTTGGCCCCAGGGGCAGGGGGCAAGGAAACCTAGGACCAGGGGGCGGGGTGGAGGTAACTTGGAACTGGGGGTGGGGGGTGGAGGTAACTTAGGCTCAGGGGTGGGACGTGGATGTAACTTGGGCCCAGGGGTGGGAGGTGGAGGTAACTTGGACCCATTGGTAGGAGGTGGAGGTAACTTGGACCCAAGAGTTGGGGGTAGAGGTAACTTGGGCTCAGGGCTGGGGGTGTCACAGCAGCCCAGGCTCTGGGGAAGGGTGGGGCAGGTGCAGCAGCAACTCAGGCCCCAGGCGGGGGGCATGACAGTGGCCCCTTCTTTCAGGGAAGCGCAGCAGTGTGGACTCTGAGCATCTCTCTTCATTGTGCAGAGCCTCACTGACTAACACAGAGGTGCCTGTGGTGGAGGCTGTGGGTTCTGCAGGGGTGATGGAGACCACCAGGATCCTGCTCACCTTTTCCCTGCAGGGAGAAATCTCTCTGAGAGGATCCCTCCTCGGCTCCAAGCTGCTCCCCATGGGGGAATGGGGTGGCAGAGCAGAGTGGCATCTCTGTTTTCTGCTCTCCACAAGGTTTCTGCGGCTTCTCTGCTGTCTTGGAGCTATCCCAGCGTGGTTTCCATGGTGTGTAGTGTCTTTGTGTTGTTTTGTTGTTTTGTGGGTGGGGCGGGGGGAAGCACTGAGATCTCCTAGTCCACCATCTTGCTGATGTCACCTTGGGAATGGTTTTATACTTTACCAAGGGACAGTCCACAGGGTGGATTTTAATAACAAGGGCCCCAACTTGTATTCAAACTAATGCTTGGTTGATTTCAAGGTGCCTTGTGTATGACTTTGCAGGAAGCTGATATCTTGCTAAGGGAGGCACATTGTAGCTGTGGGGCTCCCCTTTAGTACTTGCTTCCAAAGTGTATTACTATACCTCTGATGTGTCTTCCACAGGCCCCAGTTGAGTAAGTGTGCCTGTATCACTTGTTACTTTAAGGGTCTCACCCCAGCCTCTACGATGTTCTCAGGAAGCCAATAGAACACGCCTGGATTAACATCTGCTTCCTCAAGGCTCCAAAGCACTAGAATAACAGGCAGGTGTTTAAAGCAAAGTCCCTGGCCTCGAGTAGCCTACAGCCTGGTAGGAAACAGAAACACGTGCTCTGTACAGCATGGAATTGTGAGCAAAGTCCCATGGAGACAGGAGGGGAGAATGACGGGCTGGAGGCAGAAACTGCAGAGACTGGCTCTGCATAGCTGCTGTGAGAAACGGTAAGTCACTCGTATGGCTATATGAGTGAGCTATACAGAGTGCAGGCACCTCAGAAAGGGTCCCTGAAGTAAGACAGTCCAGAATTAGGCTCTGGGATTCAGGGCAGGGCTGGCGCTCACACAAGGCAGAGCCTTCCTGGGCATCTGGACCGTGTCCAGCCTCTCACTGTGGTGCTAGGAAGTGCCAGACCGATGTCTGGGAGAGTGCCACCAGGTTTTTAGAAACCTCACTGGAACCCTGCTTCCATCATTGCTTCTCTGTAAACTTCTCTCTGTCTACACGTGAAATCCAATCACTTCTACAAGGTTCTCTGTAAAGGAAAAGCATCACAGGGAACCAAGCACCCCACAATGCCTACCCTCCCCCATTGTAAACGTGGGGAACACGTCTGCCCCGACTTCCACGCCAAAGGGTGGCAGGGAGACGCATCCTACTTGGCATGAACAGGTCACGGGGCTACCTGGAAAGGGTCTTCTCGGCTTGTAGAACCGGGAGCGTCCTTCTGGGGCTCCAGGTCTGATGTGGGTATGGACAACATCATCATAAAATGACGAGATGAAATGCTAAGCTGCTGCAGCCGGGAAAATGTATTAACAGTTTGAGGCAGAAAATCACAAAGTGTGAATCTTCAATGAAGGGGCAAACTTTTCCTACTAAAAATCATTATTCCTGCTATGCAGCACAGCTCAGCAAAGAACAGGAGGGCAGAACACAGACTGAAACATTATCATCTTTTCAGACGGATCCTGGAAATGGAGCTGATATCTGTGTTCTTGAGGAACCACACCAGAGGCACTAGGACCCTCTGAAATCACGTAAAGAGCTCTGAGCTCTAGGCTGCTGCAGGCCCAGCCGTCCCAGGAACTGAAGTCACCAGCACTGTACCCTGCCCCTGGGGCCCTAGTCATGGCTGCACCCTGCTGTCCCTGGAGCCTTACCGCCATGGTGTTCTGACATGCCTGGACATGAGTGGCAGCAGCCCTCTCCCTCCTAGGCCTGTGCCACAACAGCACTGCACCACCCCAGCGGCTTCCATTGCCACGGTGCCCTGACAGCCTTAGGATCCAAGTTGCTGTGGCACCCCTCCTCTCGGGGTTGCAGCCACTGACATGCCACTGACATCCACTGACACCTTCATCCCCAGGGCTGAGCTGCTGCTTACCCTACTCCCTGGGGCCTGAGCCACTGCCATGCCTCATCTCCCCAGGCCCAAGCTACTGAGGTGCCTCCTAGAATCATTGACCCCAGCTCTGTGAGCAGTCTGCACATGGCCGTGCCTTAGCAGGTGCACCAAAGCCATAGGACCCATGGATGCACAGCAGTTCTGTAATCCCCTGAGTCCCGTACTTGGCTCTGTAGCTGTTCTGAGCATCTGTATCCTCAAATCTAGCACTGCTATGACTGCCCGCAGACTGTGCCAGGCCCAGAACCAAGAGGAATCTCCTGCAGGGGAAAGGCCCTCCTAGAGCCTGAGCCATAACAGTGCTACACCACCCCAGGGGCCTCAGTTGCCACTGTGCGTTGACATCCTTAAGACACAAGTCACTGTGGTACCCCTCTTCCTGGGGCTGGGTCCACTGACATGACACCGAGATGCCAGTGACTGAGATGCACCTTCATCCCCAGCTGCTGCTTACCCTACCCCCTGGGGCCTGAGCCACTGCTACACCCCATCTCCCCAGACCTAAGATATTGTGCCCCAAGAGGACACTAGCAGCTTTTGTCACCAAAGATCCCAATAGCCCTTGCTGCCACCACCACCACTTCAAACACTTGCAGCCTTGGTCACCAAGGATCCCCACGGTCTTTGCCTCCTCCAGCCTAGAGGCTGATGGAGGTAAATAGAGACTGCACACTGCATTCCTTGAAGCCAGAGCTGCCACACCCCACCCGACTGGGCACCTTATGCTCACCTGCTGGTGAAAGTCTTTCCTCATCAAAGCTATTCTGTGAAGTCTGGAAGAGGTGACTGCTTCTTCAAGTGCTCAGACATCAACACAAGGCTGCAAAAAACATGGAAAATTAAGGAAACATGACATCACCAAAAGAACAAATAATTCTCCAGTAACTGATTACAAAGAAATGGAGATCTAGGAATTATCTGGAAAGAAATTCAAAATTATTATTTTAAGGAAACTTAGTAAGATACAGGAGAACATAGATAAACAACTCAATGAAATCAGGAAAACAACATATGAATAAAACAAGAAATTCAACAAAGAGATAAAAATCATAAAAAAGAACCAAACAACTTCTGGGGCTGAAAAATATAATAAATAAAATGAAAAATGCGATGCGGAGTTTCAACCTTCCCAACAGAGTGGAAGAAAGAATCTGTGAACATGAAGAAGTGTCTTTGGAAATTGCCCAGTTAGAGGTGAAAGAGAAAATGAATAAAAAAGAGTAAAGAAAGCTGGCCGGGTACAGTGGCACACGCCTGTAATCCCAGCACTTTGGGAGGCTTAGGTGGGGGGAATACTCTAGATCAGCCTGGCTAACATGGTGAAAATCCATCTCTACCAAAAAATACAAAAATTAGCTGGGTATGATGGTGCATGCCTGTAGTCTCAGCTACTCCGGAGGCTGAGGTGGGAGAATTGCTTGAACCAGGAAGGAGGAGGTTGCAGTGAGCCTCGATTGTGCCACTGTGCTCTAGTTTGGGCAACAGAGCGAGACTCTGTCAAAAAAAAAAAAAAAAAAAGAAAGAATAAAGAAAGCCTATGGGACTTATGGGACACCATTAAAGGACCCAATATGTGCATTATTGGACTCTCAGAAAAAGAAGACGGAGAGAAAGAAACAGAAAGCTTATTTTAAAAAATAATTGCTGCAAACTTCCCAAATCTTGGGAGAGATATGGACATCTAGACCCATGAAGCTTAAAAGTCCCCAAGCAGGTTAAACCCAAAGAAATTTTCACCAAGACACATTATAATCAACTTATCAAGTCAAAGACAAAGAGAGAATTTTGTAAGCCGCAATAGAAAAGTGGCATGTGTTAGTCTGTTTGTGTTGCTATAAAGGAACAACTGATGCAGGATAATTCATTTCCTTAAAAAACAGGTTTCTCTGGCTCACTGTTCTGCCGGCTGTATAAGAAGCTTGGCACCAACATCTGCTCTGGTGAGGGCCTCAAGCTGCTTCCACTCATGGTGGAAAGCAAAGAGGAGCTGGCATGTGCAGCAACCACATGGTGAGAGAGAGGGGAGGGAGGTCCAGACTCTCCTTAAACAACCAGTTTTCATGGGAACGCATAAAGCAAGACCTTATTCATTACCATGAGGGCAACACCAAGCCATTTGTAAGAAATCCACCTCCATGATCCAAACACCTCCCATTAGGCCCCTCCTCCAACACTGGAAGTCAAATTTCAACATGACAATTGTGGGTGGGTGAGTGAGACAAACCAAACCATAGCACCTACCTTACAAGAAACACTAAAGGGAGTTCTTCATTGGAAACAAAAATACTAATTACTAATATAAACCATATGAAAATATAAAATTCAGCAGTAAAGGTCAATATATAGTCAAATTCAAATACTCTAATACTGTAATGATGGGTCTGTAAATCTCCTTTAACTCTAATATAAAGGTTAAAGGCAAAAATATTAAAGCTAACTATAGCTTACTTAAATATTAAATAATTAATAATTAAATAATTAATAAAATTAAAGATAACTATACAGTATTTCCTTAATGGATACACTGTCTAAAAATTTTGCACTATGTAAATTGTGAACTCACAAACATGTAAGGTAAGGAGGGAAGTGAAAGTGTAGTTTCTGTATGTGATTGAAGATAAGCTGTTATCAGTTCCATATAGATTTGCACAATTAGGTTTTCTGTAAGACTCACAGTAAACACAAAGCAAAAACCTATAGTAGATACTCAACAGACAGAGAAAAGTAACAGCAAACCACTACAAAAATTTATTAAGTCACAAAGGAAGAAGCAAGAGAAGAACAAAGGAAAAAGGAAGTACCGAACAGTCAGAAAACAATTAACAAAGTGGCAATAGTGAGTTCTTACCTATTAATAATTACTTTAAATGTAAATGGATTAAATTTTCTCATCAAAAGACATTCAGTGGCTGAATAAATAAAAATATAAGATCTAACTATATGTTGCCTACAAGAAACTCATGTTAGCTTTAAGAATATGCATTGGCTGGAAGTAAAGGGGTGAAAAAAAATCGCATGCAAATGGCAACCAAGGGAGAGACAAAGAAGGTCATTATATAATGATAAAAAAGTCACTTCATCAAGAAGCTATAACAACAGTAACTATTTATGCACCAAATTTTGGAGCACCTAAATATATAAAGTAAATGTCAACAGAACTGGAAGGAGAAATAAATAGCAATATAATTACAGTAGTGGGACTTTAATACACTTTCAACAATGGATAAATCATCCAGACAGAAAATAAATCAGGAAACAGTCGATTTGAACAACATCATAGACCAAATGGACCTAACACACATGTTCAGAAGATTTCATCCAACCTACTAATTTTTGTTTGCTAATTTTGTATTCTGCAACTTTACTGAATTAGTTTTCTAGTTGTAACAGGTTTTGTTTTTGGCAGAGTCTTTAGGGTTTTCATTATACGAGATTATGTCATCTGCAAACAGAGACAATTTAACTTCTTCCTTTCTGATTTAGATTATTTCTTTTTATTACCTAATTGCTCTGGCGAGGACTTCCAGTGCTATGTTAAATGGAAGTGGTAAGTGTAGGCCTCCTTATCTTGTTCCTTTATAGAAAAAGCTTTCAACTTTTCACTGTTGAGTATGATATTAGCTGTGGGTTTCATATATATGTGTGTTATCACACACACACATACAATAGTAACTATATGAAGTGATGATATGTTAATTGTGGTGTCATTTTATAATGTATATGTATATCAAACATTGTGTTATATGCCTTAAATACATACAATTTTTATTAGTCAATTATACCTCAATAAGTCTGAAAAAAGAAAATCATCCCCAGATTTATACTTTGTGCAAATTCAAATATAGGGCTTATTTAAATTTATGTATTAACCATGTTACTCATATAAATGACACCATTGAATCTTCTTAGGGAAGAACATAGTTTGGGTATCCTTTTCCAGTTGAAGCTGAATCCTCACCATCCTTTCACACTTTTTTACTCGATTTTCTGTATGATCTGTGCGAGGCATTTGTGTATCACTAGAGTAAGGGGCACTCATAAAAGCTACTCAGGGTACCTGATACCTGAAGGTAGCCAGCTACATCATTGGCTGTGTCCCTGTCCCATTAGCATGGCTCAGCACAGCCAGGACTGAAATCCAGCATGGCTTATGCCTAGGCTAAGACTTGTGCCATGCTTCTAATTATGGGCTTCCCTAGTACAGAGTGAATTGGGAAAACAAAAGGAAAAGGAACATATTTCCTAGGAGCATTCAGTTCCAAGGTAAAGATCATCTACTTTTCTTGGAGAGGGAGTTAAAAAACTGCCAAGGAGGAATAGCCACTTTTTGCTAGCTTTAGACTTGGATCTTCTCACAGAAGTCCATGACTTTGCTGAGTAATAACCTGGGAGAACTGGGAATTGTGGGAGCCCCCAACAGAACAAACCTAGAGTCTTGTATGGCGTCAAGATCTCTGGCAAGCTGGCCCAAGCCTACCTTTCCATGGTCTCCCTGGCCAGTCGTTCCTTCCCATTCTAAGCCAGCTGCAGGGTGCTGCATGACTGCCTTCACCATGTGACATCATGCTTTCTGGTCTTTGTTCTTGGTGTTCCTGCTGTTATGTCTGGAGGGCTTCTGGTCATCCTCCAAGGCCATCTCCACCTCCTGGCTCCCTCTGCAAACTGCCCCTTGCCTTCCTGCTGGGCCAAAGTCCCTCCTGTATGTTGCAGGGCTCTCTAAACATGCCTCTGGCTGTGCCCCTACCTGACCAAAGCTCTTAGAGGTCTTTCTTACTTATCTTGCAATCTTGACAAGGAGTTCAACATGCGTGGTCCAGATACTGTACAAAACACTGGGAGGCACAGAAATGTCTGAGGCTCCTTATGTTATTGATTCTTGGCAGCATTTTCTAGTTTGGTCTGGAAAGTTCCACTTATAAAAGGAGTGCACATATTGCTCAGTGGTGGGTCATCTTCTGGTCAAGAGTCACACAACACGGGGGGGTAATCTTGATGAAAAGTAAGAACAGGGGATATTGGCTAGAAGAAACGGTGTGAACTTCCATCGCTCACAAGGCTTTATCCCCAGGAATGCCACAGTACATATGCCTGGATAATCCACAGCAGGGTGAGGGTGCTTCTGCCTCAGTGGGCAACAGTGGAATAAGCACTAGAGACTGACTTGGCTGCTGAGTGTCTGTGTGACCTTGAGGAAGTCCTGCAGCCTTTCTTGGCCTCAGTCCCCCCATCTGTTAAGTGAGGGTAAAAGATTTGAAGACCTTCAAGGTCCCTTCTTGCTATAATGTTTGTGATTGTTGTTGCTTAGGATTTTGGCAAGTAATCATTTGAGCATTGAAAGCACTTTAGTCTTGAAAGCTGTACATAGTGCTCCAACACCCCAAAGTGCTCTAAAAATTTCCACTCTTTGGATCTGGATCAAACCCCGAAATATCCTATAACCTGCTCCTCAAAGTGTGGTCTGAGAAGTAGCAGCATCACTGGGAACTTCTCGGAAATGTGGAATCTTTGTCTCACCCAGACCTCCTGCATCAGAATCTGCAGTTAAACAACACCCCAGGTGGTTTGTGTGCACGCTAAGCCCCAAGGAAGGTCACAGATGAGAACTTTATTTTTCTATCACTTGTCTGTACATCTTCGACCTTTGCTGCTGCTGTTACTGTGGTTTGAGCCCAAAGCTGGATTGGGGTCAGAATGATCATGACGAGCTTCAGCCTACATGAAGGAAAAAGTGACTATGCTCCTTCCTTTGCAGGCGTTCGTTCACGGGAAGTCAGGGGAGAAGTGAACATGGAGGGCAGTCTAGGGGAGAAGGAAAGGGAGTGAGATGTCCCGACAAACACTGTGTAATCGCCAGTGTGTATGAGTGTGTGTGCGTGTGAGTCTGCATATGGATGTGTGAGTGTACACTTGTGTGAATGTGTTCGAGTATGTGTTATGTGCATGTATGAGTGTATATGTGAATGTATCTGACCATGTGTATGTGAGGGTGTGCATGTACGAGCGTATGGGCATATGTTCATGTGAGTGCATGCGTGTGTATGAATGCATGCACATGTGAGTGTTATGAGTGTGACCATGTGAACGTGCACGTGTGAACATGATTGTATGTCTGAGTATGTAAGAGCATGTGTGTGTACTTGTGCATCTGAGTGTACACTGTGTGAGTGTAAATATGTGGGCGTATGCCATGAGTGTGTGCACATGTGAATGTAAGCATGTATATGTGTGAGTGTATGTGCATGTGACTGTGAGTGTATAAATGTATGTGTGTGCTAATATGTGTGGGAATTCGTGTGGTATAGCTGTGTTAGTGTGAGATTGTGTGTGCATATGTTCATGTGTGAATGTGTGTGTACATGTGTGAGCTTGTGTGCATGTGTGAATGTGAATGTGTAAGTGTGCATGTGTATATGAATGTGCATGTCCATGTTAATGTGTGTGCATGTGTGTGAGTGTGTGTGTATATATGTGTGAGCATGTGTGCATTTGTGTGCATGTGTGTATGCATGTGAATATGTGAGTGTGCATGTTTGACTTGTGCAAATGTGTGTGTGCATATGAGTGTGCCTGTGTGAGTGTGTGCATATGTGAGTGTGTGTTTGAGTGGCAGGGGCATAAGCGTGGGGCAATGGAACTAGTAATAATGAGTAGTTACCATGTGTTGAGAATCACTGCCAGCCAGCCACCAAGCCAAGCACTTAGCATGAGTCATTGTCTTATTCCTTTTTCCCGGTCAGTGGAGTGACTGTGTGAGTTAGTGGACAGTGCTGGACTTTGCCTTGGGGCAATCACTTAGCCACGCTGCCCAAATTTTTCCCATACCAGTAACAGAGGATTCTTGTGAGGATTAAATGAATTAATCCAGGAAAACCCCTTAGCTAAGAGCCTCACATTTTAAGTCTTCAATAGCTGCTATAATTATTCAATTCTTAAGGAAACCCTGAAGGGGTTATTGTTATCTTTATTTCATAGTTGAGGAAAATGAGGCTCAGAGAGACTAAGTAACTTTACCCAAAGCCACACAGCTAGGATGAGGAGGAGTGGGGATGTGAACTCAGTCCATGTGACTGTAAAGCTACAGTCCTTCCATACTTCTCTGAAGAGGTCTATCTCTGCATCTGTATCTTCATCTGTATTTGTAATCTCTGTGTCTGTATCTATGTCTGTAACTGTACCTGCATCGATCTGTAGCTGCATCTCTACTGTATCTATCTGTATCTGCATCTGCATCTATATATATCTCTGTCTCTGTAATTGTATCTGCATCTGCATATGTATCTATCTCTGTATCTGTATCTGCATCTGTATCTGTATCTATCTCTGTATCTCTGTCTGCATCTGTATCTGTATCTGCATCTGTATTTGCATCTATCTCTGTATCTGCATCTGCATCTATATCTGTATCCATCTTTGTATCTGTATCTATGTCTGCATCTGTATCTGTCTCTGTATCTGCATCTGTATTTGCATCTATCTCTGTATCTGTATCTGCATCTGTATCTGTATCTATCTCTGTATCTATGTTTGCATCTGTATCTGTGCCTGCATCTGTATTTGCATCTATCTCTGTATCTATGTTTGCATCTGTATCTGTGCCTGCATCTGTATTTGCATCTATCTCTGTATCTGTATCTATCTCTGTATCTGCATCTATCTCTGTATCTGTATCTGCATCTGTATCCATCTCTGTATCTATGTTTGCATCTGTATCTGTGCCTGCATCTGTATTTGCATCTATCTCTGTATCTGTATCTATCTCTGTATCTGCATCTATGTCTGTATCTGCATCTGAATCTGTATCTGTATCTAACTCTGTATCTATGTTTGCATCTGTATCTGTATCTGTATCTGCATCTGTATTTGCATCTATTTCTGTATCTGTATCTATCTCTGTATCTGCATCTGAATCTGTATCTGTATCTATCTCTGTATCTATGTCTGCATCTGTATCTGTATCTGCATCTACATCTGTATTTGCATCTATCTCTGTATCTGCAGGTCTCTGTATCTGCATGTGCATCATCTGTATTTGCATCTATCTCTGTATCTATATCTATCTGTATCTGTATCTGCATCTGTATTTGCATCTATCTCTATATCTGTATCTTTCACTGTATCTGCATCTGTATCCCAGCTTCTCTTCCT
Source organism: Homo sapiens (assembly GCF_000001405.40). Lineage (NCBI taxonomy): Eukaryota > Metazoa > Chordata > Mammalia > Primates > Hominidae > Homo > Homo sapiens. The sequence goes on from NC_000007.14 coordinate 155,860,374, forward strand.
AAGCGCCCAATAGCAGAATCGTCTGCTTCTCCTTGTCCCTATCTCCCTGAAACTTGGCTACCCTCGGCTCTCCCCAGGGATGATGTCTTTGTTGCTGATCCCAAGAGTGGGTCTCTTCTTCTGTACCTGCCTCCGTTTCCTTGGGGGTTAACTGGGGCAGAATCACAGGGACCAGTCCCTGGGTCATCAAATGGTAACCGGGTATCAACAACAAAGCAGTGTAGGATGAATAGTGCCGAGCCCATGATGAAGAATGTCATCAGGCTTTCAGGTGTCTTCTCTGTGTATTGGGAAAGTGTCTGGCTCCAGGAGCACTGATGCTTTGAAGGCTTCTATTTTTAGGCAGCCTACTGCCTGTGAGGTCTAAAACCATCAGCGCTGAGCTCCTGGTCATCTGAGACCCCAAGTGGCCTGGGCAGTGACTTCTGCATGGGAGATCTGAACACAGCTGTACCTAGGAGTTAGGTCTCCTTTGGTCCAAAGGAATGGGGATGAAGGAGAGAGTGTATTCTGAATGACCTCATCCTGCTACCAACCTTTAGCCTCCAAAGAGAAAGCTGACGTCTGCTCATATTTGCAATCATTTTTCCTCTTTCTTGCAAAACGGCCCCTTCTGCTGGGAGAGCATTTGGCAGGCAGCCCGCTGCGGGCTTGCCAAGGCACGGTTTCATCATTGAGAGTATTTCTCAGTGCCCAGCGAGGGGGCAGTGAGGGATTGGCCCCTTGTGAGTGCCTCCCTGGGGGTAATTCCAGTACACTGGGTGCCTCTTGAGGTGCCTCCTCCAGTCCTGGGTGAGGAGACGATGTCAGAGACGAGGGCACCTGGTGCAGCTCTGCAAACACTGCAGAAGCAGCAAAGAGCTGGCCCCTGTCCAGTCATGAAAAGGGCTCTCAGGGAGATCACTACCAGGCTTGTCTCTGTAGATAAGTGAAAATCACGGTCATGCCCACTGAGCAGATATGCCCTGGCACGAAATGGGGAGGGAGGCAGGGCAGGGACGGGAACAGGAAAGGCCCCAGGGCCAGCACCAGGGTGGCATGGCAGAGCTCTGGTCCTCAGGAGACTGCAGAAGTCTGGGTCCTCTGTCCAGGAGGGGTGAGGTAGAGATGCACACCGAAATGGTGGCATTGCACAGGAGCCAGGCAGCTTTGCAAGGTCGTAATGACAGTCGCGCGTGGCTGCTGACAGGAATTACAGTGGAATTCACATTCTGAGTAATAGTTCCAATTTTGTAAGTGCATTTCTCCTGCAGGCTGGCTCCCTCTGCATGCCCTATAAATAGTGAGTTGTTAAGCATGTCACTCTGCTCTGTCGCACAGGTCCCTACTGCTGACACAGGCATGCAGTGAAGAAGGGTCAGCCACACACATTCCCGGAGCTGCCCAGTGTCAGAATTCACTCTCCATTCTTCTCTGTCACTGTCACCACGGCGATGACGTCGTCACAGTCATCTTTCTTTTTATTGGAGGCACTGTCCTTCCCATTCCAGGCAAGGGACACTTCCCCACATCTCTTTCTTACTCCACCCAAGATGGGCATCATCACCCACCTCAGTCTACACATTGAAGATCAGGTGTTCTCAAAGACAATGATCAATTAACCCCAGGAGTTTGCAGATATCAGCACATATTTACTGAGTGTTGAATAGTTAAGATAGGGGGCTAATTAATAAGGGTGCCTTATTCTCACATATTTGCAATTGTATATCTCATCTTCATTTAGAATCTCTTTGGGAAAAAAAATTCACCATGTCCATATGTAGAATGTTGAAAGCTTTGGGTCATATTTTTACTTAGCGAAAAGAATATAGAACATTCTTATCCAGTCACCTGTCATAGGATTAAGAAAACATGCTCCACCCTGCTGTGGCTCAATTTCAGCAGTATTGATTTTATTACTCATACTTTATAAATGAGAATGCTATTCTTAAAGAATGCAAACATTTGCTTTGTTGTGCTATTGTCTCAGCCCTGCATAAACCTCTCACTCTTAATATATGCCCATCGATTATTATTCTTGTCATTATTTCACAACAGGAGGCATTTTAATGATGATTTACAGGGTTACATATTGTTGGACCATAAACTTCTGTTTGCAATTAAAAAAAAGTTAAATGCAAACTTCAACTTGAAAATAACTCTTAGGTTTAGCATGATGATAAAATGCAAAGGGTGCTGCCTGCCCTTCCAGAGGCCATCGGAGACCTGCACGTCTTCCTGGCAGACGGGGATTGTTGTCTCTGCTCCCCAGGGCTGACCCTGACTTTGGAGGGCTTTGCCTTATCTGTTGTCTGGACGGTGCCATCCTCAGCGCTCACAGGTGATCCTTTCTGAACAAGCTGCCTGGTGCAGCTCGCTGGCGCCTCTGGTGGCTGCACCTGGGAGGCCAGTCCTGGTAAGCCGTGGGGACATGGTTTTTCCCAATTCAGCTAACAGAGGCTCTTCATGTTATGGCCTTGTCTCCTCTGATGGCGCTGCACGAGTCCTTGCACTCAGAATGACACAAGAAAACCCACAGGGAAATGAGCTATGGCTCCAGACCAACCTGCTTGAATTCCAGCTCAGATACATCCATTTCCACATCTGTAAAATGGGATTCCCAGCAAGGACCTTGCAGGGTCACTCCGACATGTGCATGACACCAGGCAGGAACACCCGTGGTCAGGGCTGCCCAGCAGACAAGAGGTGCTCCCGGTGTGTGGGGGCTGCTGGTAGATTGTCCTCCAACCCCCTTGGAACCTTGGACCTCCCCGCCGCCCCTTGCCTGTTCCTCCCACAGAGGCCTGTCCCTCGGGGAGCTTGCCGGCCTCTAGGCAAGGGGGCCAGGCCCACCTTCTGGGTGCTGCCTCCCTCATGCTCAGAGTCACTTTCCTTTTCTGGGGTTGTTGCTCCTTCCAATACCTTCATCACTGCCTTGAATTTTGTACCCTGGGGCTTTGTGAGGAGAGGATGCAATTTCCCAAAGCTTTTCAGAGTAAACAACTCAAAATAGATCAAGGTCCATCCTTGGCTTTTTTTTTTTTTTTTTTTTGACAGAGTCTCGCTCTGTCACCCAGGCTGGAGTGCAGTGGCATGATCTTGGCTCCCTGCAACCTCCGCCTCCCAGGATCAAGTGATTCTCCTGCCTCAGCCTCCCAAATAGCTGGGATTACAGGCACGTGCCACCACGCCTGGCTAATTTTTGTATTTTTAGTAGAGTTGGGGTTTCACCATGTTGGCCAGGATGGTCTCAATCTCTTGACCTCATGATCTGCCCACCTCGGACTCCCAAAGTGCTGCTATTACAGCTGTGAGCCACCGCACCTGGCCCATCCTTACCTTTTTATCCTTATCCAGAACTGCCATGGTCCCTGGACTCCTTCAGCTTGGAGGGGACCTGCCCGGCACAAACTCCCGGCAGCACTGCCCTGTGAGGGCAGCTGGTGGCCCCGTCCGGCCTGACCTGCACCTTCCGCCCACACATCTCAGTGGCGGCCTCCTCTGCACTCTGCACCCTTGGGTGTCCAGAGCTGACTGTCATCCTAAGACAGAATCCAGCCCTGTTCACAGGCCCCTGGGAAAACCACACACACAGGTTACCCCAGGAGCTTGCAGACTTCATTAAGACACAGCGGAGGAGGCTTCTGGGGCTCATTAGCTTCACCTGTGCTCCCCTTCCATCGTGGTCTCCACAGTGCGGCCCTGACTGCATCCTCGACGCCAGGCACTCACCAAGGATTTTTGGGGAAGCAAGTACAGCTCCTTTCTAAGAGCAATTCTGTGCTGTGAATTCCCTGACATTTCTCCGGTCTGCTGCATGCACAGTGGCCACTCTGTCTCCTCGCAGAGTCGGTGTGGACCTTCTAGTCCAGGCCCATGCCCCCCTCACACTTGTGGCTGTGGTTTTTTGTGTGTGTGGCAGAAGGGCACATTTCACACCAGCAGGCAAGAATATGAACCTACGAGTTGACACATTTAGAGTTGTGTCTGCTTTCTTCAAAAGCTGTCTCCTGTGGGGTCCGCTCTAAGGAAGGAAGATCTCTTGGTTGTGTAGCTCCAAATCCCTTCACTGCGTCTTCTTCCTTCTTCGTTCCCGACCCCGAGGCAACAGCTTGTCCTTGGTAAGCATCATTCTCTGGGTGCAGCCCTGCCCTCACCGTGCTGCCATTCTCTCTCCTTTCTCTTCTGTTCAGTTCCAGCTTCAGCACCAGCTCTTCAGGAAGGCCTTCCTGAATGATCCCCCATTATGCTAGCTTTTTATTAGGATAAAGGCTAAGATGCTGTCACAGAAACCTTCACATGTGGCTGCTTAAGTAAAAACAGGAGTCATCTCTCTTCCACATCATGCTACAGAGGCTCTGCTCCTTCAAGACAGGCAGGGCTCCAGGATCTCCCAAATGGGGCTTCTGTCCCGGGTCCAGCGCGCTTATTCCTAACAATTTCCTGGCCATAGGAAAGGGGGCAAGGGAAGAAGGGGACACATGAAGAAACCCCAAAAACCAACAATGGCCTATTAAGTTAGTGATACAGAGGTTGCCATTTTTCTTCCTCTCATAGCCCATTGGTGAAAGTTGCATGGCCAAACCTAGCTATCCAGGAGGCTGGGAATGCAATCTCTGGTTAGGCAGCCATGTCCTCAGCTAAGACTGGAGGTCATGAGGGAAATCCTATTATTAAAAGGAAAGGGAGGTCGATATTGAGGACCATACACAGCCCCTGCTACACGACCCTGAGTGGTTCCTGCTCAATACACTATTGCACAGAGGGTGAGAGCATGAGAACATGTCCCGAGGTTTCAGGATGCACCATTAGGCTTTCTTCTCTCCAAAAGAAAAACTGGCTCCACCGTACTTTCTCCTGGACAGACTAACCAGCTAACGGGCCTTGCCAGATCTCCTTCTGCTGGAGTGGGCGGGAGCTTCCCTCGGGTGGCCCTGTCTGTAGCATGGCTCCCTGGTTGCCCATGGCCCAGAGGAGGTGCAGCTGGTGCTCCCTTGGACCTTGTTGCAGATGCTTGGAAGCCGCTGACTGTGGCTAGATCTTAGCAAGGGTTCTGAGCTGGATGCCACCCAGGCCTTGGCTGACTTCTGCTTTAGAGTCCTCCCCATGAAGCCCTCCTCATCATTGTTCCCTTCCCTATTCTCCCTCTGGGATCTGTCATGGCCCTGTGAGCAAATATCCCGACAGCCCCTGGTTGGACCTGTTCATCTGTCCAGCTCCCTGGGCGGTCTGCCTCCAGCCATCACCATTCTAAGAATGTCAGCATGTTTCAATAAACAGAAACTCTCATGTCCCCTGGGGAGGATGCTACGCCTGCCTTAGGTCCAGCCCCACTGAGAGCAGAGCCCAAAATGAGGGTTTGGGGAACATATTTATGAGGGAGGTGACCCCAGAAATCAGGAGCGAGGGCGGAGGAGCATGAGACTTGGGAGGAAGAGCTGGGAGGTCACTAGGGCTCCTGCCGAAGGCAGTCTGGGCTTTGCTTGGAGAAGCCAGGAATGATTCCCAGAACTGCCTCCAGAAGGAAGGGAGGCAGGGGCACTGATCCACAGCTACCCTCCTCTTTAGGGAGAGGGGAACCCCTGGGTGTTAGTTTCCTCTTGTTTTCGTGTGTGGCTTGCTTCAGGCAAAAGAGCAGAGAGGGCCCAGAAGACCTGGTGGAGGGCGAGCAGCCTGGTGCTGTCCAGCACAGCCTCATGGAATCAGAGCTGCCCAGCGTGACTTATTGTAGTAATTAAGCTGAATGTGATTCTTTTAATGAGAGAAGTTGATGTTTAGAAGTTGCCAACCCGTTTGCTCGTCCCCTGCAGCATCAGATCCTGCTGAGAGCCCAGCGAAGGGGAATGCAGAAACACACCCATAACAGCGCAGGTCACAGCGGGTGGCAGGCGGCGAGATGGTTCAACAGATTTCTGCAGGACCTGACGTGGATGGAAGCCGGTCCAGGCGGCAGAGTGGGGGAAGCACAGCCTTGGACGGAACGGGAGACTGGGTGTGGCTGCTTCCCAGGTGGGGCAGATCTGAGCTGCAGGTGTGGCCACAGGTGTTGTGGGAGCAGCGAGTGGAAACGGAGGGGTCGCCAGTCTGTCTTGGGGATGCTCCTGGCTCTTCCCCTGGCCTGTGGGTCTGCCTCCCATCCCCGGCCCACTGCCAGCCCCAAGTGAAATGCAGGTGGCAGGTTTGCAGGAACAGGATTTTTACCATAGACATGGACAGACTTCCTGTGGAATTTCAGGATGCCTTTCCCAGCCTGGCATTTTTGGGACCCCGGTTTCAGGGGTGAGCTCCTTGTGGGCCAGTCGTTAAGCGCCACACTTGCACACAAAGTACCTGGTTAACCAATCAGCCCATTCAGGAGACAAATGGCAGGAAAACAGGTCTGTGTCCAGGTAAAACCCCCATTTGCCTTCCTAGAAGTCCACCTAATTCTCTGTCTTAAGTATTAATGACATAGAATCATAGAATCTTCAATACATAAAGAAGACCTACTAGCAGCACAAAAGAGGAAGATCAGAATAAATAAGGATAACTACCCCAGACAGAAAAGAAACAATTCTGGGATTGTAAATTAATTTCAAAATGAAATATTTTGAAGTATTCTTCAAGCACGTACTGCATTTGAAAGAAAGAACAGATATTATGAAACCCTGAGAAAGAATATTCAGAAATAAAAACAAAAGGATTGTAAAACAAATCAAAGAGGAGTTGGGAGGTAAGTTGAGGAAATTTCCAGAACACAGAGTAAAATAGGAACTATGAGAAAAATGACAAAAAACATAAAAGATCAATTCAGGAAAGAAAAATATCAGACTGCAATATTTCTTGAAAGAACAGAGAAAAAATGGACAAGAAAATTATCAAAGAAGTAATATATGAAACTTTCAAGACCTGAACAGAGACACAAATTTTCAAAATAACAGGAACTCACTGAGTGACCAGCATGATAAGTGAAAAAAGACCTGCATATCTTGATGAAATTTTAGAAAACTAAAGATAAAGAAAAGCATAGAGGACCTTGCAAGGAGGGGGAATTGGGCCATCCACAAAGGGATGAAATTCAGCCAGTGTTTTCATAAGCAGCCGCATCAAGGTCAAGTATGATTCAGCACAAGGGCAAGGTGAACGCATTTTGTTTCTGATAGGCCTTTGCTGAAAATGCTACCTGAGGATATATTTCAGAAAGTCAATAAAGATAAGGTAAGGCAAACAAGAAACAGAGGCACTACCCTGGGAGTTCAGGGAAAATGCCTTCAAGAATGATGTTATACTGTAGCCTCAGAGAGCAACAGAGCCCAGTTAGCACACGAAGTCAGTGGGCATTAAGAGGACCCCATAAAACAAAACTGGATTATGTCATAGATTGAAAAAGGAGCTGGGAGATAGTAGTGGCATGTGGAAGAAGAAATGCTTCTTCTCTAACATAGTAAGGTCTGTCAATTGGGGAGCTTTTGGCTGCAAGTAACACATCATCTGCCTGAGAGTGGCTTAATCCATGAGCGCATTTATTATTCACTTAACAGAACTCCAGAGACGGGTCATCTCTGAGTTGGCTCAGAAGCTCAAAGACATCATCAAGGACCTGGCTATTTCCACTGCACTGTTTGGCCATGCTCAGCACGAGGACCTTTTGTTCTCCAGCTTGTCACCTCATGATGAGCAGGTGGCTCTCATATTTTCAGGCACAGTGTACCCATACTGCATTCAAAGGCAAGAAAGGAGCAATGAGGGTGGGTGGAGAAGGTCTTTCCTCTTGTCACAAAGGAAAAACTTCCAGAACTTTCCGGCAGACCTTTTCTTAGGTCTGTTTGGCCACAGGAGGGTCCTATGTGCACCTCCAGCTGCCAGATGGGATGAGAAGGTGCGTATCTGGCAAAATGAAGCAGAATGGTTATGATTGGCTTCAACTTAAAATAAATGGGTGATGAGGCCCCACTCCAGGACATCTTGTCCAGCTGGCATGGAGTGGCACTTGGGCATGTGTGGTCATATAAAGTTTCCTGGGTGATGCTAATCGGTAGATTTGAGACCCACTGACTGGACTATTTGTGACTCCTGAGGCTGGCATATTGTCACCTGAACAAGTCAAGTTCTGTTTAGCCAGAAGGAAGAGGGAGGGCATACCAGCTAGGCAGGACTAATAATAATGTCTAGGAAAAGCCCCAAAACAGTACAAAAAAGCCATGTTCCAGGTAGGAAGATGATACCGAGAAACTGGTGGAGCACAAGAAGAGGGAATCCATTCAACTCTGATGCTGGGACCCTTCTCCCTTGAGTGGCAGAAGATCTTAACATTGGATCTATAGAGAAAAAAATTTTACTGTACTACTTGGCCCTGGAAGGAACAGTTTTATACAGTCATAATCACATAAATGCATTCATTCTTTTTAAAAAATTATTTTTCTTTTAGAATCAACCTGGGAATAAAGCCCGGAAGACTTGGTTGTGGCTTCAAGATAGAATGCTGTTGATACGATTCCCCACAATGAAAAGGTAAAGTGATAACTGATGGAAGTAGGGTGGCAGAAGGAGAGCCAGGAGGGCAGAGGAAGACTGCTTTACTGCCACCCTGATGCACATGGTGGAAAGCCAAGAGATACCTTTAATGTCGGTGGAAGAAATGGAAAATATCATCTAAATTTGCAAAGGTAAGTAATAGAAAAAAAAAAACACAGCTGGCACCTATTGTTCAAGGGGTAGTGAGAAGTGTGTAAGTGAGGAAAGCTTCACCTTCCTAACCTGCAGTCAACAGATAGTTTCTAAAGCGGAGACATAGGTCTTGTATCGAACAGGACAGACGAGCTTCTGCTGTGTAACAAACAACCCCCAAAGTCTTAGTCACAGAACAAGACTTATTTAGCAACACAACAAAGCACATTTCTAGCTCTTGTTAATGGTGGGACAGTGACCCCAGGCCTGGGGATGGGGGTGGGTGGTGGTGTAGGCCCTGCCAGTGGTTTCTGGCTTCAAGGGAGCCACAGGAAGCAGCTTCAGCTGCATTTAGGATCCGAGCTGCTCAAGCGGGAGGTTTGGGGCCTTGGCAGAAATCCAGGAACAGAGCGTATGACTTGGTCTCCCTTCTTCTACACGACTCCTTGGATTCTTTGGCATCTTGGCCAGCCATACCTTGGCTGTCCGTTTGGATCTGTAGAGTAAATTCAGTTTGATATTAGGCCTTTCTCAAAGACAGGCATCAGCCCTAGGGTGGAGTGGGATAGAAGTTTCCTCTAAAGGTCTCAGGAGCCCAGAGTTTGCTGTGTGGAGTGTGCCTCGAGGGTCCTGGTCTGCCTGTCACCTCCCTATGGAGCTCCTGAACTCATGAAATACAGCCAGCAAAATAGTCCTCAGGGCCCAGCCTCTCTTCAGTGCACAGGCATAACTTGGTTTATAAATATTACATGGAGTTGTTCATGCACAGCTGGGGGAGAATAGGCCCCCACTGTCGGGCTCTGTCCATGGCCTTGTATTAATTAACTCTGATTTTGCAGGGAATGGACCTGCAACCGTGCACCCTGAGGGCTGTGATCTTATCGGGATTGGGTGAGCTCACAGGCTCGTGGCAGGGATGGAGGGAACGGGGAACGGAGGCATCCGGCGGCCATACCTGGGTCTTCTCGGGGCCTGGACCTGCCGCACTTCTCTGGGGAGGGGCTTTCACAGTCTCCTCGTCCACCCCGTTGGAGATCCTCCTCATGGGCCAGGGTCACCATACGTGGGCACCAACCTTCCCAAACTGATCCTTCTCATGGGCCAGGGTCGCCATGCGTGGGCACCAACCTTCCCAAACTGGAACATCTCCAATGACTCCCCTTTCCTTAAAAGAGTTTTGAAGATCAATAAAACATATTTTTAAAATTAATAAAAAATGTGCATTGATTCAGCTTGTCTTCTCTTAGGGGGTGGTGGTGAAGGGGAGAGTAGTGTTTTTCAGATGTGGACAGCTTCATTTTGTCCAAAGTTGACTCCTGAGCAAGGCGTTCAGAGCCCTCCGTAGGAGCCCCAGCCCTGAGTTCCACGTGGTATCTCGGCTTACCCTTTCTAACTCCACCCACTGCTCCCGGTGGCTGTTCTGGGCACTCCCTCTGCCTCAAACACCCCACACGTGCTTCCTCTTTGCCACCCGGGTTGAGCTCATCCTGTCTCAGGCCTGGAATGCTGTCTCCTCTCCTCCTCCATCTGATCCTCCAAGCCAGGCACAAATGCCCCACCTTTAGCCACTGTTCGTAGCCGGCCTGCTGTCCCCTCCTGGGAGCTCCTGAAACACCACACAGCACCTGAGGACGAGCTCCCCAGACCCAAGCATAGCCAGGACCTGCCTCCCCTGGTCTCTTCCCCTTTGCTGTGGGCAGTTGAGGCTGTCTGCCGGTGGGGCGGGGCAGGATAGGGCCCCCAAACTCCTGTACTAAATCTGAGCTCTTGCCTGCCACCACTTCACCCAACGGACTATTTCTCTTAACAACCATTTGCCTTGCAGGAATTTTTGTTTACTGTGTTCACTTGCCCTGTGTTAGTTTGCTAGAGCTGCCATAAGAAAGCACTGCAGACAGGAGGCTTCAGCAACAGAAATGTATTGTCTTACAACCCTGGAGGCTGGAAGTCCAAGATCAAGATGTGAGCAGGGTTGGCTGCTCCTGAGGCCTCTCTCCTTGGCTTGCAGATGGCCATCTTCTCCCTGTGTCCTCACATGGCCGTCTCTGTGTGTGTGTCTGTGTCTTCTTATGAGGACGCTAGTCGGATTGAATTAAGGTCCAGCCAACTGTCTCATTTTAACTTGATTCCCTCTTCAAGGGCCCTTTCTCAAATGTGGTCACATTCCGAAGTCTTTGGGATAAGGAGTTCAAGATATACATTTTGGGGGAACACAGTACAGGACAAAACACCCTAAAAAGAAGAACCATATTGAAACTGTTTAAAGAAACTTTCCGAAAAATAAGAAAAAGGACCGGAAGCTTTTCAGAATGGATGGAAAAACTGTCTGAGGCCAACAGGTCTCCGGTGAATGAGCCTCCCAGGCCCCCATCTGGGCTCTCTGAGCTCAGCGGCGGGAAGGGGGTCACTCCTGTTTCACAAGGGAGGAGGCAGGTCCAGAAACGGGCATGGATAACAGAAATTCTGCCTGTTATGATGCAGAACACAGGCCTATCATTCTTCTCAAACCATCGCATCCTTTTGCTTGGACTATGGCAGCTGCAGTATTGATGAGATTTGGAATCCTCTTTCTCCTTCTTCTCCAAATGTGGTAGATTTCTCAGGCAGGAGAGGCCTGACTGCCTTGTTCTTGAGGCCTCCTTGGGACCTCTCTTTTGCTACCAGGGAAGACACAGGTGCGGCACCAGGTTACGCATTCCTTCCAGCCCTCAGAGCCGCCGGTCCCTGTTAATCTGTCTTCACCATTTCTAGATAATTGGCCCAGGGTTCATGTTGCTAAATTATAATTCCCTGGACTGGAATCCAAGAACATTTTTGCCCAGAACAGTCACTGAGTCCCAAGGATGAGATTCTGAAGAGCAATAACAGGTATACTGTCCTCTCAGCTGGCAAGCACACCTATTAGCTTAGTGCAAAAGTAAGTGCGGTTTTTGCCATTAAAAGTAACAGCAAAAACTGCGATTACTTTTGCACCAACCTAATATTTTTATTTACAGCTTCACATTTTCTTAGTTCAGAAGATAATGTTATTTTTGTCCTGAAAAATTCAGCCTTCCTATTAATAACAAATGCAAACCCATGGCCATATCCTGCCTCTGTTCCGTGCTCAGATCGATGGCAGGATATAGCTTGAGCTATATGTGTATTTTCTTTACTGATGAAACATTCCATTTAGGGATGTTTAATATTATTTAGTTATGATGTGTCCAGAGTGGCCGAAAAATGTCCCAATATTTTTTAGCCTCTTTGCTTGGTTACCACCGTGCAAACATGATCCAGGGGAATTTTAGTCCAGTTTTTGTAGAATAAAAATTTTGGAGGTTAAAAAAGATCCTGTTGTGGGGTGGGGGGAGGGGGGAGGGATAGCATTAGGAGATATACCTAATGCTAAATGACGAGTTAATGGGTGCAGCACAGCAACATGGCACTTGTATACATATGTAACAAACCTGCACATTGTGCACATGTATCCTAGAACTTAAAGTATAATAATAATAATAATAATAATAATAATAAAAGATGTTAAGATCATCTGCTCCTACAGCCTTATTGTAGAGATAAAAAGAACTGAGGCCCAGAGAGCTTAAAGAGCTTAAGTTCATCGTTAGCAGCAGAATCAGTGCTAGAACCCAGGGACACTTTCTCAATGTGAAATTTCCTCTTTGCTGATACTGCCTCAGCTAAAACATGGATTCATGGGGTTTGTTGTTCTCCCGCTTTGAGGGCTGTTCTGTGGCCCTGGCCCGCGGTCCAAGACTAAGTGATGCAAAGGCAGAGCCTTGAAAGTGAATTGTTTGCATGACCTGATTTCCTTCAGTCTGGTCATTGCAGTGGCAAATCACAGCGCCTCAATTTCCACTGGTTAACTCCGAGTAACTTCTCTTTGGCAATTACCCGGCTGCCTGTGCTAGTATTGGTACTGGCGTCTCATTTGTGCACAGGGCTGGAACTGATTGACTGTATTGAGGAATTAAGGAAGAAAAATAGAGCCATACTTGAAGAATCAAATGAGACGTTTAAGAAAACAGCAGCCCCGCCCATGTCATCCCCCAAAGTCTTCCTTTGTACAACTCCAGTAGGAAACGATCTTGGCACAATCTGAAAATATGCACGAGCCCACTGCTCTTACCACGAGCAAAGGCACATCGATCTCGTGCTGCTTCTATTGATTTAATGTCACCTCTGTGATGTAATCATGTTTTCTTTCCTATCTGTTTGCAGTCTTTTCTTCTGTTGTCTGCCATGAGGCAGCCAAGGCCTTTCAGCTTCTGAGCTGGTCAAAATAACTTTGTCTTCCATTTGCATTGTTTTTAAGAAATGATTACACTGACTCGGGTAGGGCCTTGGTGGATAGCATGATGAGGAGTGCATAATGCCATGTGAAAACTGCAGGCACCAACCTTGGGGTCCCAGCTACGATGCTGGCGCTAACCTTGGGGTCCCAGATATGATGCTGGCGCTAACCTTGGGTCCCAGATATGATGCTGGCGCTAACCTTGGGGTCCCAGCTGCAATGCTGGTGGGAGTCAGGCCTCAGAGGAGCTTCTTTCTGCTCAGCCATGAGGGAGGCATTGGCTTCATGCATGGGTGATGCTCCCCTTTCTTTCTTTCTTTCTTTTTCTTTCTTTCTTTCTTTCTTTCTCTTTCTTTCTTTCTTTCTTTCTTTCTTTCTTTCTTTCTTCTTCCTTTCTTTCTTTCTTCTTTCTTTCTCTCTCTCTCTCTTTCTGTCTTTCGTTCTTTCTTTCTTTTTTTTTGAGACAGGGTCTTGCTCTGTTGCCTTGGCTGGAGTGCAGTGGTGTGATCATAGCTCACTGCAGCCTTGAACTCCTGGGCTCAAGTAATCCTCCTGCCTCAGCCTCTCTAGTACCTGGGACCATAGGTGCATGCTACTATGCCTGGCTGTGAGTGATGGCTCTTATTCCACTTCTCTCTCTTCTTAGATCGTGGACGTACGTGGCTATTGTTGATCATGTTGGAGATGGTGAAAGGTAGAAAGAACGACACAAACCCATATCCAAAATTAAAAGCTCCTTTGGATTTGGTAGGGACAAGTCTATGGGGCTTGAAATTAGTCCAAAAAGGCACATGGAGATGCACTTTGTTTTACAACAGGTTTTAGTTCCTAGGGTGACTTTCGTGCACAGCACCTGCTTGTCAGCAGTGAATGGTGGCAAGCAGGCAGCGGCAGTGGCAGACCAGGGAGACAGATACTTGCTTAGAAGCCCCCGTTTTCTGATGGCAAGAGCTGTTCGTGAGTTTCAGCTCTCAACCATGGAGGCTGTGCTTTCTGCCAGCATGTGGGCAGAGAAAACGGCTCTGACACACTCAAGTACATTTGTTTATGGCGATGGTGATGAGATTTCTATTGGAGACTTCATGGTTTGAGAGCATTACTAAGATTTTAAATAGTGCCTTTTTGAAAGAAAGTTTTTATTTTTTTCAGAAGAAGTTGATGTAGAAATAGAGAGAGATAGAGATGGGGATGGAGAGGGAGAAAGAGGAAGAGAAACAGAAAGAGAAAGGAGGGAGAGAGAGAGAGAGAGAGCACAGGAGTGCACCCCTCTCTGGTGCTAGTCAGTGTCCTAGGACTGGCCTGGAGGCCCAGACCCTGAAAGGTTCATTGGCTGTGTGGTCCTGACTGTGTCATCCTCCTGAGCTGGGACCACAGGACTCTGGTGACTTGCCACTTTGGCTGTGCGTGTCCGTGTCTCTGTTCACATTCCCTCTGCCTTCCCATCTACCTCCAACTATTGAGATCCGGATCTGCTCATATGCTATGTCAGCCTTGACCAAAAGTTTTAGCCCCAATCCTAAACTTTTTGGAAATTAAGAATCATTCAACAAAATAAGTGGCATTAAAGCAAGAATCAAAATGGCACTTGCTGTTTAGTTAGTATCGATAGAATCCTGCTTATGAGCTATTACAGGAGTGGTCAAAACAGTATTCGTGAAAATATATGGAGTTAACATTTATTATTCATTCATTACCATATTATTCATTCATATTATTGCTGTATTATTCATTTATTACCATATAGGAAAAAACATAGATAGATATGCTAGGTATTCAAGAAGTGGAAAAAAAGACAAAAAATAAGCAGAAAGACAAAAGAAGAAAAGCAGAGAAAATAAAATGATATATGTGAAAATTATTATGTTAGAAAACAGAAGAATATTCATATGGGTTATAAATCTATCAATTGGTTATTTGGGGAAAAAAGACATCCAAAAGTCAAATAATAAAGAGAAAATACAAATGCATAAAATTAGAAATGGAAAAGGAGATATGAACATAATATGAAGTTTTAGAGAGTAAACATGAGAATAAACATGATTATAAAATCCTGCTTGTAAATTTTTAGGTTTTGATAAATTTGATTATTTTTTGGGAAAATAAAGATGGTCAAAACTGGGCTAATAAGATGTTTAAAACATGGATAGATTGATGACATTGGAATACATTTTAAATGTTGTCAAAGAATTATCTCAAAAACAAGAATGCGTACTTCCATGACACAGACAATTTTAGTGGCAAGTTTTTTTGTGCTGTATAAATATCCAACAGTGAAATGAAAAGCGTCCTGAATTCATTTTTCAAAGATAGCAAAATTCTTATGTAAATCCTGGCTGAAATAGTATAAAAAAATTATAAACCATCCTCATTTATACCTATCAATGCATTATATTGTAAATAAAATGCTACCTAATCAAATCATGCAGAATATTGAAAGAATATTACATCTTAATTTTAATAAAGATTTATGTCAGAAATGAGATACTGGCTTAATATAGGATACTGTTAATATAATTTGTCACATCAATAGGTTCAAGGACAGGAAAAAATATTCATCTTGATGATCTTCTAGGAGATGCTGATAAAATCTTTTTAGTGGATTAGGAATAAAATGATTACTTTTTAACTTGGTAAATATTCTGTCTTTTAAACTAAAACCTAACATCAGACATTAGGATAAAACAATCAAAAGAAGCCTATTAAACTGAAGAATAAGGCAGGAGAGCCCATTTCCCCATCTTAACCCTGATCTATAAGTTTTAAATGATGCAATAAGATAAGAAAAACATAAGCAGTAATAGATACATTGCCAAAAGGCAGATAAAAATTATTGTAATTTGTAGACCTTTTTCTTTTCTACCTAAAAAATTCAAGAGAATAAACTGAAAACACTAGTGCTACCATTGAAAGAGTTTGTACTAAATTGGCTAGTCATAGCACAAAAATATTAGCCAATTGATGTTCTATACGTTGGCAATAAAAGATTTGAAAACATAGGGGAGAAAAGACTGCAATTATTATAGTACATAAAATATCTTGGAATCAATTTTAGAAATGTGAAGAACTTGTATAACAAAACAGTGTTTTAAAATTTAATTAAATGAAAAGATTTGCCATACTCTCAGATTTGAAGTCTCAATATTATCAAGGTAATACTTTTCCTATAATTAATTTAAAACATAATGTAATTCCAACCAAAATCATTTCAGGGCAATTTTGGAACTTGACCAGGTGATTCTAAATTGGAGAAACAACAAATGAGTGAAAATAGATGAAAATTTTTGTAAAATAAAATTTGGTTGTTGTATTTGCTCTACCAAACCACAGGTAGTATAAATAAATATTAAATCGAACAGTGTGAGAAAGGTAGATCAACGTAACAAAAAATGGAAAAACAAAATATTTTATAAAAAATTGATTTCATGTTGATTAATTTATAATGTTAAAATGTTTTATACTACTTTAGTATATGATAGAACATACATTTCACATGGGCTATTGAGTGAAGGGTGCTGGACACTAGGTTACTATTTGGAAAAGAAGAGTTATAGTCTACTTCCCATCAGACACCACCATGTTTAAAAAACCATAAAAAAATTGGAGAGAAAAAACCAGAGCAATTTTTATCTGATCTTAGAATGGGAAAGACCTTTCAAAACATAACAAAGAAAACCTACAAATGCACACATTATTAGGTTTGACTGTATTAAAATTAAATGTTTGCACATTAAAAATAAGATTTCAAGTTAAAATGCAAACAGAATGTACTGGAAAAATATTCCAGTATGGCAGACCAAGAGTTAAAAACCTTAAATATAAAAGTGCTCTTAAGGATCAATAAAACAATGTTGAATATCCAGGGAGAAAAATTAGCAAACAGTGTCAACAGACAATTACCAAAAGTAAGACCAATGGCCAACAAAAATAAGTGAAATGTTGAACCCCACTAGTGATTAAATAATTCACAGTAAAATTAAAAAAAAAATTTTCAATGCTCAAATTGGCAGAGATAGAACAGTGAGATAACAGTCAGTCAGGTTTGACAAAGGTTGAGTAATACAAACATTCGCCTATACAGCTATGAGTAAATTGGTATAATTTTCTGGGAGTAATTTTATGACTTTTTATCAAGATTCTTAATGTTTAAACCATTTGACCCAGCAATAAACCTGTCCTAGGAATTTATCCTAAAGAAATAATAAAAAGCTACATAGTAGAATTTTTTTTAACTGCAATGCTCTATATAATACCAAAAGACGGAGACAACACAAACAGCTAAAATAGGAAACTGTCCAGTAAGGAAAGCCCTGTTCGTGGGTGGAATGCCACAGCCATAATTTTGAAGATGATCTAATGAGTTGGAAAATTTGCATAATGTGTTGATACGGGAAAGAAGGATGTTGCTCATAAGAAATTGTGCAAACCCCATGTTGTAAGATAAATCTTTTATATATATATCAAGTCCATAACGTAGTCATTATTTAGTTCTAGATGATGAGGTGAAGGGTGATTGAAAGTGACCTTTCTGGCTGGGCGAGGTGGCTCACGCCTGTAATCCTAGCACCTTGGGAGGCCAAGGCGGGTGTATCACAAGGTCAAGAGATTGAGACCATCCTGGCCAATAAGGCGAAACCCTGTCTCTACTAAAAATACAAAAATTAGCTGAGCGTGGTGGCGCATGCCTGTAAGTCCAGCTACTTGGGAGGCTGAGGCAGGATAATTGCTTGAACCCGGGAGGTGGAGCTTGCAGTGAGCCCAGATCGCGCCACTGCACTCCAGCCTGGGCGACAGAGCGAGACTCCATCTCAAAAAAAAAAAAAAAAAAAAAGTGACCTCTGTGTCTTCCAAACTTTGTCCAATGAGCTTGTATTACTTTTATAATCAGTGGGGAGAAAGGAGCATCATGAGACTCAACGAGGAACTCTGTGGACTGAAATGGAGACAGTAAATGGTCTAAGAGGACAGCTGGACACACGAGACCCGTTCGTTCTTTAGGCCTACATGACGCACACCCAGGCTGGAGAAGAACTGTTCAGATGTGTTCTCACCCTGCTGTGGGGAGCCCTTGGTGCGGGGACCAGCAGCGCCCCAGAAGACTGGAACCGGCTGAGCATCATTCCTCGCCTCTCACCAAGAGGTGCAGGGCAGGGGTGGAGCTCATGCCAGGAGGTGAGGGGCAGGGGTGGAGTCAGCCTCTCTGTGGAAGAGGGGCTCTGAGTGTGTGGGAGGTTGGGAGGGGACTCCCGCTCCCTCCATTTTCTGTTCCTAGCCCTGGGACGTGGCTGTGGACGGGTTTGGGCTTAGGTGAGCTAATTCCTCCAGAGAGCAAAAGGCTTCCTTGGAGAATATTTTTTATTATCTTGGGTATTGGGAATGCCCAATACGTATTTATGTTATTTAATACTGAAGTTGCAGAAGGTGTAAGAGAAAGAGCTGCAGCATCTTAGAGCTTGCAGAGGCGTGGGAATTACCCAGCTCACTCTGTTCCCATTCAGCGCCGGTGTTCGTTCCGGGACACCTTGAGCTGACTGCACACTTTGAGTAGAAGTGTAGCACTTTCAGAGGAGTGCTTCTCAAGTTTAGTATCCAGAAATTCTGCATTGCAACCCAACTCTCTGGAGCTGGGGGCGTGTCACTCTCTGGTGGCTTTTCACCTTATCCCTGGACACCTGGCCTACCGCTCCCACATGCTAGCCTCAGCTCAGCAGGAGGTCTTTTTTTTAGCACAATGATACTAATCACAATAATTTAGCAAATTTGTTGAGTGCTTACTTAGGGACAGGCATTGTGATTTACATAATTACCTCATTTAGAGAAAGTTTATATTGTATAGATGAGAAAACAGAGATTCAGAGAGGTTCAGTAGCTGTTTAAAGTCACACGGTTAAATGGCAGATTGGAGAATGGGCTGCAAACCCCACCTGCTGACCACATGCCTCAGTACATCCCTCACTGCGATGAGCGTTTTTGTCTAGTCTAGGCATTCTCTTTGGGAGTCACCTAGTGTTCTCAAGAGTTAGTCTTCAAGGGGTCCGGGGCTGAACCCAGTATGCGGAATTTGGTTTGACCAGCTGTAGTCTGAATGTTAAATTCTATTGATGTAGCCCAAACTTGTGTTTTAAACATTGCATTCTATTTTGCAGACCTCTCACATCTGCCATCAGGTTCCCTGGGTCTTCTTCACATGTCCTAAATCATCTAGGCTCTTCTCCAGCTTACAGTTGAGTTCAGGATGTTGTATTTGTGCTAGATAAATTCCATCTTTTAAGTTCTTCTGTAGATCTCATCTATTTGCATGCTTCCTTAACATTTTTGATCTGGTCATTTGAATATGAGCTGTATCTTAAGCCTTTGATCAATCTTACATTTTAGGAATGGGCTGACATCTTTGACATTGGTAAGATATTGAGGAGTGATGCTTGGAGGATGGGACCAGCCACACCAAGGCGTCCTCCAAGGGACACGAGTCCATGACCAGCACCCGGTTCCATCCTGTGGCCCTTTCCTCTCCTGTGCGGGTCCTCCTTCTGTCTTCTGAAATGTCCCAAGATGGGGGCTGTGTCTGTGGCTATCCTGGAAGCGGTGCTCAGTCCACCACATGAGTCTGTTTAAATGATGTTTCTCAACTTCTCATCAGAGTAGGATGAAGACAGGGTATCACTTAAGCCTTTGGTTAGTGAGTTTTGTGGCTGCAGCAATCTGAACTGGTACACTTCCTGCTGGACCAAAGGTCTACTTAGTGGATGCTCAAGGCCACCACCCTCACCACTCTGGGAGTTCCCTTGGCTTTCCCAATTTGCTTGCCATTCTGTTGGTGCTTTCCATCCCCTGCAGGCTCACCACAGACATCTGATGGATGACAAGGATAATATCCGGTCTCTAAGTAGACTGTGTCGCTTCCCAGACACAGCTTGGATTCCACTTTGTTCTTCACACCAACAGACCCGCATACTTCAAGTGCACATTAAGCCTCTTGCAGTAATGTGCCTGTGGCTTGACCGTAAGGCAGTAAGATGGGTTCCAGGAGCCACATGCAAAACCCGTCTCCATAATTTTACAGTGAGGTGTCCTACGTATTTAAGTTTATCCTCTGTCAAAAATTATATATTGGGATAACTTCTAAAGAGCAACTGAAAAAGAAAATTTAAAAAAGATTGCATTTTAAGTACTCGGTAAAATGATGGGGTCCATTAGTGGCCCTCTGTCTTCCCAATCTCTAGAAGCTCAGTTCTAGAAACTCAAAGCAAGGCAGCTGGAAAATCTAAGATTTGGACTTTTTAGGAACCGGGTTGCCTCAGAATTTAACTTCACATTCATATTGTTCTTCCCAAGCCCCCACTTAACCGCAACTTCTCAGAGGTCCCCGGACCCAGGAAGGTGGTCCCAATTGTGTCATAGCACAGTGGAAAGTAGAGATGCCAACGACACTCACGGAGTGGACAGCCCGGGAGGGTAAATGTGAGAGTTGGCATTGCACTGGTCTTGGCTATTTCAAACCCTTGATCTCCTCTCTGATTCTGAAAGTGTATTTGACTTTCATTCCTTGGAAACAATGCCACCATCTGGGATATGAAGCCAGGCAGGAAGGAGCCGCCGCTGTGTGCTCTGCCTGGGAATGCTGACCATGGGCCTCTGGTACTGTCAGGCCACTGGGGGAGTCAGTGCGGTCCAAGCTCTGCACACAGGTCACCTGGCCAAAGCACTTAGGTTGCTGTTCAGTTTCCTGAGAGGTGTGCACCTGGGAGGGTCGTAGCCATGTCCCACTGCCAAGGCATCCAGAAAACAGGTGGCTGTCTCTCTCATCTTACATCCGCCATTACCCTCTCAACTCCGAAGTAAAGAAGTATTGTACAAAGAGAAATCCTTCACAGTTACTTAAGATGCCCCCCCACTCTGAACACTGTATGAGTGGCACCCAGCACCTACAATTTCAGGATGGACACTCCAGTTGTCCCTCGACCCCCAAACACCCTACCAATGTCACACACTGGCTTTTGCCAAACCCTCTTCAACGGAACATTTCCCTCTCTCCTTCGGGAAAGCATCATTACGGGAATTACAAATTCATTCCGAATCAGATCCAAATACATTAAAAAAATCAGCCTTGTCATTATCACAGTGTTTTCTCCCCAGAATCCTGCAGAAAGGCCACATACCATTTCTGGCTGTGTCACTGGTGCTGGCCACACACCAGAGAAAGAGTCCTCTGGCCTTTGGTTTGGAAGCTGACTCAAGCTATCCATAGTCCATACAGAGAAGCTACTCTGCTGTAGCTGCAGTCCGGGCCTGGTGTGGTGGTCTCCTTTCCTGTTTCTTTGTGGGGGGGCTGACACATGAGAAGGTGTCCACCCAGAGCTGTCATGGTCGATACCAGGTGATGGGGAGCTGGGAGCTCGGCTGAGGGGAGCTGGGTTAGGCAGGGCATCCTGGAGGGGGACACGAGGTAGTTTACAGTGCTCTTGAGCAGGAAAATCCCAGATATCTGTATTCTAGGGTCAGCCTTAATTTTAAGTGAAAGTTAAGTTCGGTCTTAATTTTCACCAGCACCGGACGTGCCCGAGGCAGGTCACCACCAACCCTCTCTAGGGCTACTGTCGCTCTATATGCACCACTGACCAGTCACATGACCGTGAACGTCCCAAAGCCTCCTTTTCACCATCTGTGAAATGAAGGTTATGACAGTACCTGCCTCACTTGGTTGTCGCTGAGGTAGACGAGGCAAGGAGAAATACGCCAAACGTGACCGCGATGGTCGCTACACTACTGTCAGTCAGAAATGGAGGCGTCAGCTGAGGCTGCCTCCAAGGATTCTTCCCAATCGGTGATTCCGGGGCAGGCGGTGATGGGCTCCCTCCAGTCTCCTGGACGCAGTCAGCTGACCTGAAACAGAAAGCTCTCCCACGACAGCGCTCCCTCCCGAGGCGGGGCAGAGGCGGAGCCCACGGCGGCCACGCGGGCCCTGAAGGAAGGGCTTTCTTCATGTCCTTTCGCCACTGGGAAGGAATGGAGGTGTTTCTGTTTGGAAGGCCCATGGTGTCTCGGATGAAAGACTCTTCACAGGATCACAGCGAGAGGATTTTCTGTCCTAATATGAATCAGAATCTACAATAGAAAGGCAGGAGACAGCCAGGCTTGGGGAGTGTGCCTGTGGTCCCAGCTACTCAGGAGGCTGAGGCGGGAGGGTCGCCTGAGCCCAAGAGGTCAAAGCTGCAGTGAGCTGCTATAGCACCACTGCACTCCAGCCTGGGTGACAGAGCAAGACCCTGACGCCCCCCAACCAAAAAAATAAAAATAAAAAAGAGAGGGGAGAGACTTAAAACCCAATTGTTCTGGCACACTTCTGTAGCCACCCAGGAAACTCAGGGCCCAGGAGGCTGAGCATCTCCATCCGGGCCTCTTGGGGATGTAGGGAACACAGCAGGTCTCCTTGCTCCTGCCCTCTGGCCCACGCTGACTTCACTGCGTGTGTAATAATACCAAATGCATTATTCATCGTGCTTCCATTTATGAAAACCTTTAATTGTGAAATATAAAGCAAACAAAAAATGCATAAAATTCACAGACAGCATAGTGAATAATTGTAAACAACAGTGTGATTCTCCCACTGACTCAGGGAAGCAGGACCCTGCTGTCTCCCCAGAAGTTCTCCTCCCTCCTCGTGAGGAGCCCCATTGCTGACTTCCATGTGGAGCCCTTCCTTGTTTGGCCCTGTAGTTTTGAACAACGCATGTGTCTTTAAAATAGGATTTAGTGTTGCTGTTTTTCAAAGATTATAAAGTGGAATTCCACTGTTGATGTTCTTTTGAGTCATTGATTTTGCTAAACATGATGTTTTTAAGATTAGTCCATGTTGCTGCCTGCAGTTCTAACTTGTTCATTCGATTGCTGTATATGGGTCTGTCTTTCTAAATGTGCCATCATCTTGTACTCATTCTGCATTTGATGGCTATTTGAGTCGTTTCCAGCTCTTAGGAGCATCACTGGTCTGCGTGGCCTGTGTATGGGCCTAAGTGTCTCTAGGCTGTGTTGTCAGCAGTGGAATTGCTGGACCCTAGGATGTGTATTTCCTCAGCTCCCCTAGACAGTCAACTGTTCTCTAAGATGCTTGTACCAATTTTCCCTCTGCTATGGTCTGCATGATTGTTTAACAATACCTGGTGCCCCTCCTGTGAAAGGATTACACATTTCCACCTTGCTGGACCTGAGAGTGGCTGTGTGACTTGCCTGAGTCAATGAAATATGTGTGGCAGTGGCCTGTGTCACTTTGGGGCAGAAGCTCCAAGAGCCAGCACATCACACTCTTTTCCTCGCCCCCGTGATCCTGAAAGCATGCGCAGAGATGGGCAGGCTCCCACCCTGGGTCCCTGAGCAGAGCTCCTGTCTGCCATGGTGGCCAGGCAGAGTAAGCAGGGACAGAAGTGGCTGCTGGACCAGTCCCGTCCCGACCCACCCGCATGCCTAGGCCAGGGCTCGGGTGATCCCTCGCTGCTACTTCCCACGTGGTTTCCAGGCTCCTGTATGGCCTCTGCAGCTCCTCTTCCTGTTCTTGGTATGAGCTGCCCCCAAGACAGTGGGCTGGGGTGTCCTGTTGGTGTCTCTCCTTCCTTCTTGCTTCCTTTCCTGTTTGTCTTTCACTTTCCTGCCCTGTGATTGCATCAGGCCCTGGACTCCTAATGGTGGTGCCCCGTGCTGTATTCCAGGTGATGCCATGGGTGGCCCGTCCGTCCAAGGAATGACCGGTGTGATCTGAGACATAGGCTGGAGGGTGCAAGGGACGCGCTTTCAAGAAAGGGAGTCAAAGAGCCTTCTGCTGGGCCTGGAGGAGGACAGCCCCTCAGTCCCTGTGGGGCTCACTTGACTTCATGAGGTGCCCCATTCATTTCTGTTCCTGCTGGAAATCCTATCTGATTAGGAAAACGTCTAAAGAATTGGATGTCAACAGCAGGTTCTTAGAGGCTGGGTAGCCCTGAAGGTGCTGTGAGGGAGAGGGATTTGCCGGGGGTGGGTGGGTTTGGTTTGAGTGGTCTGGGAAGCTTACTCAGGGGGTTTTGTATTTGTTAAGGAAGACTGCTTTCCAGCCCCCCAGCCCCGCGCTGTGCTCGTCTGCTGCTGGAGCAGAGGCCTGGCCATCCACTCTGGGCGTCCGGAGGCAGAGCTGACATTCAGCAGGGCAGCAAGTGGCTGACAGCAAGGACGGATGGGGAAATGTCAGCTTGCTCAGCACACGGGGCTCTCGGCTACCTACAGGGTAGCTCCTGGTTCTGCCCTTGCTGTGATGTTGGTTTGCGGGAGAGTGTGGGGGACAGCCCTTCCTAGGCACCTGTGCCTGCACCCATTCACCACCTTCTCAGCCCTCGTGGGTGAACAGGTACCAGAGACACTTTCAACAAGGAACAAATAAAACTCTGTCTCTATCAAGAGGGGCTGTCCTAAGGCCTGGCCCCTTCAGGCCGGTTCCCCGGAGCCGGGAGCCCAGTAGCAAAGAGCACACTTGCTGGGAGAGGGTTTCTAAATGGGGTTGTGCCCTTTATGCACAGGCGTGAAGACCCCTGATGTAGTGGCACTGTATGGCACAGGAGGTGAGATGCAGAGGTCACACCACACAGCTAGAGCAACGGGAGACTGAGTTGAGCCCCAGAGGGGGGCCGTGGGTCAGGAAGGGGCAGGCCCCTCGTAGGGCCCCTGGAGCCCGTCACAGAGGCTGGTGGCATTCTCTTGGGTTGACTTCAGCTCTGGACTGCTTGAGGCTTCAGAGGCCACACAGCTGTTGGGCACCTGCTCTGCCTGTGTTCGCCCTTGGTTCCTGCGAATGCCTTGTTGCTGGGTGTGCCTGCGGTGGCAGAAGTGTCGCGGGGATTGCAGTGATGGGGAGACGCTGTGGACTTTCAGGTGCCTCAAAGCTTGTGCAAGGAGGGGGTGTCCCAGGAAGAATGCAGATGGAGGCAGCAGCCATCCTTGTGCTTAAAGTTGGTACAAACCAGAGGGGCCAGGCAGGCCTAGGGACACCTGGCAGGGCCAGGCCGGTGCCACAAGCTCTGGCCAGAGCCTGAGGAGCTGGGCCTTACACGGAGCCTGTGGATGCTGCCTGGAGTCCTGGAAAGCCGTAGGGTGAGGTCGCTCCTTGGCCTCAAATATTTTCCAGCCTAGTCTAGCAGTTCATCCTGTGGCTGAGTCTTCTCAGCGTGGGCCTCTGTGCCCCCTCCTCCGTCCTGGGTGCCCTGTGAGCACGCTGCTTCCTGGAAGACCCATGAATGCTCCTGCACTTCCTGCGGCCCCCAGCCCACACCCAGGAGCTGCCTTTCTTCCCCGAGTGTTTGCTCCCAGCTCTGCCCTGGGTTTGGTAGCTGCTCCATAGAACTGCTTTGTTCTGCGTGGAGCCCGTGTACCGCCCCACCATTGTGGACAAGTCACAAAAGCACAGCCCTGAGTCACCACTGCCTGGCCGGGCCTCCTGCCCTTCCCTTCCCAGGGCTGTGAGCTCATCCCGCCTCCCGTTTCCTCTCGGCACACGCTGGGCTATTCGATGATTAGACTTGTGTTTCTCTTTTGATTCTCTTCTTTTCTCTTCCCTCCTCCTCCCCCATCCTTTTCCTTCTTCCTTTGGCGTTGGTGGGGGCGGGAGGGATGAGGTGTTAGGGAAGTGAGCAAGGCACCCTGAAAACAGCCCCCCGATTCTACACAGTCAGAGTGGGGCCTGTGAGTGCACGCCGGGCAGAAGGGACAGACGTCCTGGGAAGCAGGCTTGGGGGTTTCAGTTCTGGGAAGGAGGTTGGATTGAGTGGCCTTGAAGCTTCCTTCCCTTCCTCAGACACTGAGGGTCCTGGGGAGTTGTGTGGCTTTGCTCATTCCATGGTGAAGATGCTCTGAGGGAGGTGAGTAGCAGAAATCCATGAGTCCCCGTTCATTCATTCACTCATTCATTCACTCATTCATTCACTCTGTCGATATTTATCAGACCCTGTGCTGGACACGGGATGTAGAGTGGGCAACACTGCCCTGTGTCACGGAGGGTGCAGCCTGGTGAGGGAAGCGCATCCCCGTAGGTGACAAACATGGGTAAGCGTGTGCAGACGTGGAGAGGGCGTGGGGTGAGGGAAGTGCATCCCTGTGGGTGAGAAACATGGGTAAGCGTGTGCAGACGTGGAGAGGGCGTGGGGTGAGGGACGCCCACCCCTGTGGGTGAGAAAATGGGCAAGCATGCGCAGACGTGGAGAGGGTGTGGGGGAGCAGAATGTGGTTTTACGGGTGCGATCACAGGGAGGACAGACTGGAATGGAAGGCTTAGCCCGGAGGTGGTCCTGTTCACCTGAGCGAGAGGGCGTCTGCTGGCTCCTTTCCCTGACAAGGCCAACTCGGAGGGCAAGCTGGGAGCCTGGGGTGGGGCTGGCGGGGTGAAGGGGCTCAGAGGGACGCCTGCGTTCTTCATGATCTTCCCATCCAAGACTTGCTGCACGTCGGCTTCTTCCAGGCTCCACATCACGGGCAGACCCATGCAGCTCCGCTGAGGGCGTGCGCCTGGTATGGGTGCCCTGCCGCCACGTACAGCTGAGGGAGGCCGTGGGAGCCTCCCTGGACTCATCTCTGCCTCTGTTTCTTCCCCGTGAGACATGGGAGCTGAGACCTGCCGACTGGCTGTGCTCCTGCAGGGATTGGAAAGGGCTTAACCCAGATTGGCAGAGAGCGCTGAGTGTGACTCCAGCACCCCGGGCGTCCTGATTTTGCGAAGCACTTTGGAGCTGCCAGACCCGCTCAGGGACTGCACAATCGCTCATGCAGCTCGCACAGTCAAGCACGTGGTCCTCGTCCCTGGCCTGGTGTCTCCTCCAGGGACTGCAGTTCCCAGGCCCAGGAAGCCACTCGGTTTCTGCCTGAGAGCGTTCTTTTGACCTCTTCTCTCTGGGTCTCTTCTCCCTCAAGGGCGACCCAGATGGTTCACCCCTGGTCTTCCCCTGTCCTGCCATGGCTGCACTGTGGGCTGGGGGTGGAAGGAATTCCGACTGTGCAGGAGAGAGCTGCGTGGCCAGGTCGGACAGGAGGCGTGCCGAGCCAGGGCTGGAGCTTCTGCACTTGGCTGTGGCTCCCCCGGTGTGGAGGGGTGTCGGCCTGGGCCCCTGGTCTTGAGGGGGCCGGGCAGAGGCGGCAGTGGTGGGGTGTGAGGACTGGGGGCCAGGCCAACCTACCAACCGCCCTTCCAGGGCTGGGCTGCTTTGGCCCTTGCTGTTTTATTATTTTTTAATTTAATTTTAAAAATTGAGCTATGATTCACTTATTATAAAATTCACCATTTAGAAGTGTGCAATTCGTATGTTTTAGTATATTTCAGAGTTGTGCAGTCATCATCATTAGTAAGTCCCAAACATTTTTATCACCGTGAAAGAAACCTTGTGTGCAGTAGCTGTCACTCCTCTATCCTCCCTTCCCCAGTCCATGGCGCCCACAAATCCAGTTTCTGTCTCTGAGGGGTCCCTATTCTGAACACTTCATATTTTCAGGTGGGATCATACAACACGACCAGCCTCTTTGACTTAGCATGTTCTCACGGTTCATCCATGTGGTAGCGTGCATCGGGCCTTCATTCCTTCCCACGGTGGAGTAACAGCCCAGTGCGCGAACAGACTCTATTTTATTGATGCACTTATCTGTGGGTGGACGTGTGGGTTGCATCCTTGTTTTGGGGATTGTGAGTAATGCTGCTGTGAACATTCATGTGCAGGTTGTTCGTATGAATGTCAGTTTCATGTCTCCTGGGTGCATTGGTGGGAGTGGAATTGCTGGGTCATAATTAACGTTATGGTTAATTATTTTATTTTATTTTTTGAGACAGAGTTTCGCTCTTGTTGCCCAGGCTGGAGTGCAGTGGCACTATCTCGGCTCACCGCAACCTCTGCCTCCCGGGTTCAAGCAATTCTCCTGCCTCAGCCTCCCGAGTAGTTGGAATTACAGGTATGCACCACCACACCTGGCTAATTTTGTATTTTTAGTAGAGACGGGGTTTCTCCATATTGGTCAGGCTGGTCTCGAACTCCCAACCTCAGATGATCTGCCCGCGTTGGCCTCCCAAAGTGCTGGGATTACAGGCAAGAGCCTGGGAAACTTCACCCTTACTCTATCTCAAACCATGCCAGCCTGGCAGTGTCCAGTGTGTCGGCTGGTGGCCCCATCCACACAATGGCCTCGTCCCCTCCCTTAGGGTCTTCTCTGTCTCCTGTGGGTCCCATCAGTCAATGCCTAGTCACCCTATAAATCTAACTTTCTATACTAACCCCAGCCCCCTAGACCTTAGAAGTACGTGGAGCTTTTGCTTTCTTTGTTTTATAAAACCAGGCCTGCCATTCAGCTAACTTAGTTAAGCTGGAAGTTTAGGAACCTCACTTTGCCAGAGATTACCATGAAGAGCCTAGGTTTTGCTTTTTTCTTTGAGGACAACTTTTTAACTATGTGAAACTGAATTTCCATGTACATAATAAACCCATGTCACATTACTGGTCATTGTTATTTATTGATTGTTGCCCAGCAACTCTGATCTTGTTGCTGTTCTGTTTGGGACCCAGACAATGCAAGTGGTGGAGGGATTTTCCTTGTCAGGTCTTTCAGGCTGAAGTGTGGGCACATTTGATTGTGGTGAGGGGAACGCACAGATGGTGGCATGCTTGCTGCCCCAGGGTGTCATTGCTGAAAGCCCTTGGGTGTGTGGGCTGTACCGGCAAAGGGACTTGATCAGGGGAGTGTCAGTGACAACAGTGACAAGGACAGCTGCCCCTCCTTAGTGCATCACTTGGTGAACAGGAAGGACTTTCACACACGTCTTGCCGAGGGCCCTCTGAACTGGATGGCATCATTGCGACTTTATAAGGGTGAAATGACTTTCCCAACTAGAGTGACCAACTCACCCCAGTTTGCCTGGACTTTCTGAGTTTTAGCAAGGAACGTCTCGCATACTGGGAAGCCTCTCAGTCCCAGCTCACGGGTCACAGACTACTTAGTGATAGGCTGGGCCTTGAACTTCAGACGTTTTCACTGTAGCACCTCCGCCTCTGTACTCGGAACTGTCCACTGAGGGCTGCCTGGGAGTCACTTTTGGTGCTAACCCCTTTTTTTGTTTGTTTGTAATCACACTTTCAACCCTTACCACGTCCCTAGGAGAAGGAAGTCTTGCTATTTCCATTTAATGGGAGAGGACCCGAGGCTTGTAATCGATGGATAGCTCACTCATGCAGCCAGGAGAGGCAAGGTTTGAGCTCAGCCCCGACTCCAAAGCTCTGGCTTGAATGCACGTGGCCTTCACTGCTCCGATTGCAGGTGGGAGGCGGATGATGGCAGCTCAGGGCCACTCCTGCCCTGAACCAATCCAGGGCAATGGGGAAGTGAATGGAAAGCCAGTGCCTGCCGTTGTCACCACGTCCCCACGTCACGTGTCCTGCATTGGCCCCTGTCCTAGGAGTGGGTCTGAATGAACCTGAACACCTTCATCAATTCCAGTGCTCAAGTCTCTCCTCAGAGGCATGAAACAGGCTGCCCAGGGCTGGCCATGACCTCTGGGGGACTCAACAGCCCCCAGCACCCCAGCTCCAGTCCCCTGGCATCCAGGTCACACCCCTCACCGGGATGCTGTGCAGCTGAGTGCACTAGGCTGGGGGACAGATGCCCCTTCTCACTTGACTTGCTCCTTAATTCTTGGTCTGCATTCGGCTCCCGCGAATTTGCCTGGCGAGGCCTTCTCCGTGGAGTCAGGTGCTCAGCACCTGCCTGCTGCACCCACATACGCTCTCCCCTGCCCTCTTTGGAGGTAAGAAGGAAATAAATCCACTTCTTATAAAATTGGCAAAGCCTGGGCACACACTAGTGGTTTACTTTTTGGCCGAAGGACATTTTTCCCAGCCCCACCTTCAATACGGGGGATGTCCCATGGCCTGGCAGCCGGACACAGAGGAGCTCTATGTGGTGCAAAGAGTGCAGGCCCCAGCCTGGGCCTCACTCAACTCCATCTCAACTCTCCCTAAGCAACTGCAAGGGAAGCCAAGGTCACTGGCCTCGGCGCGCCCTTCCGCAGGTCTGCTCACTCGCAGCAGCTGTGTTTGGGGGACAACGCCCTCCGTTATTTGCCCTCGCAGCTGTTCTAGCACAGAAGGGAGTTT
The DNA here is from genome assembly GCF_000001405.40 of Homo sapiens. Taxonomy (NCBI): domain Eukaryota; kingdom Metazoa; phylum Chordata; class Mammalia; order Primates; family Hominidae; genus Homo; species Homo sapiens. The sequence continues at coordinate 155,890,428 of NC_000007.14, forward strand.
ACCAGCACCTACTGCTCAGTAAACGGAAGGTTTTCCGTCTGCCTTCCACTGCCTTCTGAGAGGTGGAGGAGGAGGAGCAGCCTTGGGAAGCCTAAACTTCTACAGACCCTTAAGACACAGCCAAGGGGTGAGGAGGGCCTTGGTGCCAAGGCAGACACTGCAGAGTGCACAGGGCAAGACCCGAGAGACTCCAGCTGGTCTGAGAGGGGTGCTGGCCATGAGGACACCCCTCAGAAAGGACAGATTCCAAGACGGAGCTCTTGATGCATTCCAAGAGCAGCCTCTCTAGACGAGAGTTGCCCAGGGCCCCGAGACCTGAGTGGCATTCTGTGGCCTGGGACATGGCTGGGCTCTTCCAAATGATTTCCCCAAGAGAGGGGCGCTGGCCATGGACTCTCCTCCAGCGGGCTTTGTTGGAGCCCCCCAAAAGGGGATCATAAGCAAAGAGGTCTAAAAACCATCTGTGGCTTCTAAATAGAGCGTTTTGGATTGCTGAAGCCTTTCCTCTCCCATAAAGCTTTCTCCAGAGAGACCAGAAGACAGTAGCATTTAGCCCTGCTTCACCAGAAGGGGCATAGCTATTAGGGAGGTGGTAGGAGTGATGGAGGTGATGGTGGTGGTGGAGGTGGTGAATGTGGTGAGATGGTAGAAATGGTGGTGGAGGTGGTGTGGGAAGTGATGGAGGTGGAGGAGGTAGTGGGGATGGGGGAGGCAATGGAGGTAATGGTGATGGAGGTGGTGAAGGTGGTGATGGAGGTGAAGAAGATGGTGGTAGTGCTGGGGTGGAATTGCTGGAGGTGGTGGAGGTGGTGCAGGTGGTGAAGGTGGTGATGGAGGTGAAGAAGATGGTGGTAGTACTGGGGTGGAGTTGCTGGAGGTGGTGGAGGTGGTGCAGGCGGTAGAGGTGGTGGAGGTGGTGATAGTGGTGGAGGTGGTGATGGTGGTGAAAGTGGTAAAGGTGGTGGTGGTGTAGGTGGTGGTGGCGGTGGTTGTGGTGGTTGTGGTGGTGAGGTGGTGATGGTGGTGAAAGTGGTAAAGGTGGTGGTGGTGTAGGTGGTGATCGTGGTGGAAGTGGTGGAGATGATGGAGGCAGTGGAGGTGATGGAGGTGGGTTGGTAGTGGATGTGATGATGTTGTTGGTGATGATAGAGGTGATGGTGAAGGGGATGGGGGTAGGGGGTAGAGATGGGAGAGGTGATGAATGTGGTGGTGGAGGAGGTGGTGGAGGTGCTGGGTGGTGGTGGAGGTGATAGAGGTGGTTATGGTGGTCGAGGTGGTGAAGGTAGTGGTAGTGAAGGTGGTGAAGGTTGTGGTGATGGAGGTGGTGAAGGTGGTGGAGGTGATGGAGGTGGAGGTGGAGGTGGTGGCTGTTGTGGGGATGGGGTGATGGAAGTGACAGAGGTGGTTGTGATGGTTGCGGTGGTGAAGGTAGTGGTGGTGAAGGTAGTGGTGGTGAAGGTGGTGAAGCTGGTAGTGAAGGTGGTGGAGGTGGAGGTAGTGGCTGTTGTGGTGGGGGTGATGGAGGTGATGGAGGTGGTTGTGGTAATAGAGGTGGTGAAGGTGGTGGTGGAGGTGGTGGTGGTGGAGATGGAGATGGTGGCTGTTGTGGTGGAGTTGATGGAGGTAACAGAGGTGGTTGTGGTGGTGGAGGTGGTGAAGGTGGTGGTGGAGGTCGTGCAGGTGGTGGCTGTTGTGGTGGAGTTGATGGAGGTGATAGAGGTGGTTGTGGTTGTGAAGGTGGTGGTGGAGGTGGTGGAGATGGAGATGGTGGCTGTTGTGGTGGAGTTGATGGAGGTGATAGAGGTGGTTGTGCTGGTGGTTGTGGTTGTGA